>NC_000001.11:115917471-116220501 GCF_000001405.40 Homo sapiens
CATGGGGAGGAAGGATATTTTATTAAGAACTACTTAAAAGAACTACTTGCTGGGCACGGTGGCTCACACCTGTAATCCCAGCACTTTGGAAGGCTGAGGCAGGCGGATCACAAGGTTAGGAGATCGAGGCCATCCTGGCTAACACAGTGAAACCCTGTCTCTCCTAAAAATACAAAAAAATTAACTGGGTGTGGTGGCGGGCGCCCGTAGTCCCAGCTACTTGGGAGGCTGAGGCGGGAGAATGGGTGTGAACCCAGGAGGCGGAGCTTGCAGTGAGCCGAGATCATGTCACTGCACTCCAGCCTGGGTGACAGGGCGAGACTGTCTCAAAAAAAAAAAAAAAAAAAAAAAAAGAACTACATATATCAAAATATATTTTATTAAGAGCTACTTATCTGTAAGCTTGAACTCACAAGTATAGTTTTAGCTATCTAGACTCTAACAGCTTTTGCTTTAAAACTATTAAAGCATTTGTGGTTTTTTTGTTTTGTTTTTGTTTTTTTCTTTTTTGAGACCAGAGTCTTGCTCTGTTGCCCAGGCTGGATCTCGGCTGCAACCTCCACCTCCCGGGTTCAAGTGATTCTCCTGCCTCAACCTCCCAAGTAGCTGGGATTACAGGCACCCGCAACCACACTTGGCTAATTTTTGTATTTTTAGTAGAGACGGGGTTTCACCATGTTGGTCAGGCTGGTCTCGAACTCCTGACCTCGTGATCTGCCCGCCTCAGCCTCCCAAAGTGCTGGGATTACAGGCATGAGCCACCGCACCTCGCCGGGTAATGATTCTTGAGACAAGAGGTGGTTAAGTAGCATTATTATGTAATGTTTATATACCATGGAGTTTTTACAAGAAGATAAATCTATTTCCTCTGAGGGCCACTATTAACAATGTACTTCCTTAAATTTAGTTAAGTGATCGTAATACGTGCTGCATTTGCACATTGCATTAAGTTATGATGAGCTGAATTGTTACAAATTATAGCAAAAAGAAGTGTAAACTTGGCTAAAATCCTTCCATTCTTTGTATTTTTTTAAAGATTTTTATTCCTTAAATGCAAAATGACTACCTAATTTTTTTATGTAAATTCATTAAATTCAAAGAGAAAAAAAGATTAGTCATTGAACAGTAACAACAACGAAAACAAATTAGAGATACTCTGAAATCTTAGAGTTCACATATGACAAAAATTTGATGGAAATTTCCTAAAACTGTGATCCCAAGCATTTATGTGATAGTACAAATAATGAGTTATGAAGCTCACAGAAACTTTTCCAAATTCTTAATGAAAAACAAATTTGATCAACCATGCTACTGGAAAGACTAATCTATCTTTATATGTACCCTCTTGATAGAAAATACTACAAAAATCTTTGTTATATGAAGTCGTGACCCAAGAATATATAGAGCCAAAAAATGAAGGCATAATTATATAGGGGTGTCAGGGCAATTAAGTACCATGTATATATATATATTTTTAATTTTGTGATTCTTGTGGCAGTTAAATATTTTTAAAATGTGTAATTGATAGCAATTTCTTTTCTCACTTTAAATCAACACTCAAACCTAATTTTGTATAAATATTCTTGTCATCTTTTTCTTTTAAAAAGCCTCTAAAATTATGTAAGCTTCAGACCCCAAAAGGAGTAACTTATCAAGAGGAAAAGATCCTAGATTCACTTCTGCTTCTACTTATTCTACTTCTGGATTTATTAAACCATTACTCAGATTTTAAAACACACCACACACAAAGAAAAGTTTCTAAAATAAATGAGCTAACATGGATTTTTTTCATATTCTCCATCTTCTTGATAGCCCAGAGATCCTGATACTCTTTGGACTTTGGTAGTGGAATGGTAGATGTGTGTTGAGAATGGAAGGGAGTTAAGGATGGGGTTCTAGAATTCAGATGCCCTCTTAGGGTTTGAAATGTGGGGGAAAAAAAAAGAGAATCACTGCTTATCTTAGTCTGTTCGGGTAGCTGTAACAAAATACCATACCTGAGTGACTTACAAGTAATAGAAATGTTATTTCTCACATTTCTGGAGTCTGGGAAGCCCAAGATCAAGGTGCTAGCAGATTTGGTGTCTGGTAAGGGCTAACTTCCTTGTTCAAAAATGGTGCCTTCTTGCTGTGTCCTCACATAGTGGAAGAGGTGAGGGAAATTTGGGGGGCAGCTCTCATAAGGACACTGATCATTCATGATGGCCTGCCTTCACGAGACTCAGTCACCTCCCAAGGGCCCCCAGTTCCTAACAGCATCACCTATGGCGGTGAGGATTTCAACATATACATTTTAGGAGGATACAAACATTCAGATGATAGGCCAGAGCACTGACCTAGGCAATGGCATCTACAGAAAAGAGAAAAATAATTTACTTTTGACTTGAGGTGTCTTGGGTTTAAATCCCAGTCCCACCACTTAATCATTTGTGACCCTGAGCCCCGTGAGCTTTGATTTCTGCACTTGTAAAAATAGGCAGAATATTAAATACCTTTAGAGTTTTTCATGAAAACTAAATGCTACCTCTGAAGTTAAATGAAATTGTAAGAATGAAATAAATAGGGCTGTTTTAAAGAGTAAATGTGCTCAGTAATTGGTGTTCTGTAAATGTTAACTTCGTTCTGAAATATATAGAGCAGGATGTCAACTTATGGAAAGAATGTAAATATTTTTTGGTTATAAATACCAATGAATTTTTCTTACAATGCCAATGGATCTATACATACTATATGGATTATATTTAAGCTTTTTGCCTTATCTTAAAGCTAATAGCAAATAGGGCAATGATGTATATGGGCAATTTACAAAAGAAGAAACAAGAATATCTGGTAACATAGCAAGAATTTTTTAACATTTTCTTGGTCATCAAACACAATATAAACAATGAGATACCATTTTGTTTCTCACACTGGCAAAGATTAAGAAGAATGAAAATGCCCACTAGCTGGTGGTAAGGCGGGAAGGGGAAGGGTACACTCATGACATTGGATAGTTGGAGTTCAAATTGGTACAGCTGTTTTGGAGATCAATTTAAAAGTAGGCCCCCTCTCCAAAAGCAAAATAAAACTTTAAAAATGTTTACTCTGCATTTAAAGCTGAAAGTATGCCTTACTCTATGATTTAGTTATGCCTCTCCTAGTTTATATTTTTTGAAGTATAAATATGTCATCCAAAAGACATGTATAAGAATATACATAACAGCTTTATTCAGAATAGCCTAAATGTCTATCAGAAAAAAATAAATCAATAAATTGTAGTTTTTTTTTTAAAGGATACTATGAAGCAATAAAAAGAATGAATTACTGCTATACTCCACAGCATGGATGAATCTCACAGACATTATGTTGAGTGAAGGAAGCCAGAAACCAAAGAATACACACTCTATGATTCCATTTATATGAAGTTCAAGAACAGGGGATAGCTATTGACTGGGAAGAGGCATGAAAAGCATTCTGGAAAATGTTTAATCCATTGATCTGGGTGGTGGTTGTACCCATTGTCTATACACTTGTAGAATTCAAATCGCAGTACACTTGAGATTTATTCACTTTGTTGTATATATGCTATACCTCAATTTAGAAGTTTTGAGAAAACATACACTTTGACTTAGCAAGTATGTTTTCATTCTAAAGAAAAAAGTCAGAGGAGTACAAAAAAGGTTTACATACAAGAATGATCACCATAGCATTATTTATAGTAGCAAAAATCTGGAAATACAATCCAATAATAAGGAAGTAGTTAAATAAAATTATGATACATCAGATAGTAGAATGCTATAATCATTAAATCAGATAAAATAGAAGAGTCAAAAATATGGAAAGTTTTTCATAATATAATGTTCCAAAAAAAAGTAGGTTAACCAAACAGTATTTAAGATTTAATACTATATTTGCTTAAAATATACATGTCTGTCTCCCTCTCTCTCTCTCTATATATATATATGTATATTACATAATCCACATGCTTATCACACGTATCTCTGACTAATGGGATTGTAGATAATTTTCCCTTTCTTTCTCTTGTTTTAAGCAGTTTTCTATATTGGACATGTCCTGTTTTGTAATCTGCAAAAATCTGAAATAAAATGTAAAAGGGAAAAATGCTAGGTGTGGTAGTGCATGCCTATAGTCCCAGCTACTAGGGAGGCTGAGGCAGAGGCTCACTTGAGCCCAGGAGTTTGAGACCAGCCTGACTGATGCAGCAAGACACCATCTCAAAAAATAAAAAATGAAAATAAATAAATAAAAAGGAGGAGAAGGCCAGGCGCGGTGGCTCATGCCTGTAATCTCAGCACTTTGGGAGGCCAAGGTGGGTGGATCATCTGAGGTTGGGAGTTCGAGACCAGCCTGGGCAACATGGTGAAACCCTGTCTCTACTAAAAATACAAAAATTAGCCAGATGTGGTGGTGCACACCTGTAATCTCAACTACTCCAGAGGCTGAGGCAGAAGAATCACCTGAACCCAGGAGGCGAAGGTTGCAGTAAGCTGAGTTTGCACTACTGCACTCCAGGCTGGGTGACAGAGTGAAAGTCCATCTCAAAAAAAAAGGTAGGGGAGGGGATTGAAAAAGAAAGAACAAGAGTGAGCAAATCAACTCTCTATATAAGTAAGCTGTTCTGAACATTTACATATTGCATTCTAGGTATGCCCTTGATGAAGGTAGTTAACCTCTCTAAGCCTCAGGTCCTCTCTGTAAAATGGGAATAATTATTGCACCTAACTTATGGTATTGTTATCTGGATTAAATTAAATATTCTGTATGTAGTGCTTAGCAGTGTCTGACATATCATAAACACTTCATCAATATTAGCCATTACATTACTCTGGGACACTGGCTAAGACCCCTAGGTTACCAGAATTGACTTAACTGCTCTTGTCTTCTTTTCACCTTAGGTATCTACTGACCTGGTTATCGCTTCTTCCTTTAAGGAGTATTAGAACACTGCTGGGGATGGGCTGACAAACATACCAGGTATTGATGCATACAGTCCCCTGAAAGGTCTCATCTGATTAGGGACATTTATTCTGAGAACCAGGTCTCAGAATTCTCTTTTGGATGCATCAAAGTCCAACCGATTCTGAGAGCCAACTTGGTGCGTATCCCTCAGAGAAGCCTTGGGGCCCGGGTTCCACACCATTCTGTATAAAAGTGGAAAGTTAGGAGACAGCTGATTCGCTTTCTCTGTAGAATTATCTTCCCACAACTCACTGTAGAGGTCTATCACACAATGGGTTTTAGTTTCTTTTTTTCCATTGCTTTCCTTGTTTTCTATTTTCATTCTTTTCTAAAATTTTCATTTCCAGAGCTGCTTCTGGGCTCTCTTCTCCCTGCGCCAACCCACCCCCACCTCCTCCCCTTTCTCCCTCCTTCCTTTTCTTTCTCGCTCTTCCTCTTCGTCTCTCTTGAGACAGGTCTAGTGGCCTGGTTGCCATCTGCTGCCTTTTTTTTTATAAGGTTGAGATCAGATGGCATCTAATCGATCGTCATGGTCTCCATGGTTACCAGGGTGACAGAGTACTTGGGAGAGACACATTCTCGAGCCTGGGGCTGTCAGACCATTCCTGAGAGGGGAAAGGAAATAAAACCCCTTCCATCATATTTACACCTTTACATCTTTCTCAAATGCAGCAAAACACAGACCCTGTTTATGTTTTACATAGTGACCTAGTGGCTTGAGGCCAGGGAATGCAGAGTGGCTTTTTTCTATTTAAAAAAATGCACAAGGACAGAAGTAAAGGGTTTTTTGTTTTTTTGTTTTTTAGCCTCAGAACCATCCCTTCCCCTCCCTGCTCCATACAGACCATCCCTTTTATCATTTTTTTTTCTTTTCCCTTTAAATGTTTGGGAATTAATTCAGTAATTCTACTGAGTTGTTATTCTTCCAATAAATCATGGTAGTTCTAAAAGTGACAATTGACAGCTATTTGCTTTAGGGAAAGAAATAACCTTCATAAAATTACCAACACTTTCACTTTTGATTAGAATCAGTGTTAATGTTAATGTTAGTTGTTCTTTGGCCAAGCATTTGTAATATAGGAAGCCATTTTTCCCACAAAGAGCAGCTTCATATGATAAAATGTAAACAAAATGACCCTTATTCTTAATGCAAAAAGTGCTTAGGCATGACTGTGGTCTGTAATGCTTTAATGCCTAGGGGCTGGCCAGTCTGGCAGAAATACATCCAGGCCTTACTCTAATAGAATATGATGGCGTTGACAGCCCAGATCTGGTGGAAAGAGACGTGAGGAAGATCTTGGTAATAAGGATATATAGCTAATGGGAAAAGGGCTAGATTTCTGGAGTAACTCAGAAATAAGAAAACAACCAATTATCATACCATTAAATAATGTTAAAATTACATAAGGAATACCATCCTTGGCATATTAAAACGCCTTTAATATTAGGCACAGATGACTTGGGCTATAAGCTGCTTTACTTCCTTTTCTGGTAATATGTTATGCTTCATAACACTTACTAGAAATTCTCCCCTTTTTTTGTGTTTGTCAGAGAAAACCGAACTTAAAATTATAGCACAGGTACAAGGCCTATCTATAGGTGATTTTTTTTTCATTTAAAGAAAAAATATAATGCCAAACCATGAGCAGTGCTTGCTTGCTTCCTTCCTTCTTTTGTCTCTGACTTCCCTTCAGACCTCCTGCATCTTCTTCTGTACAGTTCCTAGTAAGATTCAGATATATTCATTTGCAGTGCCTTTGGCTGTTAAGCAAATAGCACAGTGATATTTGAAATAGAAATGATGCCATCAATTGGAGGAGAGACTTTAATATAAAGGGAAAATAATGTATCATGAACAAAAACCTTCTTATTCATTTTGGACCTTTGCATCTTAGCTAATGCTTGCCTCTCTTTCCCTCTCTGCAATTCCTCCTATTCTCTCCCTCTTTACTGGTGAGTTCAATCATTGAATGGCTGGGGGAACTGCTTTTATTTAATTCTCACCTCCCCAGAAAAGCTTTCCCCAAATTCCCCATCACAGACTTCTGAACTCCTAGTGTTCTTTTGGTCTGTGCTTCTCATTCAGGACTTAGCTGTGTTGCCTTTCACCCCGGCTTATGTATTTGTCATGTTTATCTGTTGCCTCTTATTTACATTGTAAGCTCCAGAAAAGAGAGACCATTTCCTCTGCTTCTGGGCTTCTCCCTTACTTTGTACCTAGTTAGCTCTTACTAAATGTTTGATAAAGATAATAGCAGCCTGTTGTGCCTACAGGGCAAGCGATAGCTGTTTTTTCTTTAAAGACCAGGAACCAAATTTGATTTTTAGCATTTCTTCAACTGCAGGGATTTTACTTTGTGTCAGCCAAGAGGCTTTCCTTACCTCCTTGTCTTCAGTACTCTTGTGCACAAGCATGCTTCTCAGAGAAGGTGGATTCTACCTTGGAAGGAAATGAGTCGTTTCCTCCCATCAGGACAACTGCCACAGCATGGTGTCAACTCACTCTTGCCTTTCGTAAATTGAGTTTGTCAGTGCTCAGCGACACAGCTGAGTGAAATGTTGTGTGATGCGGGCTGTCTCCTGGGAGAGAGAAACTGGCATAAACCACATCCTAATGGGATCCAGAAACAAAGAAGCGTGAATGAAGTGTTAATTGCATTCATAAAGACATTAACAAAGGAATTAAAATGGCAGAAGCTTCAGTCCCCCACTCAAGATTCACAGAAAAATATGTTATCCAAAGAATGTTTCAACAATAATCATCAAAGTTTATTGCTTGCCCATTGGGGAAATAACTCTTGATACATATTAACTTTTCAAAGAACATTTTGGGTCCATTATTTTGAGTATATTAACTAACAGACAGTTTATTCCACCCTACCTCCAGTTCTTTGCTTGCTTTTGTATGATTTAAGTTTCAAAAAAATCCAGAGGCATTTTCAGTGCTGCTTCATTAACCATAAGGATGTCTGTTAACAGTTTGAACCTAATCAATCCTACAGTTCTTATTAGAGCAAAATGCTCATTATCTGGGAGAATTTTTGCTTTTTGAAATAAAATTACAAGACTGGGGGTTTATTTTACAGTCCCTCTTGAATATTCCTGAGATGATCTGCAATGTGGGCAACCCGGGGCTCCCTCCCCAGCCCTGTGGCAGGGCCCCCCAGCTGCTGACAGCGGGGCTAAGCTGGCAAAAGGTCAGGAGGCTGCATTTCACTGAAGATGGATCGCACAGATGAATATTGCGCTTGCTTAATGAAGTCAAGGCCACGGATTTGGGGCCTTTTATGGTTCTTCTTGTTTCACTCAATTTCACCTTCATAGACCACGCCACTAATCCCAGCCAATCATTTTGTAGATATGTGCAACTGGTGACTAAGGGACTAGATAAAAGTAAATGAATCTAAAAAACAGTGACCAGAAATTCAGAAATCTCTGTGCCTATAACAAACTCAGAATTAAAAAAAAAAAGCATGCAGAGTGAGTGTTTCGTGATCCTTGCAGAAACTCTGTGAGATATATGGAGCCGACATTCCTACCTTCATTCTGCAGGTAAGAAAGCTAAAACTCAAAGACATTAAGTAAAGTCTCAGGATTAAAATTCAGATTTTTTTAATCATCTGACTGCTCTTTCTGCTGTAGTCATCTAACCCTCCCAGGATCTCATTTAATTTTCACAAGAATCCTATGAAGTAAGACAGGCTGTATAAACAAGTGGGTTGATTTTTCCGGGAATCATTTTTTTTTTTTTTTTTTTTGAGATGGAGTCTCGCTCTGTCGCCCAGGCTGGAGTGCACTGGTGCAATCTCGGCCCACTGCAACCTCTGCCTCCCAGGTTCAAGCGATTCTCCTGCCTCAGCCTCCCGAGTAGCTGGGACTACAGGCACATGCCACTATGCCCAGCTAATTTTTGTATTTTTAGTAGAGATGGGGTTTCACCATGTTGGCCAGGATAGTCTTGATCTCTTGACCTCACGATCTGCCCACCTTGGCCTCCCAAAGTGCTAGGATTACAGGCGTGAGCCACCATGCCCAGCCTCCAGGAGCCATATTAATGCCACTAGAGGAGCAGGTGCTCTCAAGCCTCTCCTTAGAATTTGGCTGAACCCCCGGTTATCTAAAACGCTATGTTTTTCAGTCTTGTCTAAATCAATCATATTCATGGATGTGGCATCAACTCAATGGTGCGGGTTTAAAAGTGACGAAATTCTAGTTAGTTGTATGTATCTGGGCTGATCAACACAGATCGGTGAGTGGAAGGGGGTTCAGAAGTGCACATTCAGCATCTCAGAAAAGCTCCCGCATAGTTATAAGAATCAGACCAATTGAGTCTCTGGTTGCTTCTAATTCTGGTGCAAACATTGGGAACATTTCCTCCCAGACGTGAACTATACATAAAATTCAGGTTATATGCTGTTTTGTATTACTTGTGCTTAGTATCACACATGTTACCATACTCTTAAGAGGTGATTATTTCTTATTAGAACACATCATTTAGAGTACTTGATTTCAGAATTTTCAAATAATAGCAAATTTAGCTCCAGTGTAGCCATGCCACCAAGTTGTTCAGAAGTCTGATTCAAACAGCATTTTGAATTACCTAGAGAGTTTATTCATATTATTTGCATTTACTTTATTTATGTTTTTATAATTTTGTGTCCTAATTAGAAGGTCCTATTATGTGCTCTTAAGATGGAAGACTAATTTAATCTTTTTTTTTTTTTTTTTTTTTGAGATGGAGTCTTGCCCTGTTGGCCAGGCTGGAGTGCAGTGGCATGATCTCGGCTCACTGCAAGCTCCGCCTCCTGGGTTCACACCATTCTCCTGCCTCAGCCTCCTGAGTAGCTGGGACTACAGGCACCTGCCACCATGCCCGGCTAATTTTTTTGTATTTTTAGTAGAAACGGGGTTTCATTGTGTTAGCCAGGATGGTCTCGATCTCCTGACCTAGTGATCCGCCTGCCTCGGCCTCCCAAAGTGCTGGGATTACAGGCTTGAGCCACCGCGCCCGGCCTTCAACTAATTTAATCTTACCTATCTATGGCTAGGTGTGGGATGCAAGATGTATAATAAACGGAAAAAAAATCAAAGTGAGCAGTTGGCCAGTTATATATTCAATCTAGACAATTAAGGTTAAAGCCTTACTTTTTCATCAATAGCAGAAGTGTTGAAATTTCATTCATTATATTTATGTAAAAATTAAGAGAATTAGTTCATGCGCCTAAGTCAGAATTGTGTCATTATCATAGGGTGGTTATATTCCATTTCCACTTATAAAATCAAAATGGATGAAGTTATTTTCTAGGGCTGCACTGTCCATTATGGTAAGCTCCTAGACATATGTGGCTATTTAAATTAAAATTATGTAATCAAAATTAAATAAAATTAAAAATCCAGTTCCAGATTTTAAATCCTTAATAGCCATGTGGTTAGCGGCTATTGTATTGGACCATGGAGATTTATAGAATATTTTTGTCACTGCAAAATGTTCTATTGAACAGTGCTGTTCTAGAGCAAACAACTGGAATTCACACATACCACAGAAATACATTCTATATCCAATCATATAGTTGTTTGTAAAACACCATATACAGTTTAGTGACAGTGACTTGGAGCGCCATCCTGCTGGGGCTTGGGCATCAAGGAAGGATGGTCTGCAGACTTCCCTCTGAGTGTGGACTGGCCCTGTGTGTCATGGGAGAGGATGATGAGCCAAATCTCTGGAGAAAGGGCAGGTGCAGATGAGCCATTTCCATTTTCCACTCCTGCAGCTCCCACAACCTCGAGTCCAGACCTGCCGCCAAGACGTGCTTGTACAGAAGCCCAAACCAAAGCACATTTTGGATTAATTTTCTGGCTGTAATTTCTTTGCAAAATCTATCTTGTGCCTTTGATTAAGGACTTTCTTTCATTTTTGCCATGAATTTCAATGAATCTGAACCTAACAGTATTTTCCACCAACCAGGACATTTAGCACAGGTATTGACCAAAAGAAATAAGGCTTCAGACAAGCAAGAATCATAACAGAAAAAGAAAAATATAGTCCAGAGCTCCCCGCTGAACACTTTTTTTTTTTTTTTTTTTTTTTTTGAGACGAAGTCTCGCTCTGTCGCCCAGGCTGGAGTGCAGTGGCGGGATCTCGGCTCACTGCAAGCTCCGCCTCCCGGGTTCACGCCATTCTCCTGCCTCAGCCTCCCAAGTAGCTGGGACTACAGGCGCCCGCCACTACGCCCGGCTAATTTTTTGTATTTTTAGTAGAGACGGGGTTTCACCGTTTTAGCCGGGATGGTCTCGATCTCCTGACCTCGTGATCCGCCCGCCTCGGCCTCCCAAAGTGCTGGGATTACAGGCGTGAGCCACCGCGCCCGGCCCCCCGCTGAACACTTTAAGTGAATGTCATTGTCTCATTCTCATTGACAGTCAGCAAGTAAACATATCCACAGACTAAAGTAAGGTCTCTCCCTACTCTGGGAAAGGTGGGACCATTCTTCGATATTTGTCATATAAGCCACTTTAAACTTGTAAAAACTGAAAAGTAATAAATCACCAATCATCTTCTGTTCTCTGATGTTATCTCACTAGGACTCTGCTATATTAAGAAAGAGATTGAGGCAGAATGTTTTCACAAGATTGCTCAAAGTCATGTGCAGCAAGCACATGAGATATACAACTCTCATTGCTTTTATCACATAATTCTTCAAAGCGGCCTTATTGGGCACGTGTTTTATTTTCTTGGTAGACTGTAAATCCCTTGAAACTGCTAATTATACATATTTGCATCCCAAAGTATCTTATACAGCGGGAGGTGCTCTGTACCTTGGTTCAACCTTATCAATATTCACTGAACAAGTGAATGAATGAATGCATAAAGGAGAACCCTGGTAACAAATTTGTCTAGCCTAATTGTGGTAAGTTTTGGCTGATAGGTATAGAAGAGTGGCGGGGGGGAGAGGTGCAAAATTTGAGAAGAAACATAGATTGTGAGCTCATTGAAAAGGTATCATTTCAAAGTTTCCTTTGAATCTCCATAGGGATATGATGAAAGAGAAAATATTTTTAAGGGCAACTGTGAATTTCAATTACTGGAGCAGAGGATCAGAGAAGAGTTGCATCCAATCTATTGTCTTTCAAAAGAATTTCTTTGCTGACATTCTGCCTGGAAGTAGGAAACGTAAAAATATTGTATTAATTTGTAGTGTATAATTTTGTATTAATAGCCAAGTGGCACGATAATGGAATCAATTGACATTGCAAATAGGATGAAAATAGAATGAACATAATTGAACTGAAGCCTATATACTTTTTCACAAATTTGAATGAAAATGAATCCCAAAACAAAAGTGACCACTTTGTAATCTGTCCTCATACTCAGATCACCCCTGATAAGTCAGCACTCAACCCAATCTTCAATATTTCCAAGTAAAGAGAACCACAGGGGTATGTTAAAGGCCATAAAAGGGAGTTTAAGCAAATATTTCTAACCTCTTTTGTGCTTTAACAATGCCAGTCACCAACTTAAGCAAGTTTTTTGATGTAACTTTCTAGGTCATGTATCTTTAAATCACCATGACTCATATTTGTCTCTGTTCCAACTGTTTTCTGGTGTCTCTCTTGCTGAAATGGTTTCAATTAGAGCCTGGAAAGGGTTGATACAGAACTCTTGCACAGTGCTTGCCAACATGGGAATTGGTTTTAAACATTGCTGTTTTTCGTCCAGAAAAAAATTCCCGCTTCCCGCCCTTGAGTTAGAAGAGATTATTCTCAGACAGGCGTTTAGCTGATTTTTAATGTCAAAGAAACTTAATTTGCAAACTCTTTAGTAAAAGCCGCCTAGTAAAACAGATGATTAATATTGGTAAGCTCCTCATTTGCATATTAATTAGTCTCCGTACTCAACTAATTAAAACTGCACTGCCTATTTGCGGACTTTCTTCTATACTGCAGCCTTGTTTCTATGTATAAGCTTGTATTTTAACTAAAATAAGGGTTAGTGATTATGACTGTACTTTTCTTAACATACCGATTTTTCCATCTGTGATACTGAGGACTCCTCAAGGTCCTAGAACCATCTTGAAACTACCTTTGCACAAATTATAACAGTGAGAAAACTGTGACATAGGAAAATTATGACAGCAAAAGAAATCTGTCTCAACCTACTCCATCTTGTTTTTAACCTCCAAGCTGTCCTTGTTCATTCCAGGGCGTAGGCCGGGCTAACTATAAAAGGAATTTCGTTTATAGTTTAACTTTGAAACAAAGATGATAATAGTCCCTTCCCAAACCAAACCCCCTTTTTGCCTGGGAACCAGACCACCTTTGTAAAACTAACAAATTAGCCACAAGATTAGAAATTATGGCTCAGGAGTCATGCAGCCAGAGGCCACAAGATTCTAAACTTCCTGATATGGTTTGTATCTGTGTTCCTACCGAAATCTCCTGTCAAATTGTAATCCCCAGTGTTGGAGGTGAAGCTTGGTGGAAGGTGATTGGATCATGGGGGTGGACATCTCATGAATGATTTAGCACGATCTCCTTGGTGCTGTTCTTATGATGGTGAGTCTCATGAGATGCGGTTGTTTAAAAGTGTGTGTTACATCCCCCTACCCCTACCCGCCACTCTCTCTTCCTCCTGCTTCTGCCATATTAGATGCCTGGTCCCCTTTTGCCTTCAGCCATGATTGTGAGCTTTCTGATGCCTCCCCAAAAGCAGAAGCCACAATGCTTCCTGTACAGCCTGCAGAACCATGAGCCAATTAAACCTCTTTTCTTTATAAATTACCCATTCTCAGATATTTCTTTAGAGCAATGCAAGAACGACTAATATACTCCCCAATTGCTCCTATAAATAACATCGCTATTGTAAAACCTAAGATTGGTGTTTGAGATATTTTTCAGACCCTGCATCCTGATGAACCAACTGGCACCACCCAGACTGGTAAACTGGCCCAACTTGTTCTGCCATCCCACCCAGAAACTGAAGACAGCAAGAAGAACCTGCTTCAACCCCCTATGATTTCAGCCCCAACCCAACCAAAGCATTCCCCCACTCCCTAGCCCCATGACCACCAAATTACGCTTAAAAAACCCTAGTCTTCAAATTTTTGGGGAGACCAATTTAAGTAATAAAATTCTGGTCTTCTGTTTAGCCAGCTCTGCATTTATTAAACTATTTCTCTATTGTAATAATGCTATCTCAGTAAATTGGCTCTGTCTGTGCAAGTGCAACAGGCAAGAACAACTGTAAGGGCAGTTATAATCTCAAAGCAGCCATTTTATTGGGCCAAATCACTTTTGTCCCAGTATAGCCATATGTTGCTTAATGACGTGGATATGTTTTGTGAAATGCATCATTAGGTGATTTTGTCATTGTGTGACACCATACAGTGTGCTTATACAAACCTAGATGGCACAGCCTACTACACACCTAGGCTATATGGTTTAGCTCCTTCCTCCTGGGCTACAAACCTGTACAGTATGTTACAGCACTGACTACTGTAGGCGATTGTAATACAATGGTAAGCATTTGTGTATCTAAAAGTATCTAAATATAGAAAAAGTACAGTAAAAATACAGCATTATACTCTTATGGGACCACCATGAGAGCTGTGGTCTGTTGGTGACTGAAACCATATTGTGCAGCACATGACTGTGTTTGTGAGCTTCTTCAGATTTTGATGGGAAGAAAACAGTTGGATGACACAGTGACTGGCAATAATTAAAGTGGAAAAGGTACCAAATTGTATCTCAATATTTGGTGTTTTTAAGTCTGGCTCTAGGCCGGACGCAGTGGCTCACACCTGTAACACCAGCACTTTGGGAGGTCGAGGGGGGCGGATTACCTGAGGTCGGGAGCTTGAGACCAGCCTGACCAACATGGAGAAACCCCGTCTCTACTAATAATACAAAAATTAGTCGGGCGTGGTGGCGCATGCCTGTAATCCCAGCTACTCAGGAGGCTGAGGCATGAGAATCACTTGAACCTGGGAGGTAGAGGTTGCGATGAGCCGAGATCACGCCATCACACTCCAGCCTGGGCAACAAGAGCGAAACTCCATCTCAAAAAAAAAAGGTAAGTCTTGCTCTGTAAATGAATATATCTTTCCAGTATAATTTTTTATATTTAAACTTAGCTACTTTAAAATTATTTAATCATTATTTTACGATTTAATTTTTAGTAAACAATTATTGGGTGGGAAAGCAGGCTAATTTGTTGTTAAAAATTATGCTTGCAGAAAAGCTAGTGGTTTGGATCACAAGAACCCAGCTTTTATTGATGAGAATGGATTTCCACTGTAGACAAAACAAAACCAACTAAATAAACAAAAATAAAAAATACCTATGAAAGGCCGGGCATGGTGGATCATGCCTGTAATCCCAGCACTTTGGGAGGCTGAGGCAGGTGGATCACGAGGTCAGGAGTTCGAGACCAGCCTGGCCAACATGGCGAAATCCCATCTCTACTAAAACCACAAAAATTAGCCATGTGTGGTGGCAGGCATCTGTAGTCCCAGCTATTTGGGAGGCTGAGGCAGGAGAATCGCTTGAACCTGGGAGACGAAGGTTGCAGTGAGTCAAGATCGCACCACTGCACTCTAGCCTGGGCGACAGAGCAAGACTCTGTCTCAAAAAAAAAAAAAAAAAAAACCAGCTATGGAAAGAAACAACCTTTAAGTACAGAGCCATCAAATGAGATTCAGGAGAAATTATATCGGTCCAATAACCGAGTGACATTGAACAAATTGCTGAATTTCTCTTTCCTCTATTACAACAGAAAATAAGTATGCACAGAATATCCACATCAGGCATTTTCTTATGACACCCTCTCCCCAAATTGAGTAAGATGTCACTATTAGATTCTTTCATAGCTCCCTGTGTTTACTCTTCTCATAGCCTGTACTTCATGGTATATAGTCATATCTTTTTTTGTTCATACTCCTTATTGGATGCTTCTTCACAGCACAGTCTCTGTCTTGTCTATCATTATATCTCCCAGTGCTTAGCATTATTACAGGCATTATATATCCCAGTGCCTGTGATATTTAAATAATTGCCAAATAAATAAATGAATAAACAAATATATTAATACATGGATAAAAAATAAATAAGGCATGCGTTTTAATTATTTATGACTGTATGACAAAAAGCTCCAAAACTTAGAGACTAATAACAATAATTTACTATTTCTCATGATTCTGTGGGTTGCCTGGAAAGCTCTTCTGCTGTTTCACCTGAGTTCACTCATGGCGCTGCATTCAGTTGGGGGATTTCCAGGGGGTTGAGCTCAGCTGAGAAAGCTGAGGATCTGGACATTTCTCTCTGTAGGTCTTTCATCTTCAAGTTGGCTCCTTGGACTTCTTAACGTGGTGAGAGCAATGTGCCAATGTGCAAACACTTACTGAACTCACATCATGTTTGCTGACATCTCTTAGGCCAAAGCAAATCATTTAGCCAAGCCTAGAATAAATGTGGGAAGAAATTACACATGGGCATGAATACTGTATTTGGGAGACCCTGAGTGTAATAATGAACCACAAATGTCTCTACCTTAAGGGATTTCTTAATCCAGGGGTGTTCAATCGTTTGGCTTCCCTTGGCCACATTAGAAGAATGGTCTTGGGTCACACATAAAAAACACTAATATGATAGCTGATGTGCTTTAAAAAAAATCACAAAAAAGGCTGGGCACTGTGGCTCATGTCTGTAATCCCAGCTCTTTGGGAGACGGAGGTGGGAGGATCATGAGGTCAAGAGATTGAGACCATCCTGCCCAACATGGTGGAAATCCACCTCTACTAAAAATACAAAAATTAGCTGGGCGTGGTGGCACGCGCTTGTAGTCCTAGCTACTCATGAGGCTGAGGCTGGAGAATCACTTGAACCCAGGAGGTGGAGGTTGCAGTGAGCCAAGATTGCGCCACTGCACTCCAGCCTGGTGACAGAGTGAGACTCCATCTCAAAAAAAAAAAAATTGCAAAAAAACCTCACAATGTTTGAAGAAAGTTTACTGATTTGTGTTGGGCTGCATTCAAAGCCATCCTAGGCCACATGTGGCTCACAGGCTGAGGGTTGGACAAGTTTGTCTTAATCAAAGCAGATGAGTGAATATACAGCAAACCTAATGAAATAAATGTTATGCCAGAGATAACAACAAACTGCTTAGGATATAGGTACAGACAGCATTAGAGCCAGGAGGTCTTATTTTGAACCTCTCTCCTTTTATTAACTGCTGTGTGACCTTAGGTAAGTTATTTAACCTGTCAAAATAGTGGCTTTATGATTCTAAAAATGGGTATAAGACCTACTTGATATTTATTGCAACTTCCTTCTAATATGACATACTGTTATACAGAGGCTTGAAAAGCTAAAACCTGTATTTATCAGACTCCTTTGCAGCTAAAGCTCTTGATGTGACTTAGATCAACCGATTAAATATGTACTATGAGAACTGACTTTGAAACTGAATCAATTGGGAAAATATGAAGTGGCTTGAAGGGCATTGAAGGGCATCAACTTTTGCTGGAAGGATATAGCAGCTGTAGCACAACTCTGGGGCCAACGGTGCTGGTGGTGGAGTCACGTTCCAGTTACATGGCTTTGACATCAGAATCTACGAGTCTGCAGTAGGCATGGCACCTTCTGGACACCTAGTGTTCCACCTATAGTAGAGAGAGAAGTTCCCTGGGCAGGCTAATTCTGTTTTTTTTGAGATGGAGTTTTGCTCTTGTTGCCCAGGCTGGAGTGCAATGGCGCCATCTCGGCTCACCACAACCTCTGCCTCCCGGGTTCAAGCGATTCTTCTGCCTCAGCCTCCCAAGTAGCTGGGATTACAGGTGCCCGACACCACACCTGGATAATTTTGTATTTTTAGTAGAGACAGGGTTTTGCCATGTTGGTCAGGCTGGTCTCAAACTCCCGACCTCAGGTGATCCGCCCGCCTCCGCCTCCCAAAGTGCTGGGATTACAGGTGTGAGCCACCTCGCCTGGTCCCTGGGCAGGCTAGTTCTATGGTAGTGAACTGGGAGCCATTCCTGGAGGTCTTGTCTAAAGATGCTTCATTTAGACCTTTCAGAGCTTTTGTAGGCATCAAATTCCCTTTCTCCTTAAGGTGTTGAGAGTAGTTTCTGCTTTCTGGACTGAGCCCTGATGGATAGGTTGCTTTCCAAGATTATTGTGAAGTTTACTAGAGACACTTTATGTAAACTTGATTCATGCTTGGGAAGTGCTTACTTAGTAAATACTAATGTTCCTTCTCTTATAATTTTTATATACAAAATAACAGATGAAACCTCCAGATGTTTTTAAAGATTCTGACTCTCTCTTAATGTTTAGTTGGCATGTAAACACAATCTTTAAACAAAAACTTCCAGTCACACTAATATACAAACATGGAAATAGATTCAGAAATGCAAAATGCATCCTATTCTTAATCACCTTTTAACAAAGACTATGATCATGTTTTAAGAATAAGTGCCTAATCCTAACCTTGGGCAAAGCATTTTACTGCCTCAGTTTCTTCATTAAGGGCCTTAGTGTCCTCATTTATAAAGTGAAGGAGTTGGATTTACGTAATTTCTAAGACTTCTTCCTTCCTTGCTTCAAAACTGTGTGTTCTTTAAACCACTAAGCAATTACCTCCCAATGCTGGCCTATACATATGCAGTCAAAGTTTATCACTGGTTTCTGGGCTTCGCTAGTGGTCTGAAATTGTGTAAAAAGAGTTGACCCTGTGTCTTTATGTACTTGTTAGTTCTCAAATAAGCTAGGATAACCACTCCCTCTCATAAAGCATGTTTTAGCTCTTTTATCGATAATAATATATTTTCCTGACCAAATGAATATGGATCCAACACTCCTAAACACAATTCACAATTCCTCTCCCCCTTTAACACTTAAGCAAGCACTGTCATCATTATCATTGATAACCTTTATTACACAATTATTATCTATTGAGCCCTTATATTTTCTTATTTGCATGATTTATTGCCAATTTGATTTCCACAACACCCGATACACTTTTTTGATATGATGAGACTAAGGCTGAAAGAAGTTAAGCAAGTTATCGAAGGTCACAGAATTACCAAGTGGCAGAGTTAGATGTTGACTAGGTTTATTTGAACTGAAAGTTTCTTAACAAGTACATTAGATGACTTCTTAATAATAATAATAAGTAGTAGTAGTATTGAAAATAGTATTATCTTAGCTGAGTGCTTATTATATGCCTTTAAGTACTCTGCTGTCTTATTCATATCTGAATTCTCATAATTTACAGCTTAAACCCTATTATAACCATCATTTTATAAATGAAAAAAATTGAAGCTTGTTAATTTTAAGTGTCTTTTTTTTTTTTTTTGTCTTTTTTTTGAGACAGGGTCTCACCCTGTTATCCAGGCTGGAGTGCAGTGGCATGGTCCCGGCTCACTGCAATCTCTGCCCTCTGCCTCCCAGGCTCAAGCATCCTCCCACTTCAGCCTCCCAACTAGCTAGGACTACAGGCGTGCACCATCATGTCTAGCTAATTTTTGTATATTATTTGGTATAAGCAAGGTTTCACCATGTTGCCCAGGCTGGTCTCAAACTAACAGGCTGAAGCCATACACCCGCCTCAGTCTCCCAAAGTGCTGGGATTACAGGCGTGAGCCACTGAGCCTGGCCTAAGTGTGTCTTGACCAAAGTTATTCAGCTCCACTAGCGGAGGTGGACTGTGAACCTCAGCAGTATGAAATCAGAGTGTTTTCACCTGCCATGCCTTATTGCCTCCTGTCTCCTGATAGTGATGATATTGAAGGAAAAACCTTGACTCTGCTTTAATTTATGGACAAAGTAATTTGTTTGCACATTTAAAAGCTGTATAAGTAACAAAGTACTTATGGCACTCCCCCACAATTGATTCTGCCCATCAGTGTGCCACCACACCACTCCTGAGAACCACTCACACAGAGACTAACGAGTACAAATAGAGGGAAAGAATGTGTAGGTAAGAAAAGCTATGGTATGAAGCTGGTTATGGTGGCTCACACCTGTAATCCCAGCACTTTGGGAGGCTGAGGTGGGCAAATCACTTGAGGCCAGGAGTTCGAGACCAGCCCAGCCAACATGGTGAAACCCCTTCTCTACTAAAAATAAAACCAGGTGTGGTGGCGTGCACCTATAGTCCCAGCTATTCTGAAGGTTGAGGTATGAGAATCACTTAAGCCCAGGAAGTGGAGGTTGTAGTGAGCCAAGATCGTGCCACTGCACTCCAGCCTGGGGGACAGAGCGAAACTCTGTCTCAAAAAGAAAAAGAAAAAAAGAAAAGCTTTGGTATGGACACACACTCCCCTTTTTCTCATTTTTTTTTTGTGTGTGTGTGTGAAGACCGTAACAACCTTTTAATTAATTTGTTTATTTTTAAGCTACTTCTGAATAACATAACAACCTTTATTATTTTCCTGCCAAAGCCACAGAATTTCTGATCCTATTTCTATTAGGCTGGCAGTGATTATGGGAAACCACTTTATATTTCCCTTTTAAACATAACTTTCGATGTTATATAGACATTAGTTTATAATTTATGGATTTTTTTGGAAAAAAAAGTATAGCCCTTTTAAAATCTGAGTCAATCTTATAAGTGAGCTAGAATGCCTATTGGATTTAATAAGAAAAAAATTATAAATCTAAGCAATTAATTATTAAGCACCTAACAGCCAAATGCAGCACCTGTGGGCAGAGAGGCCCTCTCCTTTGAGGAGATGAAAACTAATTGCAAAAGCAGAGATGCTGAGAAGTCACACTGGGAGGCATGGAGTGCCCGTAGCAGTTGTCATTTTCCATTTTCTGAGCCACATTAAAAGGAAAGGTAGAGATCTAAGGAAAAAGTATTTAAAACACCTTGGGAAATTTATTTAATAACCAAGCATGAAAAAAAAAATGGGTAATAATGAAAGCCAGTAAGAAAAGTGGTAAGGGGATGTTTAATCTGGGTTTCAGGAACTCTGTGAGCCTTGAGGTTTTTAATCTCTGAAAGGTCACAGGTGTAGCACACAGTAGGTGCTCAAACATCATTAAAATAACCAGCTAATTGATGAATGGATGGATGGATTTTTCCCCTAAGTTTGAGAAAAGAGGAAGTTTGATATTTGTAAATATTATTGAACATAGTACCTGTTATAGACTAAATGTTTATGTTACCCCAAAACTCAGATGTTGAATCCCTAGCCCTCAGTGTGATGGTCTTTGAAGATGGGGCCTGTGGAAGGTATGTAGGATTAGATGAGGTTATGAGGGTGAGGCCCTGCTCCGATGGAATAGGGCCATTATTAGAAGAGACACAAGAGTGTTTGTTCTGTCTCTTACTCTACACATACAAATTGAGGAAGAGCCATGTGAGGACACAGCAAGTCAGATGGAATGCCCATGCCAGGAACTGAATGGGCCAGCACCTTGATCTTGTACTTCCCAGACTCCAGAACTGTTAGAAATTAATTTCTCAGCCTGGCCAACATGGCAAAACCCCATCTCCACTAAAAGTACAAAAATTAGCCCACCATGGTGGTGGGCACCTGTAATCCCAGCTACTCAGGGGGCTGATGCAGGAGAATTGCTTGAACCTGGGAGGTGGAGGTTGCAGTGAGCTGAGATTGCACCACTGCACTCCAGCCTGGGCAACAAGAGTGAGACTCCATCTCAAAAGAAAAAAAAATTAATTTCTGTTGTTTAAACCACTCAGTCTGTGGTATTTTGTTATGGCAGCCCACACAGGCTGAGATCACACCTATACCTAAGTCCTCATATATCTTTAAAGTTTGTGCTACTTGGGTACACATATAATTATAGAACTGTACATAGATTATACATTGTAAATATATGTACATACAAATATTAGTCATTTTAATTTCTAAAAATAAGTTACTTTTGAATGTAAAATAACTTCCCAATTGAATGAAAATTGTACTATTTCCTATGACTCAGAAGACTACATCCAAGAAGAAGTTGGTATTCAAATCATGCGACCATACCTAGGGCCCCTCAGTTAATGTGGTGCTATAATATTCAACCTGTAAGCAGCATATCAAGGGAGGAATTTAGGTCTCTTGAGTATAGGCGAGGCACAAACCCATACTTCATAGTTCACTTTCATTTGTCTCTCTCTTTATTTCTCCCTTGGGACACATAATGATAGAAAACTAATCGAGGCTAGTGGCCACGACCTGGGGTGTGCTGGATGCAATACGGGGGAGCCGTTAGGGCTTTCAGTGGAGATTCAAAGCCCTCGGGGACTGTATCTGGGGACAGGGCCTTGCTGGCAACTTCAGAGCTGGATATCTCTCTCATAGTAAATACAAATCAACCCTAAGCATTGGATAGACAGAGTGCTAATTAAGTCCCTAGTTATGAGAGCTCTTGCTTTATGTGTGGGAGCAGTTCTTTCCTTGGGTTTACATAGTCAAGAGCTGATAGCTTTTTAGAAATTTGTCATAAAGGTGAGTATCTCCCTGCAAGCATGGTATAAGAGTACCAAAATCCTGGAGACAATGGTTAGAGCTCATCTCCATTTCTTATTAACTATGATCTTTAGAGTGTTGTTATAGTTTACTGAGACTTTTTGCTTCTCTGCAAAATGGGGCTAATAATGGGGCTAATAATTTCTGCCCTACCTGCCTCAGAAGGTTAATCTCAGAAACAAGTGAGGAACATTTGGGCATGAGAAAACCTTTCAGGAATAAAATTATAATTTTTTACACCAGCAGTTGGCAAACTCTGGCCCACAGGTCAAATCTATCTCACTGAATGTTTCTGTATGGTCCACAAGCTAAGAATAGTTTTTACATTTTTAAATGGTTGAGAAGAAGCATATATTATGATGTGAAAATTGTATGAAATTCAAATTTCAGTGTCCAAATGAATGAGTATAAATGTTCACTTGTTTACCTATTATCTATAGCTTATCTTATGTCTTAACACTACCATGTTAAAGTTGAGTATGGCCCATAAAATATTTTCAGTCTGGCCCTTTACAGAAAATATTTGTCAACCCCTGCTCTACACAAGTGTGTAAGTCAAGGTTTTCCAGAGAAATAGAACCAGCAGGAGATATAGGTTAGGCTGTTCTTGCATTGCTACAAAAAATACCTAAGGCTGGGTAATTTATAAAGAAAATAGGTTTAATTGGGTCACAGTTCTGCAGGCTTTACAGGAAGCATGGTGCTGATGTCTGCTCAGCTTCTTGTGAAGCCTCAGGGAGCTTTCAATCATGGAAGAAGGCGAAGGGGGAACAGGCACACCACATGGCAAAGGCAGGAGCAAGTGAGAGGGTGGGAGGAGGTGCCACACATTTTTAAATGACCAGGTCTTGTGAGAACTCACTATCTCGAAGGCAGCACCAAACTACGAGGGATCCACCCTGATGACCCAAACACCTCCCACCAGGCCCCACCTCCAGCACTGGGGAATCACAGTTCAACATGAGATTTGAGTGGGGACAAATGCCCAAACTATATCAAGGTATATCTCTATATATCCTAGTATAGGATAAATACATACATATATATATATATATAAATATATATATAATATATATATTATATAATACACACACACACACGAGGAGAGACAGAGATTATGGGAACTGGTTCATGCTATTATGGAGGCCAAGAAGTCCCCTGATCTGCCATTTATAAGCTGGTAGTATAATTTAGTCCAGGGCTGAAGGCCCAAGAACCAAGAGTGCAGATGTCCAAGGGCAGAAGATAGATGTACCAGTTTAGAAAGAGAGAGAATCAATCCTTCCTCCACCTTTTTGTGGTATTTGGGCCCTCAGTGAATTGGGTGATGCCTACTCATATTGGCGAGGACAGATCTTCTTTACTCAGTCATCTGAGTAAATGTTTCTCTCTCCCAAGGCTTGTTCAATAGGCTCATGAATAACCATCACGGGCCCCAGTGATACAGCAAGTATATTCATAGGCTTACCATCATGGATTTTGCTTCTGTCCTTGGGAAAGAGGTGCTATTGTCACTGGCTATCACCACTTCTGAGCGACCAACTTGTTCTCATTGTTAACTAATCCTGGTGTTTGAATATGCAACCATATTCCTTAGGCACCCAGCTAGTCCTCAGTAACACTGGACTCCTACTGCAAGTGGGAAGGCAGCAGTCCATCCTCTCTGGAACAAATCTATGCCCTGGGCTCAGAGTTGCTGTCCCTGCCCACCATGCTTCATGGTTCTGCCCTCATGATCTGTAGAAGCAATGCATGCCGAGGACACCAACAGGCGTCCCACCAGCCTGGTTCTGACCAAAGAACTGACTGCTCTCTGAAAGAAGTAAGGCAATAAATGGAATTTACAGGACTTGTTCCTCCTCACTTGAAGCCACTGGCCTTACAGAACAGTAATGACAACTCACATTTACATGCTAGGCACTCCTCTAAGAACCTCCCATATGACAACTTATTTAACCCTTAAAACAGCCTTTTGAGATAATTACCATAATTATATTAATTTCTAAGAAGAGGACACTAAAGCAAGTATGGTTAATAGACTGACTCTTGTCACTCAGTAAGTGGGGTCTGAGACTTGAACCCAGACAGTCCAGCTCCAGAGCTTGTGCTTGTAACTGCTGCTACTCATAACCGCTACTACCCATAACCACACTGCCTACAACAGAGGAATGGAACTGCCCTTCAAAGGCCCCATTATGGTGTCTTATTAGAAAGAAAGGCAGGTGAGTTTACAGTGTGGGGGTGAAGTTTATTTTTTGAACAAGTGGTCAATCTCTGGTGCCATTTCTGCCACAGCAAGAATATACTCATATGTGAATCAAGAGGATGGAAGCTGGAGTTATGCCCACTTCCACGTGGGAAATTTTGCTTACGTTCTCCATAACTCAGGGCTCCACTGATATAGAGGATTTAGAATCAAAGGAGGAATCATCAAGGGGAATAAGGTAATGGCTCCACTGAATTAGCAGCTGAATTATTGGCCTATTTTAGGCTTCTCATGACAGTGGTGAAAAAGGGGAGCTCTGGAATAGATCAGGCTGCTTGAGCTCAACTATTTCAAGGGAATATATCAGTTAGGTTGCAACCGGCTTTGAGTAACAATGACAGCAATACATTTAAAAATAACCCAATCATACCAACCTAAATCATAGAGGTCTGGAGGAAGGCAGTCCACAGGTGGATTCATGGCTCAAAGATATCATCCAGGCTGGGTGCAGTGGCTTATGCGTGTAGTCCCAGTACTTTAGGAGGCCGAGGCAGGTGGATCACAAGGTCAGGAGTTCAAGACAAGCCTGGCCAATATGGTGAAACCCCATCTCTACTAAAGAATACAAAAATTAGCCAGGCATGGTGGCATGCACCTGTAGTCTTAGCTACTTGGGAGGCTGAGGCAGGAGAATCGCTTGAACCCGGGAGGCGGAGGTTGTGGTGAGCTGAGATCGCGCTACTGTACTCCAGCCTCAGTGACAGAGTGAGACTCCATCTCAAAAAAAAAAAAAATCATCCAAGAACCAGGTTCTTCCCAGCACCCTCCTCCCTTGGCTGCTTTGTGGTGCCACCCCTAACAGTGCCGAGATGGCTGCAACAGAACCTGAAATGAGTGAGTGTGTGAGTGAAGCAAAGGACTAGGGACAGTGGGGAATCTATTTCTGTGACTGGCTCCTGCAGTTTCCAGGCCAACAGTTCCCTGTGGCAGCATCAACCATCCAGTGCTGGTGGTGGTGCCGCCAGGATATCCACGACTCAGCTGTGCAGCAGTCTTCTCACCAGGTAGTCCCATTGGTGTGATTATGGTTGTGGCTCTCACTTCCTTGCCTCCATTTGTTCCTAGTCATTTTCTGACCCTGATTCTCTAAGCCCTCCCAGTGAGTCAGTGAGCTACCTGATATCTCTTTGGTTCTCTTTTCCCTGTTTATATCAGCAAGAATCAATTTCTGATGTTGTAGCTAAGAAATCTGATTGATAACATGGCTGTTTAATTGATTTGTTGAAAGTGAAGTTTTCTTTCTTTTTCGTGTTTTAAAAATTTTTTAAAATTATTTATTCATGTATTTTGTTTAATAGATGGGGGTCTTGCTATGTTGGCCAGGTTGGTCTTGAACTCCTGGCCTCAAGTGATCCTCCCACTTTGGCCTCCCAAAATGCTGGGATTACAGGCATGAACCACCTTACTCTGCCTCTTTTTGGTGTTTTCAGTGGGTTTCAAATATTGCCAGAGGGCAAATACACCTTTACTAGAATGTAGGCTTTACCAAGTCTCTAGTTTATTTTAACGGCTTCCTGTCAGTGAAATTCAGGCCACACAAGTCCTGAAAAATATTCTGGGAAAGAGGCATAGCTGTTCACAAATACCATTTATTGAGGACTTACTATGAGCTAGGTATACAAAAAGTAATTTAATATGGATTTAATTCTCATTGTGTTATCTACGTTTTACAGATAAGGAAGTCGGTATGTAGATCAGTCACACAGGGTACAATAGCAAATGACCCCGTGCTACCCAACTGCAAAGGCCTGGGATATTTCCAGTGTACTAGATCATTATTTTCTTTTACTTATGTTGTCAGAAATTAAAGCAATAGATTGTGCCCTTCCAAAGTCTCCATAATACTGCTCAGCCAACTGAAGTTGAAGTTGATATCAAAGGCATCTATTTTGGAATCTATCCGCAGGATTTTGTCTAGCCAAAGGACCATAAAGACATTGATAGCTTTTTAATGTACAGTAAGGTCAGTGGCACAAACCCTGAGGTTACCTTTAAAGTGTGGCTTGGCGTTACCTAAGCTGGACCTGCCTTGCACTGGACTTGTTTATCATGCTGGATCACCCATATACTCCTCTAAGAGAAACTTCACACCTCCATCCAGTCCCTGTAGCTGAAGCAGGCATGTTTTATAGTAATTTCCATAATTAATGAGCAAGGAACTACTTGCCTGAAGGTCATCAATTTATAGACTGGCCTGTGGCTTATGCAGCCTGTTTTAGAAAGATGGGTCATTCAGATAGGTCTTATCTAAGTTAGGAATTGGGAAACTGAGAAAGAGAGGGTGTTTGCAGCAGAGGTGAAGGTAAAAGCATGTTTTGATGTAAAATTGATTCAAAAGTTACATGAAAGCTAATGTTAGGAGGAGGTAAAGTTTATGCTCTCTGAAACAGAAGATGAGGAAGCCATTTGGTGGAGAGAAGAGGGTGCAAAAAATGAGCAGAGATAAATAGTGATATTCTGAGAGAGGAAGGAAAAACAGGAAGAGGAGGGAGAGAAGGGCCTGGGGCTTCCTGGATTTTCTGAATTTTCCAGGAAACTTTCGTGGATCCCTGTTCCTTAAACTCACTATACTTTTTGAAACTCTCTTTCTCATCAACCTTTAAAAAGGAAACTTGTGAACTAATTTGTCTTTCATCTTTTTAGTTTTCCCCCATTCTTCCTCCTGTGGCCTAACTAATCCAATAGCTAGAACCAAGAGAAAAGTGAAATAGAAAGCAAGCCTGGATAATCCACAAACATAAAAATCAGACACTGAAGGGTAGAACTTGATATTTTGTGCTAAACCCTAGGCTTTTATAACCCCTCTGCTCCCCTCTGTGGATAAAGGCAGAAATGAGAGGATTTTTCATTCTATAAAATCCAAAAGCAGAAGCAAAATGAAATTCTTTTCTATGACTTTTTTTTCATGACTATGAAATGAAAACATCAGTGTACTTCCTTATAAAAAATGTGTTTTTTTTTCCTGATTCAACAACCTCCCCCACTTAAGTCTAAGGTGTTCTAAACACATACCTGGATCTTACCTCCAAAATGCCAGGCAGATGGTTTGAGTGGGAAAAGCCAGAGGGGGCAGTCATTTTTGCTATAGGTTAGCTAAAAGACTAACACCCCTCATCCACATGAATCTACTTCACACCAAAGCAAAGAAAGGGAGGGCCTCTCTTCCTTTGTGACCCAATGATAATAATCCCCTATAGCAGCTGAAGAGTTGATGGAGGCTCTGAGAATAGTTTCATCTCAGGCCATTTGGCTTTCAAAGCTCCTTCCACCAACCTGCAGAGAAGGGTCTCCTGGGCTCCTCTGTTTTTATCTCCTCCTATTTGCTATTGTTTTTCCTTGCTCAGCATTGCACAGAATATAGGTTAGCAATGAAGAAACTGTGGTGCAAAGCTTAAGCCTCTGGGCTCTAGAGACAAACCTCTAGTGTTCAAACCTTGCCTGTGCCACTTACAAATAGATTGATCTCTCTGAGCTTCAGTTTCCTCATCTGTAAAAACGCAGATGATATTATTACTTTCTACCTGTAGGACTAAAAGGTACTATTTGTAGGGGTCCAGGATAATGTCTAGCACATAGTGCACCATAATAAGTGCTTGCTAAATCAACGAACTTGCTCCAAGGAAAGGAGACTCCTCCACAAAAGAAAGACAGGCTGGTGGAAATAGAGCTTTCTTTGAAAAGAAATGAACTGTGCTTCTTGCTATAGTGATTTGTTTTCTTTGCAGGAAATTTCCATTTCATAATTAATCTCTACTATGCCACTGAATATTCTAAAGTAAGAGGGTATTTCAAATAATAGGTAATGTGCTTTTGGAAAAAAGAAACATTAAAAACAGAAATGTACTGTTTAAATATAGTTTAATTTACTGCCAATTTTGGGCATGGAAATCAGCAAAAATTAAAAAAGAATGAAAGAGTTTGAGGTAGTTGTGCCAAAAGACCTGGGCTGAATTCCAGCTCTGCAGCCTTTTAACTATTTTACTTCTGGCAAGGCCCTTACCCCGCCCCGCCAGCTTCAGTATCTGCAAAATGGGGACACTTGTACCTGTCTCCCAAGGAGGTCCTGAGGATGAAGTAAGATAATGTGGCACAGTGGAGGCTACACGCTATGCACTTAATGACTCAACAAGTGTTAGAATTTACATTTGAAAACAGTTTCCAGCAAGCTCATACACAGAGTCCTTCAGAGTTTGGCTGAGGACCCAACAACCTCTTAAGGCACACTTCTTCTACCAAGCTGGGTCATCTGGTTTCCCACAACTGGCTGAGATGATGGGCAGTTCAAGAACACTGCAAGGAAAAACACACTGACTAGCAAGTGATAAAGGGGACAGGACTAAAAGAGACAATAATTACGTAAAGAAAGAAAAGGTAGAACATTTTGTAAAAATAAGACAAAACAGGCTGGGCACAGTGGCTCATGCCTGTAATCCCAGCACTTTGGGAGGCTGAGGCAGGCAGATCACCTGAGGTCAGTAGTTCGAGACCAGCCTCAACATGGAGAAACCCTGTCTCTATTAAAAATACAAAATTAGCCAGGCGTGGTGGTGCATGCCTGTAATCCCAGCTACTCGGGAGGCTGAGGCAGGAGAATTGCTTGAACCTGGGAGGTGGAGGTTGCGGTGAGCCGAGATCATGCCATTGCACTCCAGCCTGGGCAACAAGAGCGAAACTCCATCTCAAAAAAAAAAAACAAATCCAAAGTTTAATAGTTTGGGGTCTTTTAGTGTAGACCATGCTCTCCTCTGAAGGATTACTACATCACAGCCCAGTGCAATGATTGGCATTCACATGATCCCAAGCCTGTTGGGCACCAAGAGATCATTCAGACTCAAGTCTGAAAGATCCTGGTAGGGTGGAATGTGCCTGCACCCCAGGAGAAAGGGACTTGGAGGAGGAAAGCACCAGATTATCTCAGGTTATTTGGAAATGAACTTCAGGAAGACTAGGAGAGAAAGAGAGGCTGCTTGAGGTCCCAGCTTCTTACAAGATCTTCAGAGATTTGAAGGGCCTGGAAGGATAACCTTATACTGACTATACAGAGGAAGAAACATTTGGAACCTAGTTCAGGTGTGCTTCTAGCTACTGGAGGAAAAATTGAAACTGTTTCCCTTTGAAGAGGAAAAGAAGGTAAGTAATAGAAAGGGCTAGGTAGAAACATTTTTATTAATAATGTTTAGATTTTATTTGTTGAACAGATGCACTGTGGTGCACTGAAGGTACTAAACTCAGCTCAACTCCTGAACAGATCAGACCACCTTCTTGCAGGGACATGCAGTACAGAAGGTAGGCAGCCATTCAGCATGGAGGATTCAGAGCTTGCCTGTGGAAGCCAAGTGCCTGGGTTCAAACTCAACTCTGACTCTTACTGTTTGCATGACCCCCAGCTTAATCTAACTTAATCTCTTCTGTCTAAAAGAAACACCTTATAGCATTGGTGTGAGCATAATTGTGTTAATACACGTGAGGCACTTAGAAGACTGCCTGGCAAACTGCAGTATTTCCACCAATGTTAGCTATTGTCAAATACATTCCTCACATCTGTTTTATCTTCTTGTGCTTCTAGTAATAGACGATTGGGTTGCCTCAAGTCCACTCACTACAAACAATGCTGTGATTAATATTTTCATGCATTTGTTTAATATGCATTTTATACAGGCTGGGCACAGTAGCTCACACCTGTAATCCCAGCACTTTGGGAGGCTGAGGAGGGTGGATTACTTGAGGTCAGGAGTTTGAGACTAGCCTGGCCAACATGGTGAAACCCTGCCTCTACTAAAAAGACAAAAATTAGCTGGGTATGGTGGTGGGTGCCTGTAATCCCAGCTACTTGGGAGGCTGAGGCAGAAGAATTGCTTGAACCTGGGAGGCAGAGGTTGCAGTGAGCTGAGATGGCGCCATTGCACTCCAGCCTGAGCAACAGAGTGAGACTCTGTCTCAACAAAAAAAAAAGCATTTCATTCAGTGCTTAATATTTGCTGGGCAATGTTTCTTTCAGTCCTGTGCAAGAGTTTACCCAAGGCTTATGCCCAGGAACGGGTTACTTACTCACCATAGGCTGGCTATCTGCTCACAAATTTACATGTGTGCTAGCAGCTCTTGTTTCCCCAAATGTTTAACAACACTCAGTGTTATCAGACATAAAATTTTTGCCAATCTAGGCTGGGCATGGTAGCTCATGCCTATAATCCTAGCACTTTGGAAGGCTGAGGAAGATTTGATTTCAGGAGTTTGAGACCAGCCTCACCAACATGGAGAAACACCATCTCTACTAAAAATACAAAAATTAGCTGGGCGTGGTGGTGTAGAAGGCTGAGGCACAAGAATCGCTTGAGCCCGGGAGGTGGAGATTGCAGGGAGCCAAGATTGCACCACCGTACTCCAGCCTGGGTGACAGAGCAAGACTCTATCTCAAAAAAAAAAAAAAAAAAAATTGCAAATCTGATTTGTGAAAAGTGGTATCTTATTCTCAAGTCTATTGAAAGATTGAGTATGTCTTCATATCATTAGTTATTCCAATATCCTCATCTAGGAATTGCCAATATGTCTATTTTATTGCCTATATGTTATTTTTCTATGGAATTTCCTGACTTCGTTTTGTTGATTTAAAGTTGTTTTGTATATATCTTAGATATGTAGCACTTGCTAGTGTTAGATATTGGGATATTGGGAGTATCTTCTCCCAATTTACCACCTTTTAATTTTATTTTAATTAATTTATTTTCTGTTTGTGACTTTGGAGATGCCACAAGAGCCTTTCTGTTTTGTTTTGTTTTTTGGTAGAGATAGAGTCTTGCCATATTGCCCAGGCTCGTCTCAAACTCCTGGCCTCAAGCAATCCTCCCACCTTGGCCTCCCAAAGCACTGGGTACAGGCATGAGCCACCATGTCCAGCCCACTTTATCACTTTTTATTACCAATGTTCAGATTTTCTTTATTGAACAGAAATCCCGTGGTGCACTGAAGGTACCAAACTCAGCTAAACACCTGATCAGATTGACTTAACTGTCCTTAATGATAAAAAGAAGCATACCTATTTTTGGACATAAATGTTATTTATCTCAGTCTCCACTGCTCTTCTACATACAACATCTAGCATTCTTTCAAAAATCATAAGACAGAAAAATCAAGGGGAAGACATAAAACAATCAAAGATCTGATTCAGATATGACTCAGCCGTTTAAACTATCAGGCAGGAACTTTAAATAACTATGAGTAGCATGCTAAAAGATCTGCTTGGAAGGAGAGCAAGAGGCATTGAGCGATTTCAGCAGAGAGATGGAAACCATAATTAAGAGTCAAAAATTGGCCTGACATAGGGGCTCACACCTGTAATCCCAGCACTGTGGGAGGCTGAGGTGGGTGGATCACCTGAGGTCAGGAGTTCAAGACCAGCCTGGCCAACATGGTGAAAACCCGTCTCTACTAAAAATACAAAAAATTAGCCCGGCGTGGTGGCACACGTCTGTAATCCCAGCTACTCAGGAGGCTGAGGCAGGAGAGTCGCTTGAACCTGGGAGGCAGAGGTTGTAGTGAGCTGAGATTGCGTTGTTGCAATCCAGCCTGGGCAACAAGAATGAGGCTCCATCTCAAAACAAACAAACAAAAAAGTTACACACTCTATTTTCATTCTTCTGGTTATTTTCCCAAATCCTTAAGACCTTTGCTTATGTTTGTTTTTTTCTGTCTTGATTTTTGTTGTTGTTGCCTGTTTGGTTTGATAGTTTGGGCAATTCATCACTCTCTTTCCCTTTTTGGCATCTCCGGGGCTGAGATTGAGGGGAAGAAACAAAGTTTACCACCTCATCAGATATAGGAAAATTTGCCTCCCATGTCTCACCTGTAATCTTCGGGTAAGGAATGCTTTGAAGAAAACAGTCTTCAGTGAAAACCTCAGGAAATTACCACAAGGCTTAATTAAATGGAGAATCTACATGGTTTTAGGAAAAGGATTATTTGGGTTTTTGTTCAAGTAGAATACTTCATTCTCTGTTAGTGCTAGAAAGTGAAATATTGCCTAAATTTATAATAATATTATCAGGCAGCAGATTAGGGAAAAAAAAAACAAGAAAAGTTTATCTTCTAATGATTGTTATTTGTCCTACAATTAGACATATTTTTTCTTAGTAGTATCAAAGTCGTATATTATTTATTATGTCAACAGCCACATATCCTAAAACATCCAGGTTCAGATCAGATATTTTTGTGTTTACTAAGCTTTGGTTCCACTGCAATTTTTATACAACACATATATCCCTTTGCTCATTCACTCATGGTTTTGATATCGTAGGTTAGTTATCTTTATATTCTAGCTGTAAGATAGGAATTACTTAAAGAAGAGTTGCAAAAAGTAGCTGAGAACAGTGGCTCATACCTGTAATCCCAGCACCTTGGGAGGCTGAGGCAGGAGGATCGCTTAAGCCAGGAGTTGGAGACCAGTCTGGGCAACATAGGGATACCTCGTCTCTACAAAAAATTTAAAAATTAGCTGGAGATGGTGGCAAGTGCTGGTAGTTCCAGCTTCTAGGGAGGATGAGGCAGGAGGATTGCTTGAGCCCAGGAGTCGAGGCTGCAATGAGCCATGATGGAGCCACTGCACTGTATTCTGGGTGATAGAGTGAGACCCTGTCTCAAAAAAAAGTGACAGAAAGGAAACTGAGGATTTTGCACATTAGCCCATGGGTTTTTTAAGGACTTATACAAATACTTGAGACCTAAAAAAAAAAGTCTCTAAAACAACAAAAGAAAATAATGTATTTAATATGCTGTGGGGTAGGGTAGTGGGACTCCAAAGAAAATGTGCTTAGAACCTATGCAAGTCACCTGGGGAAATGATCTCCTATCTACTTTGTTCTTAGTCTACAACTTGAGCTAATCGGGAGTATTGGCTGATACAGCCCAATGGAGAATGGCAGAGAATAAGAATGCTTAATGCTGAAAGCTACAGTGGAGAGCATCTATCCACATTTTCAAACTGTGCCTCAGATGCAAAAGGAAGACAGAGGCAGTAGATCGCTGGTCCAACCTATATAACTTCCTGTCATTACTGGTATCAGAGCCGCTCTACTTGGATCTATTCGAAGTATTGGGATTCTCTGTAGTTTTGTTTGAAAAATGAGTTCACAGCTTAATGTTAGAAAACTACTGATCTATTTTAACTTCATCATTTTAGTAAAGAGTGCTCTGAGGTTCAAATAATTTAAATAAATAAATTACCCAAGGTCTCCCAACTAGCTAGTAAAGCCAGATTTCCAGAATCCCATCCCAGTTCAAGACTATTTCTTCATACAGAGATTGAGCTCTCCCGATCTCATGTTGACAGGTGTTGTTCCTATCTTGGGAGGCATTTGGGTTTTGCTAGAGCAGTTGAAGTATAGTTTCATCACCTGTTCCCATGTGCTGTTTTTCAGGCCAAGGCCACATTCTGGAACTTGGAGGATATCTTTTTGAAGGGCTCAGAGGGCATCTGTGAAGCTAACTAGGGGAATAAAAATCATTTTATCTCATTTTTAGTACATGGATTACCCTCCAACTTCCACCCCTTAACAGAAAGGGGTGTTCTCTTCTCTTAAGGGGTGGAACTTCCTGTTTCAACTTCCTGTTTCCCAATGAGGAAAATAAAAACAGCTAAAAAGAAACCTAATAAGCAAAAAATACAACAAAACCAGAAAGTACATAAAGGAGTAAAAGAGTTTATGATGGCAGAAGAATAACTAATGACCAAATCTAGTTTTATTAATCAACCATAAAGGCTATAACTGTACTGTCTGATATGGTAGCCACTATCCACTTGGGGCTACTGCACACATGAAAGATGGCTGGTCCAAATCGAGAGGTACTAGAAGTATAAAATACACACCAGAATTATGACTTAATATGAAAAAATAAAATAATATAAACTCTCTCAATAATTATTCTTTTTTGTTTGTTTTTTGAGACGGAGTCTTGCTCTTGTTGCCCAGGCTCAAGTGCAAGGACACCAACTCGGCGCTCTGCAACCTCCGCCTCCTGGGTTCAAGTGATTCTCCTGCCTCAGCTCTTGAATAGCTGGGATTACAGGCACCTGCCACCACGCCCGGCTAATTTTTTGTATTTTTAGTAGATATGGGGTTTCACCATGCTGGCCAGGCTGGTCTCAAACTCCTGACCTCAGGTGATCCACCCACCTCAGCCTCAAAGTGCTAGCATTATAGGCGTGAGCCACTGCACCCAGCCTCAATAGTTATTCATTTTATTGATTCATGTTGAAATGACAGTATTTTGAACATATTGAATTAAATAAGCCATATTACTAAAATTAATTTCACTTGCTTTTTTGCTTTTACTAGAAAAAATTTCAATTACATGCTTAAATATAATGTTCACATTGTATTTTTATTGGACAGCACTGGTCTGAGAGTAACTAATACATGTCCATAACAACTGAGCTGAGAAGGCCAGGACTCATTACAGAAATAGCTTCCTACCTGCATGGCCACAGACTAAGGTCTTCTTCAAAGAGCAGCTCCAGACTCTGCACTCAGGCTTTCAATGAAGGCCAGACGCTTATGTATCTTCAGGGAGTGGTCATTACAGTTCTTTCCTTAAGTGTAACTTGACTTTTACCTGGGGTTATGTACCTTGGCTGGCTTTCAGGGTTATTAAATAACAGCTTAATGAACAAACACCATTCAAATTGATTTTCAAGTTCCAGTTCTGTGGAGTGGAAGCAGAAAAACACAACAGTCCCTGCAGTGAATTTCTACTGCCTCCAGATAAATAGGACTAGATCTGATAAGACCCCAAACAAATTAAAGGGTGTTGCTCAGAACTTTGCCAAATAGAAATCTCTGGAAGTTTTATGTTCTGACATCTCTAAAACAGATCTTTAATCAGGTAAAGACTTATTTACTTTTAGTTTCACTGGAGCCCCCTTTTGAAAGAGATGCTGATACGGTTTGTTCTGTGTCCCCGCTCAAATCTCATGTTGAATTGTGATCTCTACATGTTGAAGGTGGGGCCTAGTGGGAGGTGACTGGATCATGGGGGTGGTTTTTAACAGTTCAGTACCATACCCCTAGTGCTGTCTCAGGATAGAATTCTCATGAGATCTGGTGGCATTTAAAAGTGTGTGGCCCCTCCCCATTTGCTCTTTCTCTCTCTCCTGCTCCACCATGGGAAAATGTGCCTCATTCCCCTCTGCCTTCCACCACAATTGTTCGTTTCCTGAGGCCTCCTAGTTATATTTCCTGTTAAGCCTGCAGAACTGTGAGTCAATTAAACCTGTTTTCTTTATAAATTACCCAGTCTCAGGTAGTTCTTTACAGGTGCCTGAGAGGAAACAAAGTTGAAGTTGTTTTGTTGGCTTACAGTATACTTTCTCTCCCTTCTAAAAACCAAGTTTTGGGTCTAGGAGAAATATGAGGCATTAAACCTAGAGTTGAAGTTTGATTAGCATGGAAAATTGCTAGAGCTCTGAAGGAAAAAAAAATAAAGAAGTTGTTAGAATTCTAAAAAACAAACAAACAAACAAAGCCAATACCCCAAACAAACAAAGCACATGTTGGTTTGAGGAGGCAGTGAGATAGAAATTCACATTTGAAATAGACCTGCAGTAGGCTCAGTAATGGGCCTTGAAGCTATACATATCCTAATCCCTGGAACCTATGAGTACACAGCCACAAAAGGGGCCTTGCAGATGTGTTAAATTAAGGATCCTGATAGAAGGAGATGAGCATGGCTTATCCAGGTGGGCCCTAAATGTAACTGTGTAATCAAAGGAAGCAGAAAGAGATTTGACCACACAAGTGGAGAAGGCACACACAGAGAAGGTAATGGGACTGCAGAAGCAGCGAGTGGAGTGAAGTAACATAAGCCAAGAAATGCTGGCAGCCCCAGAAGCTGGAAGAGGCCGGGAAGAATTCTCCCCTGGAGCTTCCAGGAGGAACCAGCCCTGCAGACCCCTTGATTTTTGCCCTGTAAGACTAATTTTGAACTTCTGACTTCTAGAACTGTAGGAAGAGTAAATTTCCATTGTTTTTAGCCACAACATTTGTGGTGACTTGTTACATATAGCAGCAATAGGAAATGAATACAGGACCCCAGTGACTTACTTGGCAAAATTAATCTATAGGCTGAATATTTTTTTCCTTCACATTAATTCATATAGGCTTAAAGCATAGAAGAAAGAAATCTCTAAGACAAAGTTCTTGGGAGAACACATCAGAGTAAATGTTCGAATCTGTATTTGCTCCCTTACTTTTCCTTATCTTTTATCCCATTCTCTAAACTTCCCATTCCTTTCTTTCCTCTTTCCTTCCCTTTCCCAACACCCTCCACCTTCAGCTAAGTAACCTTTCAGATGCAACTTTAGATTTACTTTTATGTCTGGCTTGCCAAACCTCCATAATGTTAACAAAAACATTCCAGTTTCCCTTCAAGATACGTATGGTGTGACAGTCAATAAATTTATCAGCTCTGCTTTATTGTAAATATTCATTTATTCAATATATAGTTAGTATTTACCAACTATGTCCTAGGCCCTGTGCTAGATTCTGGGCAAACAACAGTGAACAAAGTAGATGTTGTCCCTGCCTTTATTTACAAATAAATTCATGAAATTACCAACTGTGGTTAAATGCTCTGACAGGCACAAAGAGAGTGCAACAACAGGGAACAACAGAGCTGGCCTCTCTTGGGCGGTGGCATTTGTGTTGTAAAGATGCTCACCTTGTAAAGAGCAAGATGGGGGTGGAGAGAGCATCCCACACAGAGGGACCGGTAGGGAAAGAACTTACCAGTCAAGGAACTGAAACAAATCCCATCTGGGCAGAGCACAGGAGAGGGGAAGAGCAGTGGGACAAGATGAAGTGAGAGAGGCAGGCAGGGGACAGATGACATAGGGATTTAAGGTACATCTCTGTTCCCTTCCTTCCTAGTGAACAGACTGAAATGTCAGTAACTAGGAAGCCTCTAGCAAGAAATATGCTAATAATTGAATCTTTGCCAGTAGAGATGCACTCCTTAAAGTTTGCAAAGTTTATCTGGATATCCTCTACCCTCTAAGAAGTACTTTAAACCACTATCATTTAACATTTTGGTGAGAATTAGTTTTCTGGACTCCTTTTATTCATTCAACATTTATTGCATGCCCAATTTGTGCCAGACAACCCTGTTTGGGGTGCTGTATGTGTTCTGGGTGTTGAGGATTGGCACGCCCCATCTCTCCTCTCATGGAGCCCAGGTATGGTAAAGTGCTATGAGGTAAAATGACAGGGAGCCAATGAGAGTGTGTCACAGGTTCTGGCCTGACCTGAGCAAAGGAAGAAGGCTTCAAGCCAGAAGTAGCACTTAAGCAGGGAAGCAAATGATGCCAGGTTGATTAACAGGTTGGTGTGGGTATAGAGGGAGAGGGAAGAGGGGTATTCCAGGAAGAAAGGGTCCTATAGGTTCAGCATACCAGAGAAGCTTCAAGAAGTCCAGTGCACTACCCCTGGAGTGGGGAGAGTGAAGGAGAGAATGGAGGAAAGGGAATCAGAGAGGTAACTGCAGTGGAGTGCAGGGTTTTGGAGGTGCTGGTAAATGCATTTGGACTCTAGGAACAGAGAAAGTGTTAACAGGTTATAAGCAAAGGAGTGATAGGATCAAGTTCGCGTTAAAAAAAAAAATCATAGGCCGGGCGCGGTGGCTCATGCCTGTAATCCCAGCACTTTGGGAGGCCGAGGCGGGCGGATCATGCGGTCAGGAGATCGAGACCATCCTGGCTAACACGGTGAAACTCCATCTCCACTAAAAATACAAAAAATTAGCCAGGTGTGGTGGCATGTGCCTGTAGTCCCAGCTACTTGGGAGGCTGAAACAGGAGAATTGCTTGAACCTGGGATGTGGAGGTTGCAGTGAGCCGAGACCATGCCACTGCACTCCAGACTGGGCGACAGAGTGAGTCTCCATCTCAAAAAAAAAAAAAAAAAAAAAAAAAAATCATTACATGTTGGTGTGGAGAAGGGGACTGGAGGTAAAGAAGAGTGAACTCGAGAGAACATTCAGGAGATGATTACTGGCATCTAGGCAGGAGATGATGGTGGCTTAGAAGAGAATGATGGCAGTGGAGATTACTAATTGCAGAACCTACTTGATCTTTGCATCTATGCTTATTCACAATTCAGGTTAAATATAAAGTCTTTAACAATGGTATTTGGTATTGTTCATATATTGGGTGTGATTTTTATTCCTTTTCAAGAAGCAGTATTTTATTTTTTATATAAGTGAAGCTAATTTCAACTTCAAGCCCCCATTCTTCTGGAAGCTGAACATTTGATTTTAGTCAATTTGAGGTCTCTCCATTCCTTCCTCAGTATTACAGCTTAATTTGAAGAGGGAGGTCTGTTTGGTTCTTGTACAAGGTGGGTGGGGGTGGATACTCTGGTCTCCTTGCTCATGCATCTACTCTGGAATCCACTGACACACCCTTGGTCCCATGGAGCCTATGGCTTACCCAGACTTCTGCTGTACCCTTTTTGTCCCATCTTGATACTTTCTCAGGCCCACTGATCCCTACACCATGTCTAAACTATTCTCTAACTGCTTAGAAAATGTCCTACTTCTTCTAAAACAATCTGGCTGTGGATAACATCTGAGGCTGTCTCAGCCCTGCTACATCAACATGCCAAGTATACCTCTTCTTCTCTAGAACCCAGCTGGTGTGCAGGACCAATAGTTTCTTACTGGATCTCGGGAACAGATTCAAGAGATATTTAGAAGGAAAAATGATTATCTTTGATGATTCATATATATCAGAGATGAAGTTTCAGGAATGAGTCCCCCCCCACCCCACCTTTTTTTTTTATGGGGAACAGGATGATGCCTTTTAATGAGACAGGAACCTTGGAAGAGGAGCAGATGTAGTGCATGGGCTGGAATCATGAGGTCACTTTTGAACATAGTATGTGTGAGATATCCAAAAAGAGAGACTGAGGAAGCAGTTGGGATTGAAGGCAGGGATCTGAAGCTTAGATGAGAGGTCTGGGATTGAGAATACACAGGGTTGTTTGTTTTTTTTTTTTTTTTTCAGTGTAAAATAGGGGGTAATGGAAGCCATGGGACAGACATCGTGGGATTCCCTGGAGAAAGGGAATATAGAACAAAATGAGAAAAGGGATTGAGGAAATAGCTGAGTAATGTTTAAGGATTGGCTAGGAGATGGAAAACCTGCAAAATAATCATGGAGGTAAGAGGAAAACAAGGAGAATGTCATGAAACAAAAGCTACAGAAGCGAGTGCTTCCAGAGCATAGGAGTGGTTAACAATGTTAAATGCCACCGCCAAGAGGTCAAGTAAGATGAAAACTGAAAAGTATCCTTTGGATTTAGAAGTTATTGGTTATCTCAAAAAAAGCAGTTCCAAGGTATGAAAGAGGCAAAAGCCAGGTTAAAGAGTCTACTTTGAGCATGTGGGGCATTCACAGAAACTTCAGAAATCAAGCCTTTCTAGGAGAAGTAAACTGGCCCTGTAGTAAAGGTTACTCTAAATTCACTCCAACAAAGCTTAAGAACAAGTTTCAAAAGACTCAAGCTAATGCACAAGTAAATTAGCTGCCTGCTAGAACAAAGTCTACCACCCCTTAAGAAAACAAATTCCAATGCTCAATAGAAAATTTTCAGTATCTTGTAAGAAACTTATAGTATCCAATAAAAAATTACTATATATGAGAAGAAGTAGGAAATTGAGACCTATAACCAGGAGAAAAATGAGTCAATAGAAACAAACCCAGAAATGAAGAGATGATAGAACAGCAGATTAGGGGACAAGGACTTAAAGTTAGTTATTGTAAATATGTTCATGTATTTAAAGGAAAATGAATATAATGAGCAGCGGAAGATATTTAAAAAATACTACAAGCAATCATATCAAAGTTCTTTTTTCATAAGACTCCCCTCCAACCAATGCAATAACCAGCCCCATAGCTTCTTATCTGTAAAGTATTTTGTTTCATGTAACTTTGTACTTTTGGTTCTCTGTATGCATGTATTTTAAAATTTTCTTGGGGAACATATCATACATATTCCTAAAGAAAGAATATATATTCTCTTGAAAGGTGCCAGAGAAGTAGGGAGGTGGGTATGATTGTGATAGAACTCTAGATACCCCTCTGCCCTAAACAGCCATTGTTTGTAGGAAGTTTGAGACTTCCTGGTCTCCCACAGAGCAGCTGGCTAGGGCTCAAAGGATACACCTTGGTGTTTCAGGTCCATCTGTCTGATTGGCGCATCTGACCCTGAGGTGTAATAATCCTGAGTCTCACTGAAGCAGGTTCTCATAACTCTTTTTTTCCTCTTTTAAACCCTTCCTTGGGAGCTTTAAGGGCACCTTTTAAGGTATCCTTAAAATTAAAGGAGAAATGTTAATGAAAAGGAAAACATTAAAGTTCAAGAACTCATATGAAATATTTGTGAAAATCTTTGTCACAGATAAGTTGGGCTTAAGTCAAATCAAACAATTTAAGATTAAAGGAGAAGGGCTGAGTCTTCTCTCCTTGCTGTGTATCCCCATCAAGGAGGTATAAGTTTTACCTAAAGATATTCATCCCATTAACATTGATCTCAAAGATGAATTTGCAAATTTGAAATCTCTCATATTATCAGCTTTTCTAAATATGTTCATATGGTAGAGAACTCATGAGGCTCACATTACTTAAGTCCATGGATCACTTTGTAAACACTACTAAGCTTAAACTTTAAAATTATAAATTATTGGACACATTTTTACTTAGAATCATTAACTGGAAATTCATTTATTTCTTCCCTGTTCCATGCCAGTAAGGGAATTAGAGATCATGTTTTTAGCTACTCCCTGGATGAAGGAAAATAGAAACGTGTGTCTCAGTTGAGCGCACCAAGCTGTCATGCTCATATTTGGTGCCAGCTGGTCACCTGTTGGCAGTGCCAGTAGAGAGCCATGGGACTAAATTCATCCTGCCTTCTACATCCAACATCAGTAGACCATCTCTGTCAGAATGTCTATTCCCCATGCAAACCACTTCATTAAATAGAAAACCTCTCTGTTTAAGTGATGTCTAGTTATCAGCTTGCATTTTAATATCTAACAAATTAAAAACTACGTTAACTTTGAGGCAATATTTTTCCATTCTATGTTATTTTAAGAGACACCCATCTTCTTGCAACAGAGCACAATTTTGTCTCTCAAACACACAGCTAAAAAGGTCAGCGACAAAAATAAGAATACAAAAATGAAACAACTCACTTCAAATATCTTTATTAGTTATTACTTCTATTAGTGCATTTTATGCCATAGATATTTTGTTCCTAAAATCTCATCTTCTTTATTTTTCCTTCACCTACCTTAGTTCTTTATTTTATCCTCAATGGGCATGTCTCCACCATGGAAGATGAAGAAATAGAAAACTGGTCACCAGGACACTGTAGAAAGCAAATGACATATCATTAGGAACACAATCATTTAACAGATCAGGCTGAGAATATATCATTAACAACCCAGACAGAAGACCATCATCTTCCATCATCATTTGAAATTAAAAAGTACCTCCAAAGGAATTGTTTACTGCTTTGCCTGCAAAAAGTGCTACAAACAGTAAACCAAAGAGACAAAACAGTCTTTAGTGGATTGTTAGAGCACTTAAGGAGGTGTAAATTGTAATTAGCCATATGCTAGACTTACACAGCCCAATAAGAAATATGCCTGATGGTACAGAATCTCCCTGGCCCAGTTTTTCAGGTCAAAAGCAGAATGGCTGTTGAGTAAGGAATAAGCCACAAAGGAGAGCTACAAAACTATTCCATTCTCTGGCTTCCAACACAACAGGTCAGAACTCTTTCTGCACATGTTTGTGATGGCAGTTATGTTGCTGAGTTACTCTGGATGCCCAACCAGAGTTTCTGCATTGGAAGATGGGAGGGAAGGCCCTGTTCAGCTCAAGTGGCAACCCTAAAATCACTGTGGGTCAGAGGACACATTAACTCTGTTCACAAAGGAATCGGAGTGCAAATGTGTTACAAAGATAATGTTGTTCTATATTAATATTGACAAAGTGTTTCAGAGCTGGGGACCTATATATCTGAGAGTGGTCTCAGGTACTGGCAGAACAAAACAAACTTTTGAGAACTTGGTTTCATGTACTTCTCTGTTGACTGTTTGACTTTCAGTATGTCTCTTAACCATCTTTAGCATACTTTTTAACTTCCCATAGCCTTAATTTATCATTTTGATCACATAGGGGTTGGACTTGATTTTTTAAAAAGCGGCATTCAAAATATGTTTGTGTATGAGTGCACATTTTCCTGTACCCTCATATTTCTGAGAAATCCTATAACTTTCATTAGCTTTGCAAAAGGTTCAGGGACTAAAAAAGGGTGAAGGAATAATCTTGGCTCTGGCAGATTAACTGTAGGAGTAGAAAAGGAAACAGAATATTCAAAGTCTTGTGCTGGAACAAATAACTTTCAGGATTTGATTTGCTCTGTTTGACTGAGAATAAGATGCTTCTTATGCAAATGAAGACTGATAAAGGATGAGTTTATATTGTTTAAAATGCAATATGATCTTTTGGCTCAAATAGCTGTATGCCAGTAATTAGGGATTAATTTGGTTCTGAAAATCATGCAAATTCTCTTTGTGAATTTGTGCATTAATGTAACTTTCTATCAAGTGATTTTCACTAGACGGAGATAAGATTTGGCTACATTCTTAAGGCAAATAAACACAGGGACAAGAGCCATGAGAATGAAGAAGACTTAATGGATATCATCCTCCTTTATAATCTATTTGGTTCACATTGCTATGGATTTTTTTTGTTTATTATTTCATTATTTTGTTTATTATTTTATTATTTTGTTCATTATTATTTATTATTTTTGCTTTGTGGCTCAGGCTGGAGTGCAGTGGTGTGGTCAGGGCTCACTGCAATGTTGACCTCCCTGGCTCTAGAGATCCTCCCACCTCAGCCTCCCAAGTAGCTGGGATTACAGGTGCATGCCACCGTGCCAGCTAATTTTTAAAAATATTTTGTACAGATGAGGTCTCATTATGTTGCCCAGGCTAGTCTTGAATGCCTGGACTCAAATAATCCTTCCATCTTGGCCTCCCAAAGTGTTGAGATTACAGGCATGAGTCATAAGGCCTGGACATCACATTGCTTATGTTTTTATTTCATGATCACAAAATAGAGCAAGGGTGCAATTTCCACAATCTACAACTTCATTCTCTTTCTCCTTGCCATCACCCCACCCATCCCATCTGGAACTGCTGCCAAGAAGGAAAAGTCTTCACTGGAATGCAAGCTCCACAAGCTAGAATTTTTGTCTGGTTTAAACACTGTATTATCTCTACAACAGTGCTCAGTACAAAGCAGGTCCTCAGCAACCATGTGTTGAATGCATTCTAATACTGATGATTTTCAGAATGGTTTAGGATTTGTGACCTCTCCTTTCTGAGCCTGAGTAGATTAAGTGTATCAAATTTGATTCCCTGTAATCTACTTTGGTTTCCTATTTTCTAAAAGCAATGGAGAGGGAGAGAGATCATTATGGCAGACCAGACGGGAGGCAGAACTAGATGATTCAGATGGACAGACAGTGTGCGGAGGCTTGCATTGTGAATTTTAGCTCCAGATTGACTGCAAGAACAAGCCAGCAATCCCAAGAGGACCCACAGACCCTCTGAAGGAATCTGACTGCTCCTGTAGGACCCAGGAGACACCCCAAATACTCAGCCACAGCAAGACCCCCTCAAGGAGAGTCTGAACTCAGACAGGCCTAGCCCTGACCCAACCTGATGGTCCTCCCCTACCCACCCTGGTAGCTGAAGACAAAGGGCATATAATCTTGGGAGATCTAGGGCCCCACCCACCATCGGTTCCTCTCCGTACTACCATAGCTGATGCTCTCTGGAAAGCACCATCTCTTGGCAGGAGGCCAACCAGCACAAAAATAGAGCATTAAACCAGCAAAGCTAAGAACCCTCACGGAGTCCATTGCACTCCCCTGCCACCTCCACTGGAACAGGTGCTGGTATCCACGGCTGAGAGACGCAGAGACAGTTTACATCACAGGACTCTGTGCAGACAACCCCCAGTACCAGCCCGGAGCCAGGTGGACTCGCTGAGTGGCTAGACCCAGAAGAGAGACAACTATCACTGCAGTTTGGCTCACAGGAAGCTACATCCACAGGAAAAAGGGGAGAGTACTACATCAAGGGAACATATTGTGGGACAAAAGAATCTGAACAACAGCCTTCAGCCCTAGACCTTCCCTCTGACAGAGCCTACCCAAATGAGAAGGAACCAGAAAACCACCTCTGGTTACAAGGCTCTTTAACACCCCCCAAAAATCATACTAGTTCACCAGCAATGAATCGAAACCAAGAAGAAATCCTTGATTTACCTGAAAAAGAATTCAGGAGGTTAGTTATTAAGCTAATTAGGGAGGCACCAGGGAAAGACAAAGCCCAATGCAAGGAAATCCGAAAAATGATACAAGAAGTGAAGGGAAAAATATTCAAGGAAAGAAATAGCTTAAAGAAAAAACAATAAGAAATTCAGGAAACATTGGAGACACTTATAGAAATGCAAAATGCTCTGGAAAGTCTCAGCAATAGAATTAACAAGTAGAAGAAGGAAATTCAGAACTCGAAGACAAGGTCTTCGAATTAACCTAACCCAACAAAGAGAAATAAAAAAGACTAAGAAAATATGAACAAAGCTTCCAAGAAGTCTGGGATTATGTTAAATAACCAAACCTAAGAATAATTGGTGTTCCTGAGGAAGAAGAGAATTCTAGAAGCTTGGAAAACATTTTGGGGGAATAATCGAGGAAAACTTCCCTCACCTTGCTAGAGACCTAGACATCCAAATACAAGAAGCACAAAGAACATCTGGGAAATTCGTCACAAACAGCTCATTGCCTAAGCACATTGTCATCAGGTTATCTAAAGTTAAGACAAAGTAAAGAATCTTAAGAGCGGTGAAAGAGAAGCACCAGGTAACTTACAAAGGAAAATCTATCAGATTAACAGCAGATTTCTCAGCAGAAACCCTATAAGATAGAAGGGACTGGGGACCTATCTTCAGCCTCCTCAAACAAAACAATTATCAGCCAAGAATTTTGTATCCAGCGAAACTAAGCATCATATATGAAGGAAAGATACAGTCTTTCTCAGACAAACAATTGGTGAGAGACGTCGATATACCAAGCCACCACTACAAGAACTGCTAAAAGAAGCTCTAAATCTTGAAACAAATCCTGGAAACACATCAAAACAGAAACTCTTTAAAGCATAAATCACACAGGACCTATAAAACCAAAAAACAAGTTAAAAGGCAAAAACATAAAACAAAAAATCCAAGGTGCACAGGCAAAAAAATAGCACAATGAATGCAACAGTACCTCACATCTCAATACTAACATTGAATGTAAATGGCCTAAATGCTCCACGTAAAAGATACAGAACCTCAGAACGGATAAGAACTCACCAGCCAACTACCTGCTGCCTTCAGGAGACTAACCTAACACATAAGGACTCATATTAGCTTAAAGTAAAGAGCAGGGGGAAAGGCATTTCATGCAAATAGACACCAAATGTGAGCAGGGTAGCTATTCTTATATCTGACAAAACAAACTTTAAAGCAACAGCAGTTAAAAGAGACAAAGAGGGACATTATATAACAGTAAAAGGCCTTGTGCAAGAGGAAAATATCACAATCCAAAACATATATGTGCCTATCACTGGAGCTCCCAAATTTATAAAACAATTACTAATAGACCTAAGAAATGAGATAGACAGCAACAAAATAATAGTGGGGGACTTCAATACTCCACTGACAGCACTTGACAGGTCATCAAGAAAGACAGTCAACAAAGAAACAATGGATTTAAACGATACCTTGGAACAAATGGACTTAATAGATATATACAGAACATTTCATCCAACAACCACAGAATACACATTCTATTCAATAACTCATGGAACTTTCTCCAAGATAGACCATATGATAGGCCATAAGAGTCTCAATACATTTAAGAAAATTGAAATTATATCAAACACTCTCTCAGACCACAGTGGAATAAAACTGGAAATCAACTCCAAAAGGAACCTTCGAAACCATACAAATACATGGAAATTAAATAACCTGTTTCTGAATGAGCATTGGGTCAAAAACAAAATCAAGATGGAAATTAAAAAATTATTCAAACTGAACGACAGTAATGACACAACCTATCAAAACCTCTGGGATATAGCAAAGGTGGTGCTAAGAGGGAAGATCATAACACCAAATGCCTGTATCAAAAAGACTGAAAGAGACTAACTGACATTCTAAGGTCACACCTCAAGGAACTAAAGAAACAAGAACAAACCATACCCAAACCCAGCAGAAGAAAACAAAAATAACCAAGATCAGAGCAGAACTAAATGAAACTGAAACACACAAAAAAATACAAAAGGTAAATGAAACAAAAAGCTGGTTCTTTGAAAAGATAAATAAAATTAATAGACCATTAGCAAGATTAACCAAGAAAAGAAGAAAGAAAATCCAAACAACCTCATTAAGAAACGATACAGGAGATATTATAACTGATACCACTGAAATACAAAAGATCATTCAAGGCTACTATGAACACCTTTACGTACATAAACTAAAAAACCTAGAAGAGATGGATAAATTCCTGGAAAAATACAACCCTCCTAGCTTAAATCAGGAAAAATTAGATGCTCTGAACAGACCAATAACAAGCAGTGAGACTGATATGGTAATTAAAAAATTACTGTTCGTGACTACCCTGACCAACATGGTGAAACCCCATCTCTACTAAAAATACAAATTTAGCTGGGTGTGGTGGTGCATGCCTGTAATCCCAGCTACTTGGGAGGCTGAGGCAGGAGAATCGCTTGAACCCAGGAGATGGAGGTTGCAGTGAGCTGAGTTCGTACCATTGCACTCTAGCCTGGGCAACAAGAGCGAAACTCTGTCTCAAAAAAAAAAAAAAAATTTACCAACAAAAAGTGCCTGGGACCAGATGGATTCACAGCAGAATTCTACCAGACATTCAAGGAAGAATCGGTACCAATCCTTTTGACACTATTCCACAAGATAGAGAAAGAAGGAACCCTCCCTAATTCATTCTATGAAGCTAGCGTTACCCTAATACCAAAACCAGAAAGGACAAAACCAAAAAAGAAAACTACAGACCAATATCCTTGATGAACATAGATGCTAAAATCCTTAACAAAATACTAGCTAACCAAATCCAGCAACATATCAAAAAGATAATCCACCACGATTGAGTGGGTTTCATACCAGGGATGCAGTGATGCAAGTCAGTAAATGTGGTACACCACATAAACAGAATTAAAACAAAAATCACACTATCATCTCAATAGATGCAGAAAAAGCATTTGACAAAATCCAGCATCCCTTTATGATTAAAACTCTCGGCAAAACTGGCATATGAGGTACATACCTCAATGTAATAAAAGCCATCTACGACAAGCCCACAGCCAACATAATACCAAATGAGGAAAAGTTGAAAGCATTTTCTCTGAGAACTGGAACAAGGTAACAATGCCCACTCTCACCACTCCTCTACAACATAGTACTGGAAGTCCTAGCCAGAGCAGTCAGACAAGAGAAAGAAATAAGGGGCATCCAAATCAGTAAAGAGGAAGTCAGACTGTCACTGTTTGCTGACCATATGCTCATTTACCTCGAAAACCCTAAAGGTTCCTCCAGAAAGCTCCTAGAACTAGTAAAATAACTCAGCAATGTTTCCGGATACAAGATTAATGTACACAAATCAGTAGCTCTTCTATACAACAGCGACCAAGCAGAGAATCAAATCAAGAACTCAGCCCCTTTTTCAAGGGCTGCCAAAAAAATAAAATACCTAGGAATATACCTAACCAAGGAGTCAAAAAACCTCTACAAGGAAAACTACAAAACACTGCTGAAAGAGATCATAGATGATACAAACAAATGTAAACACATCCCATGCTCATGGATAGGTAGAATCAATATTGTGAAAATGACCACACTGCCAAAAGCAATCTACAAATTCATTGCAATCCCCATCAAAATACCACCATCATTCTTCACAAAATTAGAAAAAACAATTCTAAAATTCATATGGAGCCAAACAAGAGCCCACATACCCAAAGCAAGTCTAAGCAAAAAGAACAAATCTGGAGGCATCACACCACCTGATTACAAACTATACTGTAGGGCCATAGTCAACAAGCCAGCATGGTACTGGTATAAAAATGGTACATAGATCAATGGAACAGGATAGAGAACCCAGAAATAAACCCAAATACTTACAGCAAACTGGTCTTCAAGAAAGCAAACAAAATCATAAAGTGGGGAAAGGACACCCTTTTCAACAAATGGTGCTGGGATAATTGGCTAGCCACATGTAGGGGAATGAAACTGGATCCTCATCTCTCACCTTACATAAAAATCAACTCAAGATGGATTAAGGACTTAAATCTAATGCCTGAAACTATAAAAATTCTAGAAGACAACATTGGAAAAACCATTCTAGACATTCTTAGGCAAGGATTTCATGACCAAGAATCCAAAAGCAAATGCAATAAAAACAAAGATAAATAGTTGAGACTTAATTAAACTAAAGAGCTTTTGCACAGCAAAAGGAACAGTCAGCAGAGTAGACAGACAATCCACAGAGTGGGACAAAATCTTCACAATCTGTACATCTGACAAAGGACTAATATCCAGAATCTACAATGAACTCAAACAAATCAGTAAGAAAACACAATCGCATCAAAAAGTGGGCTAAGGACATGAATAGACAATTCTCAAAATAAGGACAAACAAATGGCCCAACAAACAAGAAAAAATGCTCCCCAGCACTTTGGGAGGCCAAGGTGGGCGGATCATGAGGTCAGGAGATCGAGACCATCCTGGCTAACATGGTGAAACCCCGTCTCTACTAAAAATGCAAAAAAATTAGCTGGGCGTCGTGGTGGGCACCTGTAGTTCCAGCTACTCGGGAGGCTGAGGCAGGAGAATGGCGTGAACCTGGGAGGCGGAGCTTGCAGTGAGCGGAGATCGCGCCACTGCACTCCAGCCTGGGCAACAGAGCAGCAGATCAAGACCCCGTCTCAAAAAAAATAAAAAAAAAATAAAAAATAAATGCTCAATATCACTAATGATCAGGGAAATGCAAATCAAAACCGCAATGTGATACCACCTTACTCCTGCAAGAATGGCCATAATAAAAAAATCAAAAAACAGTAGATGTTGGCGTGGGTGCAGTGATCAGGGAACACTTCTACACTGCTAGTGGGGATGTAAACTAGTACATCCCCACCTACATGTGGAAAACAGTGTGGAGATTCCTTAAAGAACTAAAAGTAGAACTACCATTTGATCCAGCAATCCCACTACTGGGTATCTACCCAGTGGAAACGGAGTCATTATACGACAAAGATACTTGCACAGGCAGGTTTATAGCAGCACAATTCACAATTGCAAAATCGTGGAACCAATGCAAATGCCCATCAATCAATGAGTGAATAAAGAAATTGTGGTGTATATATTTGATGTAATACTACTCAGCCATAAAAAGAAATGAATTAACGGCATTTGTAGTGACCTGGATGAGATTGGAGACTACTATTCTAAGTGAAGCAACTCAGAAATGGAAAACCAAACATCATATGTTTTCACTGACATGTGGGAGCTAAGCTATGAGGATGCAAAGGCATAAGAATGATACAATGGACTTTAGGGACTTGGGGTGAAAGAGTGGGAGGGGGTCGAGGGATAGAAGACTACAAATGGGGTGCAGTGTATACTGCCTGGGTGATGGGTGAACCAAAATCTCACAAATCACCACTGAAGAACTTACTCACGTAACCAAATATCACTTGTACCCCAATACCTTATGGAAAAATAAAAAACAGAAATAAAAATAAATAAAAATGGAAAAAAATAAAAGCAATGCAAATTGCTGGTTTTAATTTAAAAAGCCCAGTTGGCTTTGAGACTCTTGATATACGTCATTGTCATCCTTATGCAATACTCAACCAATAGAAGTGGTTCTGGAAGTTCCAATAAGCATCTATATTTTAATCCTGAGAAACTGTGAGGCATTTGTGCCTGCATAGGCCAAGTTTTTCATCCATTCTACTGAATCACTCTATTTATTGACTCCATGAATACAGCAAATTCATCATGTCACTCAGTATTCCCTAGTTATATAACTCTTCCATGTAAGAAATAGCATCAGCAACAGCAACAAAAACAGTAACATCACTGACATTTTCATTAAATATGAGCACTCAGGAATGAACCTGTTGAATTAAATGAATGCACTATTATCTAAGCTTAGTGCCTCTTGGACAACATGTAAAATTGGACTCTTAGCAAGCAATACACTCTACTATCTAAATTCAAATATAATTAACGGTTAGTTTTCCTCATATTTCATATCTCTCTACCTTAACTTCCTGAATTTTACACCTAACTCTATTTATACTCTTTTGTTTTATTGCTAAGGTTTGAGACATGGAAATGGCCAATTTCTCCATATTAAATGTAGATCTTTTTAAATATGTTTTTCACCCACTTAACAATCTTTTTGAATGACCGTTGTTGGTTTGGAAGACCAGATGATGTCCACCTCACTGCTAACTCCATTTTCTTTTTACTTCTCTTCCCTTTGTCTTTTGCTCCTTCTTCCCAGGCATCTACCCACAAAATCTCCTGACTCCCTTGTTATTTGTTTCTTCCCGTCATATTTGCTATGTTTATATCAACTTAATGTTGACAGAGGTATATGTACTTTAGATATCTTTATTAAGGTATGGTGCTGTGACATTCTAACTATAAAGTGTTATCTCAGCATGAATGAAGGCTTATGAAGAGGGAGAAATGTTCTTCAGATTTTTCTTTAAAAGGCAGTGCATTTAGGCTGGGATAGAACACTGATTTCCAAGGATTTCTAACAATATGTGACATCCAGAAAGTCTATTATCTTACACACCAAATTTCAGTAGCCATCTGGGACGCCAAATTACCAATGAAACAAAAGACACGACACAGTAGTAAGGTGCACAGGTTTTGTAATTAAAAAAAAGGAACATGATCATGATTGATTATATTTGCTCCCAAGATTTATGTAACTGACCAAATAATTTTTTTTTCTTTCATGGATCAAACAGTATCTTTGATAGACGCTGTATTGAAAACATTATTTTAATTTTTTATTATTAAAAGAAAAAACCTAGATGTTAATTATTCTTCAGTGATTAAAAAGATACAGATAATATAAAGTTATGGAGGAAAAAGATTTAAAAAGAAAAATGAGAAAAAATGGTAAGCTGGAGAAAATATGCTCTCAAAAATGGAACTCTTTGCTAAGAGCCACAGATGCAATACCTTGAACCTCAGGAGAGCTTTAATTAGTCCAGCTCTTCCTTGAGCGCATGCTCAGAAGCTTTGGTGCTGACTGTAAATTAGGGCAAGGAAATCCAGCAGGGGCCTGGGTGGGTTAAGGGGGAAGGGCAGAATCTTAAAGGGGCAATGACCATTTAAAGGAGCAATGCCTGTCAGCCCCACCGTTCTTGTTGTAGGCTCCTCAACCTGCCACCACAAACCTAATTCAACTTCTGTGTTCCCTGTCTCAGTTAATAGCACCTCCACTCCCCAAGTCTGGCTACAATGACTAAACATGGGAGTTGTTCATGATTTCTCCCTTTTTTGCACCTGCAAAATGTCAATTTTGCTGATTTTTACCTTAAATTTGACTTCATTTTTCCATTCCTGTTATCATTGTTCTGTTTTAAGCCCTCATTGGGTCCTGTTTGGGCCATTACAATAATGTCTAACTGGTGTTATATGCATTTTCCGCTGCTGCCAAATCATCTTTTAAAACTCACATCACTCCGACTTAAAACACTTCAGTGGTTCCCATCACCTGTAGGAAAAAGTTCCAGCCCCTTCCTGGTCTCTGTCAATTCATCAGACGTCATTTCAGATTGCATTTTCTGTTCTCACAATCATCAATTACTTCTGGCATATAGATCCCAATACAAGGTAAATAAACACTGAATATGTAGAAGAGTTTTTGACCCACTTAAAAACATATATTTTTAGGGAGTAAGACGAACTAATCTAATATCTAATTAACACTTAATTTGTTAATTGTATGTCATATAAAATATTAATTTATATATTTTTTCACTCAAATGCATCATGATGTCAAAGAAAAATCCTCAAAAGTTAAAAACATGACTCTCTTACCAATATAGAATTAATCTATGTCAAAGCTTTTATTGCCTTCAATAATTGATGAGGGAACCAGCAGGATGATAAACTGGTTCTAAGAGCATTTGAAGAAATTATTATTTACACACAAAAAAGAATGCTAGAACAGGATTGTTAGATTAGATACAAAACCCGTTAATGTCCCACAGGGTAATGAAATCATAGATTATCCTTCTAACTGAAGATAATCACTTACATCTCTACCACATACTAAAAAAATCTGTAAGTTGACAACTCACTGCACAGTGCCTGAGCTCTTATTAATAGAGTAAATAGTAAAGTCAAATGCAGGAGCATTCTCCTACAGCATTAAATAATCCTGGGGGCAGATCTGTTAAACAATGCTCCATTACTGCATTAAAAAACACACCCACGGCTGGGCACAGTGGCTCACGCCTGTAATCCCAGCACTTTGGGAGGCCGAGGCAGGCGCATCACCTGAGGTCAGGAGTTTGAGACCAGCCTGGTCAACATGGTCTCTACTAAAAATAAAAAATTAGCCAGGCATGGTGGCATGTGCCTGTAATCCCAGCTACTTGGGAGGTTGAGGCATGAGAATCGCTTGAACCTGGGAGGCGGAGGTTGCAGTGAGCCAAGATGGCACCACTGCACTCCAGCCTGGGTGACAGACCGAGACTCCATCTCAAGAAAACAAACAAACAAACAAACAAAAAACCACACCCACCTCTTCTTGCTGTCTTATTATTTCCAAGTTTAGGATAATTTTGCTTAACAATGAAAGTAAAACTTCACATGAATCTTCTACATCAGTGTTTTTGGCATCATGATCGTCTCTTCTTGGGTCAACTAACAAAGTTTTCCAGAACACAACATCTTTAGGTCCTTCTAAGTTTTCTCAGATACAGTACCCTTGGGATCTTGTGTACGTTTTTATCCACTTTGAAAAGGAGATATATATCTTATATAATATAAACACTGTGGAAAAGTGCATAGTTCTGTGGATGTTAAAAATGTAGGAATAGCTATCAAAATAATAATAATCTGTAGCTCTTCAAAAAAGCAAAAGAGAGAAAGGCGGTATAAAAATAGCTTTAACAATCTAACAGTTGGCCATAAAGGAAAAAGAAGATGATAAACAGAAAACAAAATAAGTTGGTAGAAATAATTTCTGATATACCGCTCCCAATAAATACAAACGGATTTAACTCATCTATTACAAGACAAAGATGGCCGGGCGTGGTGGCTCACGCCTCTAATCCTAGCACTTTGGGAGGCCAAGGCAGGTGGATCATGAGGTCAGGAGATTGAGACCATCCTGGCCAACATGGTGAAACCCCGTCTCTATTAAAAATACAAACGTTAGCTGAGCGTGGTGGCGTGTGCCAGTAATTCCAGCTACTCAGGAGGCTGAGGCAGGAGAATCACTTGAACCAGGGAGTTGGAGGTTGCAGTAAGCCGAGATCGTGCCACTGCACTCCAGCCTGGTGACAGAGTGAGACTCGGTCTCAAAAAATAAATAAATAAATAAATAAATAAATAAATAAATTAAATAAATAAATAAATAAAATAAAAATAAATAAATAAAATAAATAAAAGATAGACACTATCAACCTGGATGGAAAAAAGAAGTCCTCCTTTCATAAACATGCTGCTATGGTCTGAATGTTAGTGTCTGTCTTAGTCTATCTGTGCTACTCTGACCGAATATCACTGACTTGGTCATTTATAAAGAAAATAAATTTGTTTATTACAGTTCTAGAGGCTGGGAAGCCTAAGATTAAGGTGCTAGCAGGTTTGTTGTCTGGTGAGGGCTGCACTGTCCAAAGAGGAGGAACATTATATCCTCACATGGCAGAAGGTGGAAGGGCAAACGGGACAAATTCCCTTGTCATGCCATTTTATAAGGGCACCTAATCCCATTTATGAGGGCAGAACCCTCATGAGTAATTTACTTCCCAAAGGCCACACTTCCCAATACTGTTGCATTGGAAATGTCTGAATTCTGGAGGGAAACATATTCAAACCATAGCATTCTGCCCCTGCCCCCTCACCCAAATTCATGTCCTTCTCACACAAAAATACATTTATTTCATGTCAATAGCCCCTAAAATCTTAGCTCATTCCAGCATCAACTTTATAAAGTCTAAAGTCCAGAGATATGGGAACCAATGCATGGTTCATCCTGAGGCAAATTCCTCCCCAGCTGTAAACTTGTGAAATCAAACAAGTTATGTGCTATCAAAACAATAGTGTACAGGCATAGGATAGACACTGCTATTCCAAAAGGGAGAAATAGGAAAGAAGAAAGGGGTAACAGGTCCTAAGTAAGTCTAAAACCCAACAGGGAAACCCTGTCTGGTTGCTTTGCTAGCAGCAGTCCCCACTTCACTTCTCACTGGCTAGGGTCACTGCACACCTCCCAATACTCTTGCATTGAGAACATCTGAATTTTGGAGGGGAAACATTCAAATGACAGCAGTGTCCCCCTAAATTAGTGTTGGAACCTAATACCAAATGTGATAGTATTAAAAAGTAGGGCCCTTGAGAAGTGATTAAATCATGAGGGCTCCATCCTCATGAATGGGATTAATGCTCCCATAAAAGACTCTGGAGAGCTCTCTTGTCCTCCTACTGTAAAGATGCGACAAGAAGGTGACATCTTTGAAGCAGAAAGCAGTCCTTCATCAGACACCAAATCTACCGGTGCCTTGATTTTAGACTGCCCAGCCTCCAGAACTGTGAGCAATAAATTTCTGTTGTTTATGAATTACCCAGTCTAAGGTATTTTGTTATAGGAGCCAAAATAGACTAAGACATATGCCTTAAGCAGAAAGAAACTTACAGGATGAACATAAAAAGACTATATAAGAATAAAAAGATTACAAGGAAAATACAAACAACAGAAAAGGTGATGCAACAATATTGATATGAGACAAAGTAAAAAAGACCAAAAGCACTAAAAAGAGCTATTTCATCACGATAAAAAAGATTCAACTAGTACCTTTATGAGCACACAGAGACAAAAAGAGAACTTGATAAACTCAAAAATGATATTAATTTTGGAAAATTTTGATATATTAAAAACTGATACATTCAGCACAGAAAAATTAAGTAATAATATAGACTACTTAAATAAAATTAGATCAACAAGTTTGATTAATAGTTAGAGAATCTTGCACACAACAAGTGGAGAATATATGTTATTTCAATACACGTGGAACATTGAAAAAAAAAAAAGGCTACGGGCTGGGCATGGTGACTTACACCTGTAATCCCAGCACTCTGAGAGGCTGAGGCGGGTGGATCACTTGAGGTCAGGAGTTTGAGATCAACTTGTGCAACATGGCAAAACCCCATTTCTACAAAAAATAAAAATGAGCCATGGTGGTGTCTGCCTATAGTTCTACCTACCTGGGAGGCTGAGGTGGAAGGATCACCTGAGCTGGGGAGATTAAGGCTGCAGTGAGATGTGATCAAGCCACTGCACTGCAGCCTGGGTGACAGAGAAAGATACTGTCAAAAAAAAAAAAAAAAGAATAAAAAGAGAAAAATCACATATTAGGTCACAAAAAATTAAAACAATTTCCAAGATTTAATATAATCTCTGTCTACAAAGCATATAAATTATAAACAACACTAAAAAGATGGTAAAAAAAATAGCAACCTTTAATTGGAAACAAAAAATGCACTAAAAATAGCTCATTGGTTAAAGAAGAAATGACAATGTCATGAAATATTTAAAAGTAAAGACAACAAAAGTACCACATGACAAAACTTGTCGGATGGAGCAAAGTCCTATAGAAAGGTAAGTACAACCTTAAATATAATTATTTTATTTATTTATTTATTTCTGAGACAGAGTCTTGCTCTGTTGCCCAGGTTGGAGTGTAATGGCACAATCTCAGCTCACTGCAACCTCCTTCTCCCAGGTTCAAGTGATTCTCCTGCCTCAGCCTCCTGAGTAGCTGGGACTATAGGCCTGTGCCACCACGTCCGGCTAATTTTTGTATTTTTAGTAGAGACGGAGTTTCACCATGTTTGCCAGGCTGGACTTGAACTCCTAACCTCAGGTGATCCACCAGCTTTGGCCTCCCAAAGTGCTGGGATTACAGGCGTGAGCCACTGAGCCCAGCCACACATAATTATTCTTCAAAAAGAAATATTAAAAGCAAAGAAGCTAAACTTCAAGTCATGTGGCTAGTAAAAGAATTACAAAGTAACAAAAGTAAAAAAAAAAAAAGGAAAGAATTCATATAATCAATGAAATAAAAAAATTCACAAAACTTTTTAAAAAATAATAAAGTAGACAAACCTCTGGCAAGACTGATAAGATTGGAACAATAAAGATGAACACTATTCAGAATGAAAAATGGGACATAAACAGTTAGACCCTTATTTTTAAAAATCCCAAGAAAACAATATGAACTAGTTTATTCCAAAAACAATTTCTAAACTAGATAAAATAGAAACATTTCTAGAAAAAAAGTGGTTCAAGAAGAAATGCAAAGACATACGAATATATCTAGTTATACACACCTATTTATCTTTACCCATTATCTATAAATCTGTAATAAAGAGGCTCCCCCTGCAAAACAAGCTAAGTCTAGATGGTTGCAGGAGAGTTTTACCAAACACTCACACTCATGTTATGAAAGCACTATAAAATCTTACTGCCAAATCTAGACATAAGCATCAGGAAGAAAAGAAAATTATAGGCCTAGTTCGCTAGTCACAGATGTAAAGTCCCTAGACAAAACACTAGCAAATTAAATTTGGCAATAAATAGCAATATCGTGAGCAAGTATTAATAGGATTTATTCCAGTAAAGTTCAATATCAAAAAAACTATTACCATAATGTACCCGATTATCAGATTCAAGAAGAAAAACAATAGGATCATGTCAATAAATGCAAAAAGCACTTATTAAACTTCAGCATTTATTAATAATGAGGATTCGTAGGAAACAGCCAAAGAAGGAAACTTTTTAAACTATTAATAGTACTTATACAGAAAACGTTTCCTTAAGTAAGAGAGAGAAAAAAATCTTAAGAGTTTATAGAGTTTACAGTTTCCAACCCACTGATAAATTCAATTACAGTGAGCATTCATTTAATTGCTAAAAAAAGAAAGCAGCTGACCAGTAAAGCCTAGCTACCAATACGCTGCAACAGACATCACAATTAACGGAAAATTTTGGAAGCATAAGAAGGATACTGGCAGGTCAAGGACACTAGCTGGTCGCCATTTCTATTCAATGTTAAACTAGAAGTCATGGTCTAGACAATGGAATACTATGCAGCTGTTAAAAAGACAACACATAATAAACAAAAAGGCAAATGAGGTTAGGAGGTGGAGGCATGAGGGGACTAACGCAGGTGTCCAGCGTCCCTTGGCCCTGCCACGCTTTTTTTTTTTAATTTCCACCTGACAAACTGCCGTTTATCCTTTAAATACCTTGGCAGCCATCACATCCTGCCCCTTCGTCTTTTGCACTTCCTTTGTACCTCGTGCATACTTCTATAAGCAAATGTATCCGACGGTTTTACAAGAATTTGCTTGCCTACCAGTGTACTTAACCCATGGCTAGCACAGAATAGGACTGGAAAGAAATGCTGCACAGACAGCACTTTTCTCTGAAGGCTCTAGGGCTCCCCAAGCCCCCGCATTAAACTGGTTTGGGCAAAACGACAGGCATTGCTGAGAGCCGCCAGGCCGCCCGCCAGCTGCGGGTCCCCTGTAGGCAGAGCCCTGGGTCACACGCGGACGCGGTCCCGATGTTTCTTCTCAGGCCCTCAGCCCGGCCCACTTCCTCTTTCCTCACTTTAAGGCGCAGACAGCGGTCCCTCTCAAAACAAAACGTACACCAAAACACCATTTTTTTTTTAAACAGGAAGTCCAGAGGCCCGGGTCCAGGGCATCCAGCCCCGGATCTCGAACGCCCTCCTCGCCCCTCGCCCCGCGTAGCCCGGCTGCGCTCCCCGCTCCCCGCCCGGCGTCCACCTCTCGAGCCTGACAGCCCCGCCGCCCGCGCAGGCGCCCCGCCCCGGCCCGGCCCGCCCCGGCCCCGCCGCCAGCGCTTCCATCCCCGCCCCGGCGGGTCCAAGCCGGTGCCGGGCGCCCAGGGGTTGCCGCGCTGGGCGGGAGGGCAGCGCCTGAGAGGGCGGTGGGGTGGCGGGGTTCCTGCGCGCGGCCCGCCATGGAGGTGGAGGAGGCGTTCCAGGCGGTGGGGGAGATGGGCATCTACCAGATGTACTTGTGCTTCCTGCTGGCCGTGCTGCTGCAGGTAAGTCCCCGCGGCCCCGCAGCCGCATTTCCCTCTTCAGGGCCGCCCGGCGCAGGGCTAGGCGTCCGCTCCCAGACCGCCGGGGCCGGGGCCGAGGCCGAGGCTCTGCAAACACCGAGGTGTGGCGAGCGTCGGGGTGGGGCAGGGGCGAGGCGCCGCGCGGTGGCCTGGGCCCGGCCGGCAGCGTCAAGGTCGCCGGCCGGCCTCAGAGCCTCTTGGGTTCTGCTGGGCCCTCCACCCCGCCACCTTGAGTGGTGGAAGGAGCGTGTTGGGGGAGGTTTCTCAGCCGCTATGCTGGTTAAGGAGGGATGCAAAATTGTGTTACCTGCCCTACGCTGTTGCCTATAACACGCTGCAAATATGAAGGGAATTGTTACCCTACCTGTGGCACTGTCACCTTGGAATCTAGGACACAGTCTTGATAATCTGCAGACAAAAGGTTGTGTCTAGGATCGCCTCCCTCTGCGCCGGGTGTCCTCTGCCTCTTTTCCTGGGCTTGAGGGGGCTTACTCTTCTAGGGGCTTTCAAAGCATAGGATTTATTTCCCTCTGGTTTAAGTTCTGCTGGCTCATTCGGCCCTGCGCCAGCCTTGGGCTGAGACTCCCGTGAGCCGAATAGTGCCATCTACCATGTGTGGTTATCAAATGGAATCACTTCTTCATTATAAAGAATTCTCAGAACCTACTTGTACACCCCAGCCTCAAAATATCGATTCCATATGCGAAAGGTCACTACAGATTAACTGCGCCAGGCAAGGATTAGTCCTTCACCAACTTAAATGGCTCATTTGACATTAGTCGCTTCTCTCAATATGCCAGAGGCATTTCATTCACAAATCCTTTCTTAGTATTTGCTGTGAGCCAGCCATTTTACTCTTTCCTTCAGTCATCAGGTTTAATACGGGCTAGGATGTGCTGAACATAGGGATGCCATGGTGGACAAATCATTGACTGCCCTCAGGAGCTTGCATTCCAGTGGCTGCGGGTGGGGCAGGCAGACAGTTAAGTAATTTAGTTAGCATGTGATGATAGTTATTCTGCAGGAAGTACAGAGTGGTCATGGATATAGCCACCAGTCCACAAGTTGCTTAAAGCTTGCATAAGACAGTGGCTCAACAGGAAGATGGGGGAAGGTAGGGGTTGACTTATTGATTAAAATGTTTGGAAGTTCAGTTGATTTCATCATCAGCCAGAAACGGTTCAAATGATGGAGTCAGTTCTTTTTCTAGCCGAACAGTTCTCAGCTCACGAATATGTGGTATTCTGAAGTTCTTTTAAGCTCGTTGTTTTAGCTTTAAACAAGCTTTCCCCAGGGAGAAAAAACGTTCAAGCTAAATGATAAGAGTATTTAATACCGAGAAAGAAGAATTGCAACCATGATGCCTGATCTTTATTTATAACAGTTTCTTTGAGAAAACCCTTTTTTTCTGTTCCAGCCATGAATTCCAGGAACATACATCCTTTCTTGAACAATCCCAGCTCCCCATCCCTCTATCCCTACCCTTCACTTCCTGTTATCATTTTCTTATTTGCCTAGCCAAGTATCCACTAACTTGGAGTAAGTTTGTCTTCAGTAGAGTGAGGTTCTAAAAAGGCCAGTGTTCTCGGTTTAGGACCTGTTAAGTTTCTCTAACTTACTTTTATTTATGGTTGACCCAGTTAGTTAGAGTTTGCTATCAAAAAGTTCCAAGCCCATGCCTATGACCGTTCACTAAACCTTGGATGATTTATGGTCAGTATTTGCGGTACAAGGACCAGGTCTTAGAGTGTTGGGGATGAGTGACTGATTGTTTATCTTATAGATGTGGGTGGGAAGATGCCCTGTAGCTGTGCTTATACCAGTGGAGGAGATGCCAGCCTAGGCAAAAGTGAATCCTTCACATGCTACGTGTTTTTAAGGACTCAGTTACCCCATTGAGATACATGATCCAGGGGGTTGTAGAGCCACCCAGAGCTACCCTGGGTATGAGAGTGGATATCCCCAAAGACCTCTCTACCAAGTCTGTTGTTGGAGATGTTTTGTATTACGGCAGCTGGTCTGTGGAGTGGGAGTACTGTGGAGTCCCATTGCTCAGTTGTATCACAGGTGATTTCATCATTCTTGGGGATGAGGTTTTGCTTCCCCCAGCAGAGTAAGAAGCCCTTTTTACACAGTTGCCTTAAATGAAAGGGGGTTTTTCTGCTTTTAAAATCAAAGGAGTTTTCGTACCATTGCCCAAGGAAGGGGCAGACCAACAACACAGCAACAAGGCCAGAGAGAGGGAGCCTCTGCTTCAGTGGGAGCCTTCTCCCCATCTGCGATTTGATAATGATTAACCCCAGCTGAGAGGCACAAAACCAGAAGGACAGAGGTGGAAATTTTACAGGCCTTTTAACATTTTCCTTCTTCTGGGACCATTATTATTATTTTTAAAAATGATTTTCCCTTTACCCCAAACACATCTATGTTCAAACTAAGAGGACAAAACCACATAGCAAAGCCAATTCTAAAGGGTTTTTGGTTAACTGTTTTCTTGAATTATTGGTACCATCATGTAGATCATCAAAAGTTACTTCACTATCCAGTTTCCTTTGGCTAGGAGACTTGCCCTCATACTCCTTGCAAACACAATTTTTGGAATCTCAATAGCATTCAACTTTGAGATAACTAAAGAACAGATGCAGATTTTGCAGATTTTTCCTCAGCGTAAGATGCAAATGCCCTGAAAATGGTGATATGTGGTATTAATGTACATAAACAAAAAGTGAAGGGAAAAAGATTGCCTATGTAAAAATGGTTGACTTATGAATAAACAATAAGCTTTACAGTTAGAAACATTCTTACCATCAAAATGTACTTGCTCTCCCTAGGATCAGAGCTATCTGCGATATTTAAATAGGAATAATTCTATTTAGCATATTACTGTTTCTCTTCTGATGGTGATTCCGAGTTGCTGCCATCGTCACTATTTTGTGTTTGTGTATGTGTTTGCTTGTTGTCTAGGCTCTCTGGAGGAGGAGGGTTGGAATACAATTCATTGTTTCTTGATTCCTTTAGACATGCAATGAAAATGGACGTTACTTCTTTGTTCTAAGCCAGAGGCTCCTGCTTTGTCATTTTCCTCAAAATCATGAATCGTACATTATATTATAATTTGCACAGAATTTAAAGCCCCCATTTACTATCAGGAACATGTAATCTATAACAAGCATTCACCAGCAAAATTGTGATGCTGTGCTATGAATCTCATCTTAGATTCTGGTGTTCAGGAATGCATTATTTTTATATATATATTAAGTATATATATATACTTAATAACCTTATTTTTTAGATCCTGGAATGACCAGTGCATTAATATTATCCATGCAATAAATAGCTTTTCTCAGCATTTTAGAAAGTAGAATGATTGCAGAAGAGGAAACTGTAATAGTCAACACACGAAAAGATGTTTTAACTTCAGTGGTCATCTGGGACAGGCATATTAAAATGGATATGAAATACCATTTCACACTTGCTATATTAGCAAACATTAAACAATCTAACAGTACAAGTGTGATGAAATGATAAATAGAAACTATACCCCATTTAGAGAACAATTTGGCACCATCTAGTAGAATTAAAACCTAGCATTGAACTCCTAGGTACACATCCCACATTGTCCCTTGAGCACGTGCATAGGGAGATATGTGTAAGATGTTTACTGCAACACTGTCTATTATAACAAAAGTTAGAACCACCTGACTTTCAAAACAAGACTGGATAAGATGTGGTATAAATTTAATAGAATACAACGTCTGAAATAAATGAACTAGATCTATATATGACTATATGGAGGAATTTCTAAAACACAATGTTAAGTGAAAAAAAAGCAGAACAGTGTATACTATGTGACACATATTCTTAATACAAATTTTAAAAACACACAAACCAATGCTATATTTGTTTCATAAATATATATAAACAGTATAGAAATATAAGAACATGGAGTAGAAAGATCCACACCCAATTCATGAGATTGGTTGCCTCTTGGGAAGGAAGGGAAGGGGTGGGCTTAGGGGAGGGTACAAAGGAGATTGCATCTGTTATCATTTGTTAATTGTGATAGTAGTTTCATGAATCTTATTTTTTGCTTTTCCATATTAAATATTTTTAAGTGAAAAGATGGTAAAGGGAAGAAGATATGCATATCTAAGAGAGAATACTATAGTTTGCTGTATGAGAATAATGGTTCATTCTTTTTTAAAAATCAATATTCCTTTGATCAATTATGGCTGTGAATTGTGGTCCTTTAAACACAGGAGGGTGGGGTAGAGTGAGTTTTATTCAGCCTGTTTTGTTAAACTTCATGTAGAATGCTATCACAGCTTACCTTCCCTATCTGCTTATACGTGGCACCATGTCCCTCCACAGGAAATTCTTAGGTCTGATGAGATATGGCTGAGATCATAGCTGGTTCTTCTAACCTCCCTGGCATAAGCAAGTGATGAAGTTCACACCATAAGCATTAGTGAAGCTCTTGTTCAGTTATAAAAGACTAACTGTCATCCCCAGGATGTTCTCACCATCACTGAGGCTTCAGCCATGATGAGAACCTATGGTCTTACTAAGACCCTTTCATGAGTCCAAAACATGTGGCCATTTACCAGGGCTCTCTGTCAGTTTGAGCAAGTTTTATGCAGCTCCTACTGTCAAATTTTATTTCAATTAGCCCTCACACAGTGGCCTGGAGGTTGGGTCTCCTGAGGGTTTATGGTGATCTGGGAACTTTTGCCTTTCACCAGTTTAGGTGGGTGGGGCAAAGAGACAAACACAGTGGTTTGGTCAAAGAAACCAAACCCACACTGGCCCCCACACCCTCAGGAAAACTGTTGTTGTCCATAGACAGACACTGCCCCCTAGTGTAAAGCAGATAAAGTTGTTGATCTATTAGACAGATTTTCCTCCAGGGAGGCTGTAGAGATACAGGAGGCCTCCAGAAGGGTTAAGGAGCTCCTTTGAGCCTGGATGTCTCAAGAATTAGGACATTCCATGGAAAGCAACTAGACTGATACCTCTGCAGCACCCAAACCCCCAGCCGAATGCCTTCCAAGGCCATCCCTGGCTGTTTGACTTGTGCCTTGACAGTGAAGGTATTATCTTCCAAGATAGCACAAAAATAGTCATTAAAGTCACGAGGACAGGCAATGTGAATATGGCAGAAAGAACACTAGGCTTGAATGTTGTGCTACTCTGCTGCAAGATGGCATTATTAGGCAATTGTTATTAGGCAAATGACCCATCAGTCTCTACTGTGCACTTGGAAATGGCTGGATCACGAAAGTTTAATTTGTTTTGCAAGTTTAGGATTTCTCAGAGTTTCCCAATGCCCAACAATTAATTGGCCTTGGGGCAGTGTTGACCCTAGGTTTCAGAATACCAGCTTGGTTCATAACCACAATTAGAGGTTGCCTTAGAAGAAAAAGACTCTCAAATCCAAAGATGCACACAGCTCGGGACTCTCCTCTCTGACTTCTTTGACCAAACACTCATGCAAATTGATATCTGCCTTCATGGGACATCATATAGTACTCAACAAATGGCATATGGTGATTGTAGAAAAAAGAGAAAATATAGAAATTAATACAAATCACTAGTGATTCTACCACCCTAAAGTAAAGCATGCTCACATTTTGGTGTATAGCCTTCCAGACTCTTTATTATATAAATATTGTATATCCATCTTTTTTGCAGAAATGTGTATCATAACTGCATTTTGTCTCTCAGCAATGTTGTGAATGCGTTGCTATGCATGTAAAGGAACAACTACATATTTTTTAGTGGCTGTAGCATGGTATTTCAATATATGGCCATAGTATAATTTGCTATTCAGTTCTCTTGTGTTGCATATGTTATGCTTCCTCTTTTTCAAGTTCACAAACCCACGCAGCCCATGGTATTGGTTCTTTCTTCTGTTCTGACCTTTACTTCTTGCCAGTTGATTGTTTATCAGTCTTCTCAAGCCCAGACTTCTCCTGATTCCATTCATATAGTTCTACCTAGATGCTTTTTGTCCCAACTTCATGGATAAAATAGAGGTTAGCTGGTGTAAATTTTCTAAACATCGTTTCCTTTTACTTCAAAAGTTTTTTTCATCCTCACCTATCTTAAATACCTTCTCTGTTAGGGAACATGTCCAAGAGGAAGACATGTTTCTGCCCTCTTGCTAGGGATATCTTTTCACTTTTGTTTTTGATTCTATGTAATCCATCAGTTATTTCTAATCCTATCTCTTTCTGCATTCTCTGCAGAATAGCCTGCATGGTAGATATATGGAAATTGTATTAAATAGCATTAACTCTTAATAAGTGATAGAGTTATGCCCTTCTGGAGCCTTCTTTAGTTGTGTTTATCTAAGGAGAAAGTCTCATTTGGTGTTAGCACTTCTAAAAACATTTCCAAATATTTCTGTTTTAACAAAGGGAATGAGCTAGCATGAAAGAATTAGAGGAGCTTCAGTAGAAAACATTATCTAGTTGGAACTTAATATTATTCTGTTTTATTGTATTTATTCATTTTCTTTTAAAACTTCTTTTAAAATTATGAGACATTTCTGATGGAAAAATACAGAGAGTAATATGACAAACGCACATGTACTTGCTTCCAGATTTAATAAATGCAGATATTTTGCCTTATTTGTTTAATGTTGTGTCAGTCATAGTTCTACTGGAGAAGCAGGACCCCTAGGATGGAGATGTGTGTGTGTGTGTGCACGCGCACATGTGTGTGTATGTGTGTTTATGTAAGATTATATATGTATAATCGATGCATCATTCATTATGGAGATTTGACTGTATACTGTTGCGGGAGCTCGTTCAGCAGGCCCTGTAAGGCTGTTGTCTTCGTGTGTGATGTTGGAGCTTGAAGTCTGCAGGACAGGCAGTCGAGAAGGGAAGATATGATCTGGAGCCCATCAGAAGTGACTGGAATCTGTGTCATTCTCCCTGCCTCCAACCTTGATGAAGTGGCTGCCTTTCATCATAGAATTAAACATGTACCTGGGCAAGGAGTCAGAGCAGCTGAAGGAGGATCCATGGGAAGGTGGAGTGGTTGCAGCCTCGTGACTGTGCCACGCCAATGAGGTGGACCAGCACATAAGTGGTAAGCTATGTGAGGCACTAAGGCACCTGCCCCAACCTGGGCATAAAATGCAAAAACAGCTGCTCTTTCACTTTCACCCCTCTCCCAAATCTAGCCTGAAAATGTCTCCTGTGGCCCACCTTAAATAAAAACATACTAGCTAACACTTGGCATTCTAACATTGTGCATATTTTTGTAGTTCCACCTGCCAAGTGATGTCTGAATTGATATAAAATTCTATTTTATGTTAATTTACTAAAATTAAAACATTTGAATTGATTTTAAAGAAGACTATTGAGTAAATACTAGCAGACAGAAAATGGGCATGTGAAAACTAGCAAGGGGTACTCAGATGACTGAAGTTAGGGAAAAGCTGAGCTAGCCATATAATTCTTCCCAGTTATGTAAAGATATATTCTTTACTTTCCTGACTCTGATTGGGCTATTGCTTTACCAAATAATTTCTTTTCCTGAGTTTTGTTTTCATTAACTCCTTAGCAGCCTTTACTACCTGCTCAAGTATCATATTAACAACCTTTTCCTGATTCTCCTAGGTGGAATTCACATCTCCATTCTTTGTGCTCTCATGAACTTCATTCCCAGTATGGCTAATATAGCATTCATCACAATCCACCTTGTATTTACAGCTTTGGATATACAGTCATGCCCCACATAACAATGTTTCTGTCAATAATCACATATGCGACACTGGGCCCATAAGATCATAATGGAGCTGAAAAATTCCTATTGCCTAGTATTTCCTGTGCTATATTTTTAATTGTTATTTTAGAGTGTACTCCTTCTACTTGCAAAAAAAAGTTAACTGTAAACCAGCCTCAGGCAGATTCTTCGGGAGACAGTCCAGAAGAAGGCATGGTGTGATAGGAGATGAGGGTTCCATGTCTTCAGGATGTTGTTTTCCTGAAGACCTTCCATTGGGACAAGATGTGGAGGCAGAGACAGTGGTATTGATCCTGACTCTGTGTAGGTCTAGGCTAATGTGTGTGTGTCTTAGGTTTTAACAAATAAGTTCAAAAAATTTTTAAAAATAGAAAAAAGCTTATAGAATAAGGATATAAAGAAAGAAAATATTTTTGTACAGCTATATAATGTGTTTGTGTTTTTAGCTCTGTTACTACAAAAGAGTCAAAGAGTTAAAACATTTTAAGTTTAAAAAGTAGAAAAGCTACAGTAAGTTTAATTATTATTGGAGAAATAATTAAAAAAATAAATTTAGCCTAACTGTACATTGTTTACAAAGTCTACTGTAGTGTCCTAGGCCTTCACATCCATTCACTCCTCATTCAGTGACTCACGCAGGGCAACTTCCAGTCCCGCAGGCTCCGTTCATGGTAAGTGTCCTTTACAGGTGTACCATTTAAAAAATCTTTTATTGTATATTTTCTATGTTAGGTATGTTTAGAAATACAGATACTCACCATTGTGTTGTAGTTACCAACAATATTCAGTATAGTAACATGCCTTACAGATTTGTAGCCTAGGAGGAATAGGCTATGCCATATAGCCTAGGTGTATGGGAGGTTATAGATCTAGGTTTGTGTAAGTGCACTCTGACGTTTGCACAATGATGGACTCGCCTAAGGACACATTTCTCAGAACGTTTCCCAGTTGTTGAGTGATGCATGACATATGACTGTTTGTTGTCCTCATTTGAATGCATGTGCCTTGAAGGAAAAGACTACTTTTTATCCATTTTATCATCTGAGGTGCATAATATAATGTGTTGCAAAGTTTTGGTGCTTGTTACAATTTTGTTTTTTTTTTAAAATTAAACCATTGAAGAAGAAGGGATGGTCAGCTGGTGGTGTTACCATTTTACTTGAAAAAGAGAGAGAAGGCCGGGCGCGGTGGCTCATGCCTGTAATCCCAGCACTTTGGCAGGCCGAGACAGGTGGATCACAATGTCAGGAGTTCAAGACCAGCCTGGCCAAGATGGTGAAACCCTGTCTCTACTAAAAATACAAAAATTAGCTGGGTGTGGTGGCGGGTGCCTGTAATCCCAGCTACTCGGGAGGCTGAGGCAGAGAATTGCTTGAACCCGGGAGGCAGAGGTTACAGTGAGCTGAGATCGCGCCACTGTACTCCAGCCTGCGTGACAGAGCGAGACTCCATCTCAAAAAAAAAAAAAAAAAAGAGAGAGAAACAGATGCGATTAAATACTTTGTTCAGAATTTTTTTTAAATTTATTTTTAAATCGAGGTGGAGTCTCACTATGTTGCCCAGGCTGGTCTTGAACTCCTGGACTCAAGTGATCCTCCTGCCTTGGCTCCCTAAAATGCTGGGATTATAGGCATGAGCCACCACACCTGGCCTAGTCTTAATTAGTGATTGGAGCAAAAATTAGCTAACAGAGTTACTAGTTTTTTTTTCATCTTTTTTTTTGGTTATACCATTATGCAAGGAGTTAGTTAAAAAATGTATTTGATAGACTATACATATTTGATATATATATGAGATAGACTTTTATGTATATAGCAGTGTGTTGGGTTCTTTAGAGGGAAATAGCAGTATAAATTAGGGTTTCTTTCCTTCAGGAGGTGACAAATCATTGAAAATTAGAGTTGAACTATTATCTACACATTATATAATGATACAAAGCAATATTTCCCCCGTAAATAATACAGCCAACTAATGCTTTGGAAATTAAGAAGGGAGACGGTGTGGTCTAGAGTGATTTGTTGAAGCCGTCAGAGAGATATCTGAGCTTGAGCTGAACTTTGAAGCTTGGATTTAGGGAGAAATGGGAAGGTCATTTCAGGTAGAAAAACATAAAACTGGAATAAGTGTGGAAGAGGGAATAACTTATGCCCTTGCTACACAGAGTATGGTTGTTGGTTGTTGCAGCTTATTGGAAATGCAGACTCTTACCCCCACCCCAGACTTAGGGAGTCACATTAAATTTGGGAAGCACTAATATATGCTATTTGTACAGTGCTATGCAATTCACTGTTGACTATGGAGGAATCCCACTTGACACTGAAGATGGGTTAATATGATATTAATGACTTGGATAAAGATGTACCATTAGCGTCTGGTCTTAACTGGAAGAAAACGAAACAGAGAGGTTTGGATTTGCTCAAGGTTTAATTAGAGCTGAGGTTCAGACTTGGATAACAGATTCCACTGCTTTCACACCACACAGTGAATAAGTCATGTTAGGGGAATTGAATAGGCTGGTAGAGGAAGCTTGAATGCAGATTAGTTAGCACCTGGACCATGTGGTGGAGGATCTGGAATGCTAGAAAACTTATCATTTATCCATTAATACGTTTTGACTGGAAGAGTTTCATGAGGAGTTTCAGGGAGATTGATCTGGTGTCATAATGTAGATAGATTTTTTTTTTTTTTTTTTTGAGACGGAGTCTTGCTCTGTCACCCAGGCTGGAGTGCAGTGGCGCAATCTCGGCTCACTGCAAGCTCCGCCTCCCGGGTTCACGCCATTCTCCTGCCTCAGCCTCCCCAGCAGCTGGGACTACAGGCGCCTGCCACCACGCCCAGCTAATTTTTGTATTTTTATTAGAGATGGGGTTTCTCTGTGTTAGCCAGGATGGTCTCGATCTCCTGACCTTGTGATCTGCCTGCCTCGGCCTCCCAAAGTGCTGGGATTACTGGCATGAGTCCAGCCAATGTAGATAGATTAAAATGAGGAAGAAACAGTATTTAGAGGCACCAGTTACTCCGGGTGTGTTAGTGTGTCTCAAATTTTACACAAAAAAAAATAGCTAGTATTAGTAAGTCAACCAACAAATATTTATTGAATACCCACTTTGTGCTGGACACTGGGCATATAATCCTGTCTTCATGATTATGGTCTTGCTTATGTAATGCTTTTGATTGAGTCAATTAGGTAACTGAGTACTAAATGCATAAAAAAACTAAAGGTAATGGCAACAATAAAATAATCTTTGATTCCTCCCCTCCCTTTATTTTCTCCGAAAAAAGCTCTGGCCCCAAAGTTAAGTGGTTCTCGTTCTCATCCTGGTTTTGCAATTAGTGTTTTATATAACATTGAACAATTTACTTAATCGTTCTGTATCTCATTTTTCCTACTTAAAAAAATAAACATTGTACTGAACCATGACTTCACAGCACAAGGTATTGTGATGAGATAATTTATAGGAGACTTTTTTGGTTTCCTGAGAAGTATTATAAGAGCTCTTAATGGTGTTAATATGAAATTACTTTAAAAACCTTCACTTCTTGAAACTTTAAAAATTTCAATCCCCTAGTGCATTTTAGTCATTTTTCTAATTATAATTACATTGAAAGGGGGAAAAAAATCCAGCCATCTGTGGCACTTGTTCTCCTTCCCTAGAGGTAGAGCTAGAGAAGATAATGATTTATTTGAGATGTTGTTATTCCCACTCTGGTAGACAATGGATAGTGGTTGCTGTTTGTGGCTTTAAGGCCCATCTGCTGATGGGTGCAATTTTATTAGGCAAAAATATGTGGGTGAATGTGTGCATGGTAGTTGTAGATAACAGTGGAGAGAAGAACGAGCGAATATTTTTGTTTTTTGGGGGGGAAAGGAATACTATGTGAGCTGTGTGAATTTGTCACAGCCAAAGATAGCAAACCAAAGAGAACCACCCCCATATTCTATGTGTAGGTGATTCTTCCCCATGGCTAGTTAATGCTAAGCCATCTTTGACTTTCTATGACCATATGACCCTTGTGTAAGTGACTGCAGAATAGAGGATCTATTTTTTGGGGGGGGACTCTCTCTGTCACCCAGGCTGGAGTGCAGTGGTGCAATCTCAGCTCGTTGCAACCTCCGTCTCCTGGGTTCAAGCAGTTCTTCTGCCTCAGCCTCCCAAGTAGCTGGGATTACAGGCATGTGCCACCATGCCCAGCTAATTTTTTTTTTTTTTTTTGTATTTTTAGTAGAGACAGGGTTTCACCATGTTGGTCAGGCTGGTCTTGAACTCCTGACCTCAAATGATCCACCCACCTTGGCCTCCCAAAGTCCTGGGATTACAGGTGTGAGCCACTGCACCGGGCTGAGGACCTAGTATTAATCTGAATGCAGTGTTTAAGCATTGCCTCTCTGAGCTAATTTCTCATAGTACCCCTTTCATAGCATTTATGAAACAGTATCATTACTGCTTGCCTCTTCTGGCTCCCTTATGGTTAGCAAAAGTAAGCATGACTATGGGTATTGGAGGAGACAAAAAGGCTAACACCGTTTTATTGAGGCTGGCACTGCATAGAAGAGTTGCAAGTTTCTGACTCTTCTGGTGGCATAAAGCTGTGGACCTGTGTGTTCTGTGAGGGCCTTGGATGTGTGTGTGTGTGTGTGTTTGTGTGGGTGTGTGTGCATGTGCAGGAGGTGGGTGAGGAAGACATTGTGAAGAGTGGGAGGAGAACAGAGAAGATGAGAAAAGTGGAAAGTGCTTATTCTGCCTGCAGGTTGCTAGAAAGAAAACTGGTTAATACTGATTAATACAGATAATACTGATTAGGTAGATTTCACTATTCCCTACATTATGAATAAGGGTATATAGCAACATCACTTTATTTTTGAGTTGTTTTCTCCAAACTGGCTTTATTGAGAATGGTGTCCTTCATAATGGACCATGCCTCAGATTAGAGGACCCTTTGGAGCATTTCTTCTTTTATCTGTAAGGTTGCTTATCCTAGAACAATCCAGATAAAAATATGATATGTTGGCCAGGCACAGTGGCTCATGCCTGTAATCCCAGCATTTTGGGAGGCCGAGGCAGGTGGATCACTGGAGATCAGGAGTTCAAGACCAGCCTGGCCAACATGGTGAAACCTCGTCTCTACTAAAAATACAAAAATTAGCTGGATGCATTGGCAGGTACCTGTAATCCCAGCTACTCGGGAGGCCGAGGCATGAGAATTGCTTGAATCCGGGAGGCAGAGGTTGCAGTGAGCCAAGATCGCACCATTGTACTCCAGCCTGGGTGACAAGAGTGAAACTCAGTCTCAAAAAAAAAAAAATGATATGTTAACATATATTCAAAAGAAACTTTGAATAGTGCCTCGCACATAGTTAGCATTATAAAGGCATGTGCTATTATTGGTATTCCATCCTGGTCATTTATTCATTCACATGTTGAGTGTGTAGGCCCTGGGTTATTTGCTTTGGAAGCTCAAAGGTGAATCAGACTTAGATCCTGCCTTTAAGGAGAGTATATTTCAATAGAACAAAATAAAATAAGCAAATACATAAATATAATACAGTGAAGGAAATGGTTCATGCTCTCAAAAGTCTAGATGGAGCTTTAGGAGTGAGCAGCAAGAAACAGGAGAGGACTTCTGGAGGGCTTGGAGACACAAGCAAGACAGTAAGGAAGTCTTCATGGAGGAGGTGATATCTGTGTTGCGTCTTGGAGGATGGGGAAAGCTCAAACATTTGCAGCAGGAGAAAGTGCCTTCCAGGCGAAGCGAATGGTATGAATAAAGGTAGGAAAGGGTACATTTAGAAAACATGACGAGTTTGCTTTGCCTAATTGAAGGCTGTGCATTCACTAGAACGTGTGTTTCGAGTCCTCTCCTCCCGAGTTCCCTTGCCCCATGTTTTTCATTGCTTTATACCCATCAATTAAATTTCAGCAGAGTATAATAATCAGGGGCAGTTACTAAATGGGTGTAAGTGGCTTTGTAATTATAGCTGCTGCTAAATGTGTAATCTATCTGTTCTTATAATTAGTAAGGTTTTTATTTTTATAAGCTGATTACCTCCTATTCGAAAACTTCTGTAACAGTATGCAAATAGGAGCCAGGAAACATATAAGTCTAGGAGCTTACTTTCCCTTGCCCTGTATAATAAATCACCCAGCATCCTGACCCATGGCAGCTTTGTACCTCTCCAGAGAGGCCCACCATTGATGGACTCAAAGTAGATTGAGAATGCCTTAGATCCTCTCAGCCTTACCCAGAATGGAAACATCACATCTGTTTTTTTGTTTTTTGTTTTTTGATACGGAGTCTTGCTCTGTCACCCAGGCTGGAGTGCAGTGGCGTGATCTCAGCTCACCGCAACTTCCACCTGCTGGGTTCAAGCGATTCTCCTGTCTGAGCCTCCCGAGTAGCTGGAATTACAGGTGCCCACCACCACACCCGGAAAATTTGTGTATTTTTGGTAGAGATGGGGTTTCACCATGTTGGCCAGGCTGGTCTCAAACTCCTGACCTCAAGTGATCCACCTGCCTCGGCCTCCCAAAGTGCTGGGACTGCAGGAGCGATGATTAAAGGTATTTTAAGACATCAAGTTCTAAGTTAATAGGGATAGTTTATTTAGATTGTCTTACTCTGGAGCAGACTAATTATGTGTTTTCTTAATAAATGTTAAACTTGAAATAATCGTCCAACAATGGGAGTTAATACTAAAAATCCATAGCACAAAAAGATTGCAATAGGGCTTGACTTATAAACCCAATTTCAAGTAGCTGTAAAGCCCAGAACAATCAGTGACAAATGGCATATATGTTTAATAAATATTTCTTGAATGAATGTGTGAAGTATATTTCTTGAATGAATGCGTGAAGTATATTTTCTTTGCAGGGGGACAACTATGGTTAGATCAAACCAAGACTAGGTACAACTCAGGGTTACAAAATGAATATCTATAGCTGGGACTTTGAATTTCTTAAAATCTTATTATGAACTGTATATCATATTTTAAAATAGTGCCTACTCTAGTACATATTATGCTTACCTGCTTTAGTAAAACAATACAATATATATTGTTTTCTGAGACAATTATACTACAGAAAGTCTCTTGTTTAGATCATGAATCCAAGGTCAAGATGCTCCTAGCCCCCTAGTGAATGCTTATCTGACCTGAAGATATAGTGTTGAAGAGATAATAGCTGGAATGTTACTCTTTTAAATCAGAGCAAATAATGTTTTCCCTGCCCTTCTACTTTTGAACCATATAAGCATATAAGCATATAAGCAGTGTCTTTAGCATCAGAAATATCTCAAAGAAAGAAAAACCTCTGAAAAAGTATAAAGTGTTTTACAAGTGGGATTGCCAATGATTCTGTTCGTGGTAGATCACAAAGGTTCTTTTTCATGTTTTTTTCCTTTGTTTCTGATGTGGCTTATATCTGTAGCTCATAAAAATACAAAAGCAAGACACTGATCTTTCAAGGTTTGCAAGCCTGCTAAGTGTCTTCAACATTGATGGCAAATATCTGCAGTGTTTGGTTCTGTGTGTTTGCTCTTTCAGCTCTACGTGGCCACGGAGGCCATCCTCATTGCACTGGTTGGGGCCACGCCATCCTACCACTGGGACCTGGCAGAGCTCCTGCCAAATCAGAGCCACGGTAACCAGTCAGCTGGTGAAGACCAGGCCTTTGGGGACTGGCTCCTGACAGCCAACGGCAGTGAGATCCATAAGCACGTGCATTTCAGCAGCAGCTTCACCTCCATCGCCTCGGAGGTAACAACAGGCTGTTTCAATCACTAAATAAATGTCTCTCTTTGTCCACATAGAGCTACTCTTTTTGTCTTGCTGATTTAAATATCAGCCACATTTTCAAATAACTTTCTAGTAAATTTAAAAGTTAAAGGTTTTAATGTATCAAAGGAGAACATTCTATGAGAACACATTCCTTTTCCTCTTACTACACGTGGGAGAAGCTTGAATCTTTCCAAACTAGTTAGATGAAAAGATACAAACTCCAAAAGAACAGTATGTTGATTATGATGTCCTTTTAAAAAGTGAATTAAAACTTTAATCTCTCTTTATTAAATATGCAAAAATTAACACAGGGAAATGTAACGATTCATATATAACACCCATAGTTCTTTTTTTCTTTTCTTTTTTTTTTTTTTTGAGACGGAGTCTTGCTTTGTTGCCCAAGCTGGAGTGCAGTGGCGCAATCTCGGCTCACTGCAACCTCTGCCTCCCGGGTTCAAGCAATTTTCCTGCCTCAGCCTCCCGAGTAGCTGAGATTACAGGCACCCACCACCATGCCTGGCTAATTTTTTTTTGTAGTTTTAATAGAGACGGGATTTCACCATGTTGACCAGGCTGCTCTTGGACTCCTGACTCAGGTGATCCACCCACCTCGGCCTCCCAAAGTGCTGGGATTACAGGCATGAGCCACCGCGCCTGGCCTATAGTTCATTTTTAAGTCAAGTCCTGTGTGTAGACCATATGGGGCACCTTGACTATACAATGTAAAAGACAGTACCACTTAGTATGGTCAGGAAGCCTTACTTTCAAGGGGGCTTTGCTGGCCAGAGAGAAGTTTCTGGTCCTTCTGAGCCAGCCAGAGGTAAAGAATCTGAGGGTAGATGGTCTGGTGAAGAGAAACCCTGGATGGGGGCAGATCTCATGGTCAGCTGGAAGGCACTGGTGTTGGTTGTTAAAATGTAGAAATACTCTCCTTTCCTTTGCCTGCTCCTCTGAAGCTACCCATGTGTCTGTTGACACTGTTGACACCCTGGCCCCATCCTTGGACCCTGTGATCCAGTTAATGGGGTAAATGGGTGGTACAACAGGGGGCCTCTGGGACCCTTGCCAGCTCTCACTTCTGGTTGCCATGCTAGTTAGCTCTCCCAAAATTCCTTAACCACTCCTTCCTGGAAGCCACTCTCCTGTGTGTGTGAGTGTGTGAGAGTGTGTGTGTGTGTGTGTGTGTGTGTGTGTCTGTCTGTCTGTCTGTCTGTATATATGTCTGCACCATGGCCTAGCCAGCCTTACCTGTTGCTGACTATTTTGATAATCCTGCTTTGGATGAGGCATACTAAAAAAAGGGGAGACATGCCAAGGATGATGTTTTCTTGGCCTTTTCTTAGGAGTCCTCCGTGGAGTGCCCCACTCCTAAAAGTTACTATACTAACTTTTTGAGGGACCACCAAAGCAGCATTTCTGATTGCAATTCCTGACGTTACTCTTCACTTAGAAACCTCCAATGATTCTCCCACAGCACACAGAACACAGTAGAGACCCTATGAGTTACATTCAGGACCTCTCACACTTCGTAGCTTGGTCCAGGTGTACTTTTCCAGCCCCACTCTGCACTTTACCCTGCTCTCACCCCTATGGAAATATTTACTATTTCCCACACATGACCCAAGCTCTCAGCATAACCTATTATTGTCAGGAAAGCCCTCACCGCTTGCCCTGGCTTCCACCTGGTGAAATCCTTATCTACCCTCTAAGGCTCACTTTCAGTGTCACCTTCCCCGTGAGTCTTCCCAGCCAACTCCCCAGGAGAAAATACGCTTTTGTTCCTGTTCCAGTACTAATTTATTTGCACGTATGTTACAGACTGTTGTTTGTGGTTCAGCTCTAAAAGTTCTTTGAGGTCAGAAACCATGTTTTGGTCATCTTTGTATTTCCGTGGCCTATAGCAACCACCAGCCCCACCACCACCACCACCACCACTACCACCACCATTGCTACCACTCCTAACCTATGAAAATAACAAACAGCTTTGTTTAATGATTATGATATGCCAGGGATTGTGATATATGTAAAATTTAATTATCAAAGTAATTCTATGAGGTAGGAATCATTTCCCCCATTTTACAGATTTAAAAAATGGAGACCCCTTGAGGTCAGTGTTAGCTAATAATGGCAGAGCTGAGATTTGAAGCTAAATTTGTCTTAACTCAGAAGCCTGTGCTCTTAATTATTGTGCTTTTTAGGAATATATCCAATCCAAATTGGCATATATATCTCTTAGGTTCTTTTTGGTGAGTAATTATAGCCAAATACTTTTTAAAACCTTTTTTATTTGGAAATAATTTCAAATGAAAGAAATTGCGAGAATAGTACAAAGAATCCCCTTATCTCTTTTAGTTTCATCTATTGTTACTAGTTTGCCTCATTAGCATTATTATTGTCTCTCTGTTTTTTCCTAAGCCATTTGAAAGTTGCATATATTAGTGCTCTTTTATGCCCAGATACTTCAGCGTGTATTTACTAAAAACAAGGATGTTCTCTTCATAACCACACCACAGTTATCAATGTCAAGAAATTCAACATTGATACTATAGTTTTATTTAAACTATACCTAGTTGTATGCCATCCATACCTAATTTTGTCACTTAACCCAATAACATCCTTGATAGCATTGTATTTTCCTCTCATGTATTGAATCCAATTCAGGATCACACATGACATTTAGTTGTCATAGTTCTTTAGTATCTTTTGACCTTCAGCCTTTTTTTTTCTTTTATAACATTGATATTTTTAAGCATCTATACCTTTTCTCTTTTTCAAAATAAGAATGTTCTTCATTTTGGATCTGTCTGATGATTCCTCATTCGGTTTGGTTTTGCATCCCAAGTCAGAATAGTACATAAATAATGTATCCCTCTCAGGGTATCATATCAAAAGACACACTATATCCATCTGCCCTTAGTGGTGATGTTAATTTTGATTAGCCATTCCAGGTATTGTCTGATATTCTCCCCTGTCCCTGTCAGTTACTATCTTTCTTTCATTTCGAGGAATAGAAAACTATGGGGAATCCCTTTCAGGTTATATAAATTTGCTATTTCTTATCACTGCAACCTTTGCCTCCTATGTTCAAGCAATTCTTCTGCCTCACCCTCCCAAGTAGCTGGGATTACAGGCACCTGCAACCAATGCCCACTAATTTTTGTATTTTAATAGAGACAGGGTTTCACCATGTTGGCCAGGCTGGTCTCGAACTCCTGACCGCAGGTGATCTCCCCTCCTTAGCCTCCCAAAGTGCTGGGATTATAGGTGTGAGCTACTGTGCCCAGCCCAAAATGGTTATTTCTTAACTCCAGCACTTCCATCACATTTACTAGCTTGCATACTTTCTACTGTAAACAAGAGCCCTTTCTCTCCCTTGTCTGTCTGTCTGTCTCTGTCTGCCTATTTGCCTATATATTTATCAACCATATGTACATAATCTTGGATTCCTATTCTTTTCAATGATTTGTAATTTATTACAGCTCTGAATTATTTTGGAACTCAAATTTTTCCTAATTTACCAGTGGGAACCTCTTCAAGCTGCCTCTTGTGTCCTTTTATTTTTAATTAAAATTTTTATTTTGAAATAATTGTGGATTTGCATGCAGTTGCAAGAAATAATACAGAGAAATTTTGTGTACTCTTTACCTAGTTTCTTCCAATGGGGAAAACCATAGTATAATATCATAACTGAGATATTAACACTGACACTGCTAAGACACAAAACATTTCCATCACCACAAGGATCCTTCATGTTGGCCTTTTAGAGCCACACCCACTTTCCTCCCATCCCTTACCCTTTTCTTAATCGCTAGTAACCACTGATCTGCCTTCTTATACTATGAGTCTTTCATTTTAAGGATGTTGTAAAAATGGAATCATATTGTAGAAGCCTTTTGAGATTGGCTTTTTTTATTCAGCATAATTATCTGCAGATTCATCTAGGCTTAGTTTTATTACTGTAGTTATATAAGCAGATTTGGAATGGGATAGATTGCCGCTTTATTCTTTTTCAAAAGTATTTTAGCTATTTCAGTTCCTTTGCCTTTCCATATAAGTTTTAGAATAATTTTGTATATATCTACCGAAAAATATTTATGAGATTTTGATAGAAGTTGTGTTAAACCTGCATATCAATTTGGGGAGAATCAACGTCTTTACTATGCTGAGTCTTCCAATACATCAACACTATGTGTTATTTTGAGTGTCTTTGATTTCTTTCATCAATGTTTCATATCTTTACTATGCAAACCCTGAACATGTTTTTAGATTCATTAGGTTTTAGATTCATTCATTAGATTCACATCTAAATATTTCTTTTTCTTTTTTTTTTTTGAGGGATTATAAATGGTACTGTATTTTAAATTTCTGTTTCTACATGTTTATTGCTAGTATAGATAAATATTGTACAATTCATTTTTATATGTTAATCTTGTATCCTTTGATCTTAATCTTGTATTATTTCTTTTGGGAAATTTTAAAATTATGAATTTAATTTCTTTAATAGTTATAGCGTGATTCAAATGATATATTTTGTATTGTATGAGTTGTGTAGCTTGTGCTTTTCAAGGAGTTAGTCCATTTCATCTAAGTTGTCGCTTATTAATTCTAGGTGCTTTTTGACGATTCTTTGGGATTTTCTTGACAGTCATATAAAAAGTAAGGACAGTTTTTTTTTTTCCATTTCCAATCTGTATGCCTTTTGTTTTACCTTATTCCTCTGGCTAGCATGTCTAGCACTGTGCTGAATAAAATGGTAAGAGTGGACATCCTTGCCTTGATTCTGATCTTAGAAGGGATACACTCCGTCTTTCACCATTAAGTGCAGTTTTAGCTATAGGTTTTTATAGATACTCTTTATCAAATCGAGGAAGCCTCCCATAATTCCAACATTTTTTATGCCAATACCATGCTGCTTTGGTTACTATAGCTCTGTAGCATAATTTGAAGTCAAATAATGTGATTGCTCCAGTTTTGTTGTTGTTGTTGTTGTTGTTGCTCAGGATGGCTTTGGCTATTCTGGGTCTTTGGTGGTTCCATATAAATTTTAGAATGATTTTTTTCTGTTTCTGTGAAGGTGTCATCAGTATTTTGATAGAGATAGCATTGAATCTGTAGATTGCTTTGGGTAGAATGGACATTTTAACAATATTGATTCTTCCAATCCATTAACATGAAATATCTTGCCATTTTTTTGTGTCCTTTTCAATTTCTTGCATCAATATTTTATAGCTTTCACTTTGGAGATCTTTCACTTCTTTAGCGAGGTTTATTTTTTAGTATTTTATTTTATTTGTAGCTTTTGTAAATGGGATTACTTTCTTGATTTCTCTTTCAGATTGTTCACTATTAGCATATAGAAATGCCCCTGATTTTATATGTTCATTTTGTATCCTGCAAGTTTACTGAATTTGTTTCTATTCTAATAATTTTTTGATGGAGTCTTTAGTTTTTTTTCAGATCATATCATCTGCAAACAAGGGTAATTTGACTTCTTCCTTTCCAATTTGGATACTCTTTATTTCTTTCTCTTGTCTGATTGCTGTAGCTAGGACTAACAGTACTAAGTTGAAAAATGGGGTGAAAATAGACATCCTTGTCTTGTTCTAGATCTTAGAGGAAAGACTTTGTTTTCTGTGTCCAGTGTGATACTAGCTGTGAGTCTGTCATATATGGCTTTTATTATGTTGAGGCATGTTCCTTCTATACCCAGTTTTTTTGCAGATTTTTATGAAGGATGTTGAATTTTATCAAATGCTTTTTCAGCATGAATTGAAATGATTGTATGGTTTTTGTTCTTCATTCTGTTGATATGATGTATCACATCAATTTACATATGTTGAACCATCCTTGCATTCCTGGGATGAATCCCACTTGCTCATGATGGATGACCTTTTAATGTATTGTTGAATTTGGTTTGCTAGTATTTTGTTGAGAATTTTTGCATCAATATTCATCAGATGTATTGGCCTCTAGGTTTTCTTTTTTTTGGTGTGTCTTTGTCTGGTTTTGGTGTCAGGGTAATACTGGCCTCGAAGGATCATTTTGGAAGTAGAATCAGCTCTCTTCCTCTATTTTTTGGAGTACTTTGAGTAGGATTGGTATTAGTTCTTCTTTAAATGTTTGGTAGAATTCAGCAGTAAAGCCAATGGGTCTCTGGCATTTCTTTTCTGGGAGACTTTTTATTATGTCTTTGATCTGGTTACTTGTTATTGATCTATTTAGGCTTTGGAGTTCTTCATGGCTCAATCTTGGAAAGTTGTATGTGTCTAGGAATTTATGCATTTCTTCTAGGTTTTCCAACTTATTGGCATATAGTTGCTCATAGTAGCCTGTAATGATCCTTTGAATTTCTGTTGTGTCAGTTTTAATGTCCCCTTTTTCATCTCTGATTTTATTTATTTGGGTCTTCTCTCTTTTTTTCTTAGTTTAGCTAAAGGTTTATTGGTTTTATCTTTTCAAAAAAACAACTTTTCATTTTGTTGATCTTGTGTACTTTTTTAAAATTTCAATTTCATTTATTTCTTCTCTCATCTTTATTATTTCTTTTCTTCTACTAATTTTGGGTTTGGTTTGCTCTTGCTTTCTAATTCTTTAATCTGCATCATTAGGTTATTTATTTGAAGTTTTTCTACTGTTTTGATGTAGATGCTTATTGCAGTAAACTCTCCTCTTATTACTGCTGTATTCCATGGATTTTGGTATATTGTATTTCTATTTTCATTTGTTTCAAGGAATTTTTAAATTTTCTTCTTAATTTCTTCTTTGACCCACTGGTCATTCAGAAGCATATTGTTTCATTTCCTTGTGTTTGTATCGTTTTCAAAGTTCCACTAGTTACTGATTTCTAGTTTTGTTCCATTGTGATTGGAGAAGATATTTGAAATGATTTTAATATTTTTGAAATTTTTAAGACTTGTTTTGTGGCTAACATGTGGTCTATCTTTCAGCATGATCCATTTGCTGAGGAGAAGAATGGAAGAATGCATATTCTGCAGCTATTGGATGAAATGTTTTGTAAATATTTATTTGATCTATAATGCAGGTCCATTTGGTCTATAGTGAAGATTAAGTCTAATGTTTGTTGATTTTTCTCCCTGGATGACCTATCTAGTGCTGAAAGTGATGTGCTGAAGTCTCCAGCAACTATTGTATTGGGGTTTATCTCTCTTTTTAGTCCTAATAATATTTACTTCATATATTTGGGTGCTCCAGTGTTGGGTGCATATATATTTTTGTTCTTTTTTTTTTTTTTTTCTGGAGACAGAGTCTTGCTCTGTCACCCAGGCTGGAGTGCAGTGGCATGATCTCAGCTTACTGCAACCTCCACCTCCTGGGTTCAATTCATTCTCATGCCTCAGCCTCCCGAGTAGCTGGGACTAAAGGTGTGTGCTACCATGCCCAGCTAATTTTCTGTATTTTAGTAGTGATGGTGTTTCATGGGGTTGCCCAGGCTGGTCTTGAACTCTTGAGCTCAGGCAGTCTGCCTGCCTCCACCCCGCAAAGTGCTAGGATTACAGGCATGTACCATCACATCTGGCCTATATTCTTAATTCTTATATCCACTTGCTGAATTGACCCCTTTATTATTATATAATTATCTTGTCTCTTTTTAAAATTTTTGTCTTGAAATCTATTTTGTCTGATATACATATAGCTATTCCTGCCCTTTTTTGGTTTCCGTTGGCATGGAATATCTTTTTCCATCCCTTTATTTTCAGTCTATGTGTATCTTTATAGGTGAAGTGTGTTTCTTATAGGCAACAGATCATTGGGTCTTGGTTTTTTTATCCATTCAGCCATTCTGTATCTTTCGATTGGAGTTTAGTCCATTTACATTCAATGTTATTGTTGATAATTAAGGACTTACTACTGCCCTTTTGTTATTTGTTTTCTGGTTGTTTTGTGGTTTTCTCTTCCTTTTTTCTTTTTTGTGAAAATGATTTTCTCTGGTGGTATATTTTAATTTCTTGCTGAAATTTTTCGTGTATCTGTTGTAGGTTTTGTTATTTTATGTTACCATGAAGCTTACAAATGACATCTTATAACCCATTATTCTAAACTGATGACAATTTAACTCTGCAAAAACAAGCAAACAAAGAGAAAACTAATAAAAAGTCTACACTTTAGCTTCATCCCCTTGCTTTTTAACTTTTTGTTGTTTCTATTTATAACTTCTTATACTGTCTATTTCTTACAAAGTTGTTCTAATTATTATTTTTGATTGGTTCGTCTCTTAGTCTTCCTATTCAAGATATGCATAGTTTATACACGACAATTACAATGTTATAATATTCTGTATTTGTCTGTGTACTTAACTATAACTAGTGAGTTTTGTATCTTCATGTAATTTCTTTTTTTTCCTTTTTTTTTTTTTTTTTTTTTTTGAGATGGAGTCTCACTCTGTCGCCCAGGCTGGAGTGCAGTGGCTTGATCCCGGCTCACTGCAAACTCTGCCTTCCAGGTTCCTTCGATTCTCCTGCCTCAGGCTCCCGAGTAGCTGGGACTGCAGGCACCCGCCACCATGCCCAGCTAATTTTTTGTATTTTTTTAGTAGAGACGGGGTTTCACTGTGTTAGCCAGGATGGTCTTGATCTCCTGACCTCATGATCTGCCTGCCTTGGCCTCCCAAAGTGCTGGGATTACAGGCGTGAGCCACCATGCCCGGCCGACCTTCCTGTAATTTCTTATTGCTCATTAATGTCCTTTTTTTTCAGATTGAAGAACTCTCTTTAGCATTTCTTGTAGGACAGGTCTGGTGTTGACAAAATCCCTCAGCTTTTGTCTGAGAATGTCTTTATTTCTCTTTTATGTTTCAAGGATACTTTTACTGGATATACTAGTCTAGGATAAAAGTCTTTTTCCTTCAGTAGTTTAAATATATCATATCTTTCTCTCCTGATCTGTTAGGTTTCCACTGAGAAATTTGCTATCAGACATATTGGAGCTCCTTTATATGTAATTTTTTTTTCTTTTCTCTTGCTGCTTTTAGAACCATTTCTTTATCCTTGACCTTTGAGAGTTTGATTATTAAATGTCTTGAAGTAGTCTTATTTGAGTTAAATGTGCTTGGTGTTCTATAACCTTCTTGTACTTTACTATTGATATCTTTCTCTCTAGGTATGGAAAGTTCTGTTATTATCTCTTTGAATAAACTTTCTGTCCTGATGTCTTTCTCTTCTTCCTCTTTAAGGGAAATAACTCTGTATTTGCTCTTTTGAAACTGTTTTCTAGATCCTGTAGGCATGCTTTATTATTTTTTATTCTTTTTTCTTTTGATTCCTCTGTGTATTTTCAATAGCCTGTCTTTAAGCGCTCATTAATTCTTTCTTCTGCTTGATCAGTTCTGCTCTTGAGAGATTCTGGTGCGTTCTTCATTTTGTCAGTCAAATTTTTCAGCTCCAGAATTTCTGCTTGATTCCTTTTATTTCAATCTCCTTGTTAAATTTATCTGACAGGATTCTGAATTCCTTCTCTGAGTTATCTTGGATTTCACTGAGCTTTCTCAAAACATCTATTTTGAATTCTCTCTGAAAGGTCACATATCTCTGTCACTCCAGAATTGGTCACTGGTGCCTTATTTAGTTTGTTTGATGAGATCATGTCTTCCTGAATGGTCTCGATGCCTGTGGATGTTCGTCAATGCCTGAACATTGAAGAGTTAGGTACTTATTCTAATCTTTGCAGTCTGGGCTTGTTTGTACTTGTCTTTCTTGAGAAGGCTTTCAAAATATTCAAAACTAATTGAGTGTTATGATCTAAGTTTTTGGTCACTGCAGCCATAAGTGCATGAGATAGCACCTCAAGCCTAGTAGCACTGTGACTCTTACAAACTCGTAGAGATACAATGGTGGTCTTGGTTAAGATCTGGGAGAATTTCCTGGATTACCAGGCAGAGCCTCTTGTTCTCTTCCCTTACTGTTTTCCAAACAAACAGCATCTCTCTCCATGCTGAGCTCCCTGGAGTTAGGGGAAGGATGACATAAGCACTCTTTTGGTCACTACCACTGGGACTGTACTGGGTCACACATGAAGTTGGCATAGTACCAGGTCCTGCCCAAGGCCTGTGACAACTATTTCCTGGCTATTGCTGATGTTTATTCAAGGCCCAAAGGCTCTTTAGTCAGTGGGTGATTACTCCTACTAGGACTTGATCTTTTCCCATAAGAGCAGCAGGTTCCCTTCTGGACCAGGGTGGGTCTGGAAATGCCATCCAGGCAGTAGGGCCTGAGATCAGGGGCTTTAAAAATCTGCTTCATGCTTTATTTTACTGGGGCTGAGCTGGTACCGAGATTGCAAGACAAAGTCCCCTTTACTTTTCCCTCTCCTTTCCTCAAGCAGAAGGAGCCTTTGCCCATGGCCAACACTGCCCCAGGCCTGTGGTAACTATTGCCTGGCTACCACTGATGTTTATTCAAGGCCCAGGAGCTCTTTACTTAGCAAGTGGTGAGCTGACAGGCATGGGTCTTTTCTTTCAGGGGAATGGGTTCCCTTCTGTCCCAGGATGGGTTTAGAAATTCCATGTAGGAGCCAAGGCCTGTAATCAGGGACTTTAAGAGTTGGCTTGGTTCTTTATTTTACTGTGGCTGAGCTGGTACCCAAGTTATAAAGTCCTTTTTACTCTTCCCTCTCCTTTCTTCTAGCGAAGGAGTCTCTCCCCATGGCAACCACAGCTGGGAATGTGCTGGATCACACCTGAAGCCAACATAAAACTGGGTCTTGTCCAAGGCTTATGGTGACTGCTGCCTGGCTACCACTGGTATTTATTCTATTCAAGGTCTAAGGGCTGTTTAACCAGCAGGTGGTAAATTCTGGCAGGATTGGGTCCTTCCTTTCAGGGCAGCAGGTTCCCTTCTGGCCCAGGGTTGGTCTAGAAATGTCATCCAGGAGTTATGGCCTAGAATGGGTGCATTAGGACTCTGCTTGGTGCTTTATTTTACTGTGGCTGAGCTGGTATGCAAATTGCAAGACAAAGCCCTCTTTATTCACTCTTCCCTCTTTTCCTGGAGCTGTGAGCTGTGCTGCCTGGGATTGCAGAAGGGGCAGTACAAGCACTCCCTTGGCTACCCAAGCTGGTGTCCCACTGGATCATGTGCATCCCAAGTCCACTGACTCTGAGCCCAGCCCAGCACCAGGACTTGCCCAGTAATTGCAGTCTAGGCCACAAGAACTAGTTTATTGAAGACCCTAGAGCTCTTTAGCTTGCAGTGGTGGGACTAGCCAGAACTCAGGTTCTGACCACTGGGATGGGCGATTCCTCTCTGGCTAGGGCTCATCTAAATGCTCCTTCTGTGGGCACCAGCTGAATTCTGCCCTGTGTTGCTTGTGGTGTGAAGGGACTCACTGAGTTCCAATGCAAAGTTCCATTATCACTGTGCTCTCTGCTTCCCAAGCACACAGATTCTCTCTTCCTGTGCCGTGTGGTATTTCTGTGGGTTGGGGGAAGGGTAGTGTCAGCAATTCAAGACTGTCTTTCCTACCCTCTTAGGTGCCTCTTTCCTTGATGTGATGTTAAAACTAGGTACTGTGATCAGTCCTGATTTGTGGTTCTTAAGAAGGTCCTTTTGAAACTCACCCAATTGTCCCAAAGAGCTGATGTTTATGGTTTCTTTTGAATAAACATAGAAATTGACCCTTCTATTCTTAAAACTAGAGAAAGTTATATTTGTCTTATTGGAGTTCCTTCCTCAGGAAACTGAACCTTAGGCCTCCCAGATATTATCAAGGAACTGAAACTCAGCAGATCACTGCATCCAGACAGTGAAAGGCCAGACCCCTCATTTATCATGACTGCTTCCTTACCTCTCCTTAATTCCTGTTTTCCTGCATGTAGCTTATTACTTCCTTGTTATATAAGTCCTCAGTTTTAGTTGGTCAGAGAGACAGATTTGAGACTGATCTCCCATCTCTTTGGCTGCAGCACCCAATAAAGCCTTCTTCCCTGGCAATACGTGTTGTCTCAGTGATTGGTTTTCTGTGTGGCAAGCAGCAGGACCTAGAGCAAGCCCCTGGTGTTTTGGTAATACTTTCTTTTGTGGATAGTTGTTCAATTTGGTGTTCCTGTGGGGAGGATGACTGCTGGAGTGTTCTAGTCGGCCATCTTGCTCTTTCTCCTCCCCATTCCAATATTTTTGAGAATTTTTATTATGAATGTATATTGAATTTTGTCAAATACTTTTTCTACATCAATTGCAATGACTGTGTAATTTTTCTTCTTTATCTTGTAATATGATGGATTACAGAGATTGTTTTTCAAATATTGAACCAGCCTTGCATCTTTGGGTACATGCTTCTTTTTATATATTACTGATTTCTATTTGCTAACATTTTGATAAGGATTAATGCCTCTATATTTGTGAGGAGTATTGCTCTGTAGTTTTCTTTTTTGATACTATCTTTGGTTTTGGTATCGAAGTAGTACTAGCTTTATAAAATGAATTGGAAAGTGTTCCCTTCTTTTATATTTTATGGAAGAGATTGTGTAGAGTTGGTATTAATTCCTTAAGCCTTTGATAGAATTCTCCAGTGAAATTATCTGTACCTGTAGATTTCCTTTTGGGGAGTTTTAAAATTATGAATTCAATTTTCTGGGGCTATTTTGTCAAATGATCTATTTTGTATTGGATGAGTTGTGGTTGTTTGTACTTTTCCAGGAATTGGTCCATTTTATCTAAGTTGTCAAATCTATGTGTGTAGAATTGTTCATAGTATTACCTTATCATTGTTTTGATATTTTCAGGGTCTGAAATGATTTCCCTTCTTTTATTACCTGGTATTGGGCATTTGTGTCTTTTTTTCTTATTTAATTACTTCTCAGTCATTATAGAGATTTGTCAATATTACTGATCTTTTTAAAGAATGAGCATTTTGTTTGATTGATTTTTCTCTATCGTTTTTCTGTTTTGAATTTTATTGGTTTCTGTTCTTTAGTGGAAGGAATAAGGAAAAGCATGCCTACTTAGTCTTCTTGGAAGTGGGATCCCTCTTGTGTCCTTTTGACATGCCTATCATTTCTGATATGCCTATCAGAAATTTTTGGCATAACAAGATATTCCAAGTTCATCTTGTACCTCTCACCCCTGAAGCATGAAATTAGTCATTTCTCCAAAAAGCCCTGGTTTTACTTAGGATTGATCTCCATAGGATTTTGAAATGGGTGAGAACTATAGGTCTGCTCTCCAATAAATCTATTACTACATTATAATGAAAGCAAATCCCAGACCAAATTCTGCCACATATACAGTATATACATTTATTAACTAAATTCTTGTAATCAAAGTAGCACATAAAAAACTGTCTTGCAGGCTTGAGAAGTCCTAGCTCTTTAGTCTCCTAGATGTTTTGAACACTGATTCCATGGTAGGTCACTATAGGTAAACTCCAATTTTCCATAGGCAGGGTACTGATACCACCACTCCTACTCCCAACCTCCACTCCTCAGCCAGCATCAGGGAGAAAGAAGCTTCCAGAGTCCATGTTGGCTCAGGACCAAGGAGGAGTTTTAGCTGAGAGCATAACCCTGTAGGTAGAGTACCTACACATTGGATTATCTCACAAATTCCTGCAAGGGTGGGGAGTACCCCTAATATATTGACATAATCCATGTATCTTGAATGCCTTCAATTTCACAGTGTTAGACCACTTTTGGTATTCATTATTACTAGTCAATAGGCTGCTATTTTAATCAAGAATAAGCAAAGCACTCATTTCTGACAACCCCTTATAGTAGCTCCTGCTGGCGAATGGGCTCTCTGAAGAGAAGGACAGCTGACCACCACTGGACAATGCAATCTTGATTAGAATGCTTGTGGTACCAGGGTGACAGCTTGACCTAAGCAACATTTATGTAGAATATCCCACTGTATGTATCCTAATCTATAATTAGGAGCCCTTTTAGATATTTCCAGAGGGATACCATTATTAACAAGTGTTCACTGAGCAATTGTTACCTGCCTTATGTTAGAGAAGGCTTGCTATAAAGAGAGAGCTCTTAGATCCTGCACTCCAGGACAACAGGGATGAGGCACCCTGGTCCCCACTGTATCTCCTATGCTGACTTCTAGGATCTCACAATAAACAGTGCCCGACTGAAGGTGGAAGACAGAAGGAAGGGTGAATTAGTTAAAGGGAACCCAGGGAACTACTACTCTCAAGATAAAGAGTGTTAGAAACAGGAGAAATTGAATGAAATGGCTTCCTTGGCAAGTGCTGAAGATCTTTAAAGCAGCTCTGAGAGGAAAAGAATTAAGGGCTGAGACAGCCTTCACCTTGCCACCTGTGATAGTAGCTACGTCTTTTCCTTCCTGTTACCTAAATCTTAGCCCACTGGGGTGCATCTAAGAATCGCTGTCTCCCTTGCCACCTGTCTTTGTCAATCTGTATCTCTGTGTCCCCTCCCTCCCTCCTTTCCTTCTCTTCTCCCCACCTTCTGTCCTTATTGCTCTTTCTTGTCTCTGTCATTTTGTTTGTGTCTGTTTCTGCTTGTTCCCATGTCTCTTCATCTCAGTCTGTCTGTATTTACCTCTCTGTTTCTGTTTCTCTTTCTCTTTCTGTATCCATTGCATTCACTCTCTGTCTTGCCTTTCCCTCTGTCTGTCTTTATCATTTCTGCCTCTGTGTGCCTTTCTGTTTCTGTTTCTCACCCTCGCTTCCTCACCCTGTCTCCCTCCCTCTTCCTGTGTTATTCATCTGTCCTCTTTCTCATTCCCATCATGTGTAGCCACTGAGATGCGTAGACTGGGATGTATATGTTATTATCCACCTTGATTATAGTTATTGATAATTATACGTTTCTAAATACTTGGTACTTTCTTCCCATGATATAGAGGTACACATTATATTCCTCATCCCACCAGGGTGTCAAAAAATTATCCACCCTCAGAGGTTTATTTCAAGGTACAAATTACCTGTGCAAATAGTGACCCTCAGTCTCCAGCAGGTGCTCCAAGATGTATCCAGAACAACATGGGGAGCAGGGCATGGACTGTCCCTGCTGCACAGTTAGATGAGATCCTCATACTGCCACCCCGTGGCACCTCCACCCTCCCTCAGGGCTCTTTGGGAACTCTGGGGTCATGATTTGGGATCAATTATCTTTTAAGCATTCCAGATGCTGAACTGGCTGCTTCAGCCTGAGTGGGTTCATGATGCTTTGCAAGGGTGGCTGTGGCCTGCCTACTTGTTGGAGGAGTACAGTTGGCATCACTGACCCACACAACAGGACAGAACTCCACAACCTCCATGGGATCCTCAGCTGTGACAAGATCATTCCATACTTTGCACTGAGTTTGTGGGTAAGAAGATAAGTTTATATAAGGTCTGGTAGGTATAGGAGAGAGGGAAGAGGCAGCTAACCACTTTTTAAAAATGCACTCTGGGATGGGAGTCTCTCTGCCAGAGGCCTTCCATAGATGCTATGTATTTAGTCCTACCAACAACCCCACTCTATTAGTGAAATAACAGATGAAGAGAATTTAAAGAATTTTCCCTAAATCATACACCTAATAAGCTGCTAGTCTGGGATTCAATGAGCTCATATTCTTTCCACTTCACTAGTGATTTTCAAGCTTTTTTAAAAAACAAAAAAGAATAGAAGCCTTTAGTTTTAAATGGTATCTTAGTTGGCATTTCAGTATTTAGAAGAGCTAGATACTTTGCTGTTGTCATTGCAGAGGAGTAGGGTCCAGGGCCTCAGCACCTCTGCCACCGCCAGCCATTTGTGGCAGCCCCAGAAACATGTCCATGAGAACAGGGTGAAGATCGACTCTGCCTGGGCCCCTTGGCTCACTGGCAGTGAAGGGACAGGAAGAGCCAATGGGAGTATGCCTTGGCGGATTTGAGAACAGTTAGCACAGTGACCGTGGGGAGATAGTGTATGGGGCATGAAATATCAACCTAAAGGAAGAAACTGAGGCACAAAATATAATTTTAAAGAGTTTCTTTGAGCCAGGGTGAGCACAGCTGCCCAGGAAACACTTCCCGGTTACTGTAGGAAGCGCTCTTTTCAATCTTTGTGGCAAGTAATCTTTTAAAGGCAAAAAGAGGAACAAGGAGTGGGTGGATACAAGATTGTTTGTTAGGAGTTTTCATTAGTTTACATAAATAACATTGATCAGTAATTGGCTTTATATTGTTGAACTATAGAGTAGGGGTTATGGTGTCCAGTGTGTAGCATTGTTAGGTTAATGTATAGCTACCAGTGGCATCAATCTAGAGTCCACATAGCAAGCAGCTTCAAGAGATGATACTTGGCTCAAGGGGAGATGGGGACATGACTGCTGCTTCATTCCAGTGCCTCTCTGGGCCCAATAATTTAGGCAGAGCTCACATTCCTCATATAAAAAGTTTCATTTCTTCCCCAACACATTAGGCTGAAAGCTAAATAAGATGCTCGCAGTCACCTGCTTGAGAGTGCTTTGGGCAGAGTGAATTCTAGGGGAGAAGGGAAAGCAATAATACTAGTCTGCTAATTAAAAAGGGAAGAAGACATGGGCTCAGAGTAGCTGGGTGACCTCCTCAGTGCCCCACAGTTAGTAAACAAGCCTGGCCACTGTGGCATGGGCCCAGCAGAAAGAAGGAGGCCAGGCAGGCAGCCCATCTGTGAGTGGTGTCAGCGTCTGCCTTCTACAAGGTGATGTGACCTGGGGCATGTGTGTCAGACTCATGAGGAGCCTGGCCAGTGTTCCACCCCCACAAAACCCACTCAAGTACGGTGGAAGTAGTAATGATTACATTAAGCTTTATTGCTGGTCAAGCTCAAATAAATGTACATGTTTCCTAACAGAACAAAAAATAACAAAGGAGAATTAAATAGAATGAACAATAGTTAAGTCTCATACTCTCAGCAGTTCACTGTATTCTCAGAGCCCCGCAACCACCTGCCCCAGTGACAACATTCACTATGTCTCTCCTCTCTGAATAGATTCAGGGAGACCTAACAAAGGCCTCCTCTGTTTCACATGTTTAACACAGAATCTCTTGTTTTTCCTGAAGTCCTTTATATTGAGGTACCAATGAAGTGTCTGTGCTGTGTGCTCCCGTCCCACCGTTCAGAGTGTGAATTATATGTTAGTTCACGCACTGTACTTCTGCTTTGTGCTTTAGAGGCCTGTCTGGGTGCTGTTCCAAGTGCTGGTGTGGTATAGGTAGCTTGAAAGTTTCCTGCTGCTGCTAACAAAATGATAAGAATCAAGGAGAGACAGCAGCAGAATGGAGAATAATGTGAATGGTGATCAAGGGGCAGCCAAGGCCAGCAGCACCAGGCAGCATGTTGGCATCAGTTACACTTTAGCCGGTGTTCTTGAGGAACCACTAGTCTCTGCACTGTGTTGAGTTCATCCTTATTACAATGAAGTGCAGTGCCAAACTAAAACCTCCACTTAATTTCTTAGCATTAAGTCAATTTCAATGACTTCACTAGACTCTCACTTGCTCCTGCAAATCTCTAAAGGAGTATTGAAATTGGTACCTAAACATGTCACTAAGTTGGTGAATATCCTTAATATATAATCTGTGGTATATAGGTAATGTTTGGTTCATATTGAAATAATCTTGTTTGAAATCAAAGTTAAAAAACAAATATGAAGCCCTGTTGACCCGTCACATAAAATTTTGGAAGATAAATATTAAGAGAGATTCTACGAAACTCTATAGTTTAAAGATACTGTGTTAAAAACACACATTTTTAACGTCTACCCTGCACCTTATTACACTTGGGTCAGGCCTTGCAGAAGTTTCTTTAGAAGAGTTTTTGGGAAGGGCAAATAAAAGGTTAGGTGGATGTGATTAACTTGGTATTTAATGCAAAACTCTAATCTAGGAGTCTTGACTATTCTAAAATGAGCTAATAGCTATTGGAGCGAATTTATGTAGCAAATTGCTGTCTGCTGTATTCAGATTATTCCCTGAGCTCTGACTCATTCAGAAAGCACCAAATATCACGGAGACACACAATTATCATGCTTAATTAATGTTTGCAACCAAAAAGTGTAAGGTTGGAATTCTTAATATCACTGTGGATATTGAAGAGCTGAAATTGACTGACTGTTATCTTGAGATTAATATATTTTCCCCAAGCCATACCCTGGGGTCAAAAGACAGAGTATTAAAACTATTTGAAAAATTCACTGCAATTAATTGCTTTAGGGGCTAATTTTTTTTAATGTCTTGCTTCCTTACGCCTGTACTACTGACTGTTATAGCCTGCAGACTTCACCCATTAAGTGGTAATTCAGAGTGACAACTACATTGAAATGAAGCAAGTTAGTTAATCACCATGAAACTGTTCCTGAAATACCCTGTCCAAGTACTCCCTAGTCACAGGAGGCCTCTGATTACCTGATTTTCTCCTGAAGTTAGATTTTCATGTACAAAGTTGTAATTATTTTTATTTTAAATACAGGCCAGGGGAGGGCTGAAGTTTGGTTGGAATTGTTATCAGAGCCATTCAGAATTTTTCACAGGAGACCATAGCGACTCTCTGATTGCGTAGAGCCCTCATGGATGTGCTGCAGGGATCCTAGGAAGCTGCTATTGGCTTCATCCCCGCAGCCTTGAAATACTGACAAGCTAGGAGTCTGGGTAGGGCTGTGGCAGTTATAATATGACTTGGTTTTCATCAAAGCATGACCTCCAGCAACAAGAGGCTCGATCAATAGGCACGGGCCCAGTCTTGTTTGCCCATTTTGGTTGACCTGCTTGGACAACCAGGGTGACCTGCCCTTTGTCTTCCTTTCCTTTATGATTAGGTGGGCTATGCCCTGAACAGTCATGTGGTGCGTCCTCCTTTCAGAGAAGGCTGTGTTGGGACTAGTGAACTATGTGGGTCCCTGAAAAAGTCTGCCTTTTAGAAGGGATACAGCAGCCAGCTGAGGGGCTAGGTACTACTGTCTAAACTGCCACAGCCCCTGCCTGGCTTGCAGGTTCCTTGATATACTGTGAATCATCCATGGCACATTTCTTATCCCTGCATGATTGTATATCCTTCTCTCAGTGGGGATATTTGTGGACCAGCTAAAGTGCTTTCAGGGGCTAAAGATAAAATCAAGTATTCTAGCTGTCAGATTGGCTATAGGAAGAAGGAAACCCCCTCAAATTCTAAATCTGTCTACACTCCTTTTCAAGAGAATGGCATTCGGTGGCTCCAAGGAAATGGTGACCAATTAGGTAGTTCCCTGTATGCCCGTAAACCCACAACCTGATGCTTGAAGTCATGACCTGGAGATATTGTGTGTGAAGATGCCTATAAGACGATGGCACTTGCTCTTCTTACATAAATAATTCAGCAAATAATTAATTAGTGCTGACAGACACTGTAAGTTTAGCATGGGGGATACAAATATGCCCTTAAGAATCTCACAGCATCATAGGGGAGAGACAAATGGACACACTTCACCATGCATCATTGTAAAGCAAAAATAGGGTGATGTGGCAGAAAGGAGAGAGTGGTAAGCTCTGCTGGGGTAAGTCAGACGAGACTTAAGGTGTGTCATGGAGAATGAATAGTTCACGGGGGAGGAGGTGGGGATGCAAGTGGGGAGTGGGGAGAGGAGGGCACAGTGCATACTGAGAGTGGTCTTTTTGGCAGGTGTCATGCTTCATGGCAAAAGTGGAATGAGAAATCTGTTTGCCTTTCTTTGGGTAACCATACCCTTACCTAGACTTCTGCACGACAGTGGTCCTACATTATTCATCTGTGGGAGATGCAGAGTCAGTCACCTGCCCTGAGCCAAAACAGGGAGGGCAAGAAAGGGCAAAGCCCACTTGTGGGAGGGAAATGACCCACTGCTTGTAAAAGCTTGGAGTAAATGATTTTTTTCTTTACCATTCACTTCTCCCTTCATTAGAGTGGTTTGTGATTATAGCATGTTTTTCAACTATTATTCCATGAAATGTCACTATAAATTAGAAGAAGAAATAAAAAACCTACAATGGGTTGTTTAGGTCACAGGAAAAAACGGAAGCAGACAAATTTATCACATTTGCAGAGCCAAGGAGAAGTTGCTCAGAGTAGAGGCTGGATATGTGTCTCAGTTCTCGGAGTCAGTATGACAGAGGTCCTTCTTGCTCTTTGGTCTTCCTAATATTCATGATCAACTTAAGAAATATCTCCTAGTTCATGGATTAGCCTGGGCAACAAAATAAGACCCTGTCCCTTAAAAAGAAAAAAAAGAAATATCTCCTGATCCCTGTGCTCTAATACAGTAGGGAAGGATAATAATAACAGCACAGGGCTATTCGGTGGAGGAAGGAAAAGAAAGAAACCTGGAGATGGCTTGTTTGTGTCATATGGGTACACTAGGATGTCAGATAGACAGTAAGTGTAAATGATACAAGTCAATTAAAAAATGGAAATTTATTAGGTATTTGTATTTAAAACACACACTGTGGAGTAAGATACACGCTGAAACAAAAGATCAGCCAAATATGAAAATAACCACTTTGGAAGTTGATTTTAAAACACATTATAGGTGGTCCTCAACTTAGGATGGCTTGACATATGATTTGTTGACTTTATGATGGTGCAAAAGTGAAAAGTATTCAGTGGAAACTGTACTTCCAATTTTGAATTTTGATCATTTCCTGGGCTAGTAGTAAGTGTGGAAGGATCCTCTTTCATGATGCTGGGCAGCTCCCCATCAGCAGCAGCTCCCAGTCAGCCATGTGACCTTGAGGGCAAACAAGTGATATTATTCTCTACAGTGCTCTCCTGTATTCAGTAAATTACATGAGGTAGTCCGCACTTTATTATAAAGTCAGCTTTGTGTTAGATGACTTGGTCCAACTGTAGGATAATGTGTTTGGAGCACATTTAATGTAGGCTATGAGGTATGATGTTCGGTAGGTTAGGTGCATTAAATGCATTTTCAACTTACCATATTTTCAGCTTACCATGGGTTGGGGGCAGCCCAGTCGTAAGTCGAGGGGCATCTATATTCTCTTCTCCCTCATCCCCAGCCTTCTCCCTGTTGTTCCCCAAGCACACAGGCCATAACCCTCACTTCATGCTTGACATGCAACCTTCCTTTTCTTCCTTCCCGCTCCTTTTTAGTGACATCTGATTCTGTTACCCTGTCTAAGTCAAAAGGACCCCTTATTTCTAGTATTCCCTCTAGTACTCAGTTGACTTTTTCCATAGCTTCCTGAATGGAACACATGCTGAGGGTGAAAAAATAGAAAGTCTTAGCCAATATATTGTAATTTACATACCAAAGGCTGGCTCTTGGGGATGAGGGGAGAGTATTACGTGAAAGTTCGTTGGTTATTATCTGGTTATAAGATATGGCAGCGTTCCTCTTTGACATATCTTTGATATACATTGTTTCATTACTCAGATGTTAATTTTGTTTTGGGGATTACATAAGCATGTGGTCCATTTTAAAGCAATATTTTGTTTTTTCAGATTATATTTGTATTTCAGGAAAATGATTTATTTGATTTGTGACATGTCCATAAAGCTTAAGGTTTTATGATTTTAAGAGAGATGCTAAAGATACATTTGGTTGCTTCCTTTAAAATTTATCTTCAAGCTCCACTCAGTCTGTGGTTGGCCTAATCCATCCTGGTGGCTTCAAATAATACCTGTTCATGGATGACTCGCCCCAGATCTCACCTCTGAACTCCAGGCATCTATATCCAGCATGAATCCTTTCTCTTCTGGAAGTCTCCAGTTCTGGCCTGCACGGTTGTAATGGCCTTTGATGGATCTTCCCGCTCACATGCTTGCTACCTCCATTCTGTTCTCTGTATTGCAGCTAAAGCAGCTTTTCTTGATGTACGCCAGTACTTTATCCCTTATCAGGACATGCCATTTATTCTCAGCATCTAAGCAGTAAGAATATAAATATCAAAAAAAGAAACCTCCAAATGTTTCATTAGTACCCAGCCAAGAGTGTCTCTGTCTCAACCCCCTTCACTTCTGTTCACCTAGCTTTTTTCCTCTTTAGGAACTGGAAGGCACTGCATAGCCCTGGCTCTGTGCTCACACCTGTATTTGCCATATTTATGTTCCTTTCATCTTTTATGTTAGAGGCACCTGCTATTGGTTCTGCCCCCAGTTGTGCCTGATTTTCTCTCAGGTCCACTTTCTTTAGATCAGTGAATGATTATACGAGTGCTTTTAGTGCTGTGCCCCTCAAATCCTTTTTGAAAATAGAGTATATTGAATGCTCAACTCAATTTAGTGTATAAGAACAAAAATACAGATGCTGGTTATAAAACAGATGTAAGTCAGCCTGAGAGACTGAAAATATTTTGTCTTTATAGTCCTCCTTTTCTATTAATATATGGGAAAAGAAAAGTAGATTTCCTGCTTTTTCAATTTGCAAATGATTTTTCAATTTGAAGTACCTTAACATAAAAAGAACATTCATTCTGTGGCTTTAGAATTTGGCCTATTATTAACAAAAGATAATACGAAATTCATCACCTTAATAATCTCTACTCAACAGCATTTGAATGACTTATAAATTAGTGATTTTTAAAATCTAAAGACTCATAAAAAACACATTTCTTGAGAGCCACACTTATCATATTTAGGTTTATTATAGTTTAACTTAAAATGACCTGGTAATATCCTGGTTTGGGTTTTATCCTAGTACTAAGTATTGACCAAAGGGGGAAGAAAATGAGCTAGCAATTGAGTCTAGTCTGCTGAGTGAGCTCCTTCCAAAACTTTAAGTATAGATTACGCCAGTACATTTTCTCAAATACTATAGGGATCAATATCCTAGTGTATCTTCTCTGGGCTTTGACAAAATAAAACTCCTTAGATCACATAGTAGGTATGTGATACGTATATCAACAATACTTGAAAAGTTTTTAAAATTGGGCAAAACAAAACATTTAAACCAATATCTCACATGTTGGGAGATGAAGGATGCAGAGGGCTGGTTGTCAACCCATTGTTCTGAATCTGTGAGTTGGCATCCCTGTGTCAACCATCCCCAGTTCACTAGGATCTGTCAGGGAGATCTGGGTTCCAGCTTCACATTCTCTAATTTGCTTTTGAAAAATCTGTCTTTCCATTTTTCTGTCAGTTCCTGCATGTATTCCAAGAGTAATAGAGAGACACATGAGCTCAACTAGCATTGACATGAAGAAAAATTACTAGCAGTTACTTTGACACTTGGAAATGGCAACCTGAGAATCAGAATTTGGAATTTGCTGCTCAAACATCCCTTGGGCTACTTCTTCCTAAAATTGCCACAAAAGTTGACAGCTATCCACTTAAAAGGATAGTATTGTAGCCTTTTCCATGGATCTGAGAAGTTCAGCAAATGAGGCAACAGAATAGTTGATTATGGAGTTTTCAAATTAGCCATTTTTTAATGATTAAGCACAAAACAGATCAGTTTCGTGTTTAATCAATAAAACAGGCCAAGATCAGTATCTTGGCCGTGTAAACAGACTAGCAAAACTTGAGGTGCAGGTTAATGAAGACTAAAGTTGCAGGCCAGATTTTGAAAGCATGAAGAGACTAAAACAAACACTAAGAACATAAATTTTAAAAAAAGCAAGTGTTTGAATTTCAAGGTATTAAGAACAAGTACAATTAAGCTGTGTACATTGGCCACTGTAAAAGAAGGGATCTCCCTGTGACAGATACAGTCCTGTCTTTTCTAGGACAACCTGATATCTCATATTGATTTATTTTTAGACCTGGTAAAATGTTACCGTAAGCATTCCTCATGAGTCAAAAATCCTACCACAGAACTATCCATGTTTCAAAATAAATTAATTTTTTACAAAACAAAATTTTTTCTTCAAATGCTGGAGCTCTTTTAATCTCTTTTATATGAAACTTTCTTTCTCTTTCTTTTTCTTTTCTTTTCTTTCTCTCTTTCTCTCCTTCTTTCTCTCTTTTCTTCTCTCCTTCTCTCCTCTTCTCTTCTATCCCTCTCTTCTCTCTGTTCCCCTCCCCTCCTTTCCCCTCCCCTCCCCTCTTCTCACCTCTCTTTTGACAGGGTCTCACTCTGTTGTCCAGGCTGGAGTGCAATGGCACTCTGTAGCCCCAACCTCCCAGGCTCACTGTAATGGCTCACTGTAGCCCCAACCTCCCAGGCTCAATCAGTTCTGCCACCTCAGCCTCCAGAGTAGCTGGGACTACAGGTGTGCACCACCACACCCAGCTAATTTTTGTGTGTTTTGTATAGACATGTTTTCGCCATGTTGCCCAGGCTGCTCTTGAACTCCTGGGCTCAAGCAATCCACCGGCCTCAGCTTCCCAAAGTGCTGGGATACAGGCGTAGCCACTGCACCCAGCCTGTATCTGTAGTTTCATAAACCTTCATAACCTCTCCCATGAGCTTGACTCCCAGCCAAATGCCTGCTTGACTTCTCTACTTAGATGTTTTATATGCGTGCTCTGTCTGAGCTTCTTCACACAGAACTCTTGAATTCCCACCATGTACCTAACACCCCTTGCAGCCTTCTCTGTCTTGATAAATGTCACAACCACCCAGAGAGTGGCTAAAATGAACAATTTAGGTGACTCTTCCATTCGTTCCTACTCCTACTGCATCTCCATCACAACATCTGACAGTCCTGCCTTCAAAATACATCCCAAGTCCATTCAGTTCTCTCCATCACCACTGTTTCCACCTTCATCCAAGCCATCATTATCTCCTAAATGATTACTGTAACTCCCCTGCTTCCACTCTTTGCTATCATATTGCATTCTCATAAAGTGGCCAGAGTGATCTTTAGAAACATAAACCTAGTAATTCAATATTCGTTCTTTGCACTAGAATAAAATCTCTCAGCTCCTTACTGTGGCCTAACCTTGCATGATCTGATGCCCACCTGCTTCACTGGCCTAATTTCATACCACCTCCACTAGAGATACACTGGTGTGTTTTCACCTGGGGCCATTGCAATTATTTTCCCCGAAGAGTTTTTTTGTGGTTGGTTACTTGTCATCATCCAGGTCACAAATGTCACCTCCGCCCAGAATCCTCCCCTGAACCACGTATTTAAAGTGGCTCCCTCCAGTCCCAGCTACTTGGGAGGCTGAGGCAAGAAGATTGTTTGAGGCTGGGGAGTCAAGGCTACAATGAGCTGTGATGGCACCACAGCACTCCAGCCTGAGCAACAGAGTGAAACCCTGCCAAAAAAAAAAAAAAAAGAAAAGAAAAAAAAGGAAAGAAAGAAATAGTAAATCCAAGAATGGCTAGGAAAACCAGCTAATTTACCTTGTTAAGAATTGCATGTGAAGAATGGAATTCAGAAGTAAAGCATACATTAGTAAGGGGACATTATTCTCATCTGTTTTTCCCAATTCCTGAGCCTTTTGGTGGGTGGTTTTGCATAGAGATGTCCAGAAGCTGTCTTGTCAAGACCTTTATCAATCCAGTCTTACAAGACTAGGAGGGAAGGAGAGAAGTTAGATGTACTTTGAGCCATGATGACTGGTTGTGGAAGCATCAGAAGGGAGTGATCTGAAAAGTGGAGAGAGCAACTGAAGATTCTTTATTGCAAGTTCTCGAGGAGGAGGAGCCCTTCACACACCTGTCAGCACTGATTCTAGCGAAGGGGACCAGGAAGAGGAAGGATGAGTGGTCTCTTGGTTCTCTGAGGTTATTCTGTGACATGGGTTCACTTTTATTCTTATAACCAAATATCATCTTTAACACATCACTAGACAAGACTTGAGATAGTGGTGTTTTAACCAGAGAATGGTTGCTTTCTCTTTAAGTTCCTAAGTTTCCCTAAAGTAGAAGATACTAAAGGAGTTTCTTTTGTCATAAATATACGTGATATAAAATTTACCATTTTATTCACATTTAAGTGTGTAGTTTCAGATGCATTGCATACATTCAAATTGCTGTGTTACCATTGCCACTATTCATCTCCAGGACGCTTTCAACATTCCAAACTGAAACTCTGTTCCATTATGCAATAATTCCCTGTTCCCCCCTCCTTCTGGCGCCTGGTAACCACCCATTCTATTTTCTGCCTCTATGAAGTTGACTATTCCAGGTACCTCATATAAATAGAATCATGCTATATTTGTGTTTCTGTGTCTGGCTTATTTCATACAGTATAATGTCTTCAGAGTTTAGGTTGTAGCATGAATCAGAATTTTTTTCCTTTTTATTTTATTTTATTTTATTTTTTATTTTTGAGACGGAGTCTCGCTCTGTCTCCCAGGCTGGAGTGCAGTGGCGCGATCTCAGCTCAGTGCAAGCTCCGCCTCCCGGGTTCACACCATTCTCCTGCCTCAGCCTCCCAAGTAGCTGGGACTACAGGCGTCCACCACCACGCCCGGCTAATTTTTTGTATTTTTCAGTAGATACAGGGTTTCACCATGTTAGCCAGGATGGTCTTGATCTCCTAACCTTGTGATCTGCCCCCCTCAGCCTCTTCCTTTTTATTTTTTTAATTTTATTGACATAATTATATTTATGGGCTACATGGTGATGTTTTAATACATACAATGTATAGTGATCAAATAAGGGTAATTAGCATTTCTGTCATCTCAAATATTTATCATTTGTATTGGGAACATTTGATATCCTCCTTCTAGCTATTTGAAGCTGTATATTATTGTTAGCTATAGTCATCCTACAGTGATATGGATACTAGAACTTATTCTTCCTATCTAGCTGTAATTTTGTATCCTTTAACAAATCTCTGGCTATTCTCTCATTCCTTCTTAAAGCTGAGTAATATTCCACTGTATGTGCATACAACATTTTGTTTATTCCTTCATCCATCGATAGACACAGGTTGTTTCCACCTTTAGCTATTGCAAATACAGGTGCTATGAACATGGGTGTACAAATATCTTTTCGTGTCCCTGCTTTTAGTTCTTTTGGGTATATGCCTGGAAATGGAATTGCCAGATCATATGGTAATTCTGTGTTTAATCTTTTTGAGGGAAATACTCAAGAGATTTTAAACCCATAAGCCAATTGGACAAAAAGTTCATGTATTTATTGCTTCATATATGTCATATAGTGTATTAGGCATCAGAGAATGGAAATAAATGGGACAAGGCTCCTCTCAAGAAACACAGAGCCTTAGGATGTGGGACATAGTCAATAGATGCATAAGTAATTAGCTATTATACATTGTGTTCAATTCTGTAATAAGATATGTATAGAGTACTGTGGGAGTGCATCATAATAATAGTGATTTCTAGTGTTTCTGAAGATAAAATCTGATTGGACGTTGTCTGAGATAGACAAATTCTACTGAATTCTGGTTAATAGTGGATCATGCAGTATAGAAATTCTGGTGTACAAGTTTTTGTTGCACATTTGGTTTTTTAATAGCTAACTGAATCCTACATGTCTCTCTTTTGTTTTATCTTCCTCTAGTGGTTTTTAATTGCCAACAGATCCTACAAAGTCAGTGCAGCAAGCTCTTTTTTCTTCAGTGGTGTATTTGTTGGAGTTATCTCTTTTGGTCAGCTTTCAGATCGCTTCGGAAGGAAAAAAGTCTATCTCACAGGTAATCTATTAGAGTATTCATAAACTGGATGAGAGGGCTTATTTCTCTAAGATTCTTAGGGAAATAATAAGGGGACTATTTCCTTAAGGTTCTCCGGGAATTGGCATATGGACACAGAACTGATCTTTATTATCCTGGCAAGAGGCCAAACTGCAGCTTGAGTGCTTCTGGCCAGGCACCTTTAAGTTACTAGCCCACCTAGTTAAAGTCAGATATTTGTGTTCTAAACCGTTCATAGGTGATGGTGCTTTCTGCAACCCCCAAATTTTAGTTTATGCCATGTTGCTAAGGAGAGAAGTAAAAGACTGTGACAGTGTACTAGGCCCATTTCCTTATATCTCTCTGTGTTGATTCATTTCAAATGAGCTCTACAGGACTTGGCATAGTGCTCTTGACAAGCTGAGTATGAGCAAGGGTTTTTCATTTTCCAGCATTATTGTGAATAATTGAAAACTGTCTGTGATTGACAGAAATCATGTAATAAAGTAAACCTTATGGTTTTTTAAAAAAATAGTTTCCAAGAGAAGCTGTTAAAAAAAAAAAAAAACACACAGCTGGCTGGGCGCGGTGGCTCACGCCTGTAATCCCAGCACTTTGGGAGGCCGAGGTGGGTGGATCACGAGGTCAGGAGATTGAGACCATCCTGGCTAACACGGTGAAACCCCGTCTCTACTAAAAAATACAAAAAAAATTTAACCAGGCATGGTGGCGGGCGCCTGTAGTCCCAGCTACCCGGGAGGCTGAGGCAGGAGATTGGTGTGAACCCGGGAGGCGGAGCTTGCAGCGAGCCGAGATTGTGCCACTGCACTCCAGCCTGGGTGACAGAGCGAGACTCCATCTCAAAAAAAAAACAAAAAAACAAAAAAAAACAAAAAGAAACCCACAAAAACAGCTCAGAAAATTTAAGTTTACAAACATTTATTTTATAAGCTAATGAATATAATTTATTACTTTCATCAAATGCTATTTTGCCTCTGGATTATTGAATATTGTTTTCTCTTTCTAGGTTTTGCTCTTGACATCTTATTTGCAATTGCAAATGGATTTTCCCCCTCATATGAGTTCTTTGCAGTAACTCGCTTCCTGGTGGGCATGATGAATGGAGGGATGTCGCTGGTGGCCTTTGTCTTGCTTAATGAATGTGTGGGCACCGCCTACTGGGCACTTGCAGGTACTACTTAAATCATGCAGCTCTGGACTGGGTGAGCAGCTCCAGAAAATTTTATAGGGACCCAGTTTAATCCTAGAGTCTGGAAATGCATTTGGACTTGAGGTACTTTATCCAACTATTAGATTTGCTTTTCTGATTTGGTTCTGTATGACCCTGAACAAGTCATTTTATTAATATTCCTCTGTAGACAGTCTTCCTGGGGGCCTGCCTCACATGTGAGCTTGCCATCCGCCTCATGGACTGCCTACAGATTACTGTGGAGACTATTGATTTCCTCGGAAGGACACTAGCAAATTTTTACAACTTAAACTGAAAAATAGTGCAGACATAGGAAATATTAGAAACTCCTTTCTTACAGCCTTTTTATTCTAGTTTATTAAATTTTTGTTTCACAGCCCTTTTTTGTTTTTACTGCTCTCAAGTCAACATAGTACTATTGTAGCATTTCTTTATTGATATTTAATTTCCAAAATTGAGACTGTATTCTGAATTATTTTTGACTATCCCATTATTTTCTCAAGAACTACATAGATAGTAAAATAAATGATTTTAAAAGGTTATTTAATTTCAAATATTGTCATAAGAGAAGTAACTGTGTCTAAGACTTTATAGACTTAGGTTTGCAATGATAACTTTTTGTTTCTTTTACTTTCATTCACTTGACAATGGTTGAATGTTTCCCATGGATGTTCTTATATGGATATGGGAAACAGGTTGACCGTGTGACTGATGGAAATGTGTCTTTGGGAGGATCTATATGAGAAGGCCATTTCTTAGAACCTGATACACAGTGCCAGCCATCTCTTATGTACCAGCTACCATGCTAGGCATTTGACATCCATCTGTAATATTCCCGGAGCTTACAAGTTAAGGATTCCTACCTTCATTTTATGGATGATGAAATTGAGCCTTTGAGAGATGAGGTGACATGCCTGTTTTCAGCAGCTGATAACTGACAGGGCCAGAACTGCAACCTGGGTCTTGATGACACCCAGGTCATCTTCCACTGTTCCCCAAAGACTCTCCTCTTGGAACTTCAGCATGTCACCTCATGTGAGTGCTGGCCTGGTCAACCTGTTATTTCTAACTGGTGTTGTTTTTGAAGTGTATGGGCTATTGTATCGAGCTGGAAGACACAAGGCTAAATAAAGTAGACTTGTGGTCTGTTTGCATCTCCACTAAACAGCTGTCGAGTGGAAGGATCCATAGGGTTGGACCAGTTAGAACTAGGCTGGAGAGGAAGAGACACCAGCTCCATCCTCTCCAGACAGGCTTCCTGCTGGTCTCAAACAGTGTTGCCTTAGGATTCACCTTGTCTGTAGCAACTTCGAAAGCCTTTTTGGAACTGGTCCTAAGCTGGGATGAGTGAAAAAGCTTCCTCTGAGTCTTCAATTTGCATTGAGACTTTAGGGTCATTTTTCTGAATAGTATGGCCAATTTCCTGGGACTTTCTAAGAAGTTGGTAATGATGGTGATCATGCCTGCTCCCTGTATCCAGGGAAGGGAAAAAGGCACTCTCTCCTTTGATTTCAGTTTTCCTGAGGTCCAAAATTGTGCTCATGTAGAGCACCATGAATACATATTTTTCTTGTACCTCTTAACATTTCTCCATTATAGTATTTATATTTGATTTTAGTCGTTGCATGAAGATGCTGTTTTATAAAAAACGTATACCACTCCCACCCTGCCAGATTATCTAAGTATTTTTCCTGTCATATTGCATGTGTTAGGGGAAAGGACCAACCCTGGTCTCTTGCTCTCTTGCTAGTTGCCTAAAGCCAGTGAAAAGAGTCCCCTTGGAGTGTTTTGACCTCTCATTCTTATCCTTGATGCTGGGTTAAGATGAGACTATCAAAATTTCTGTAGCAAAGTGAAAAGGGAGAGAGGAAGAAAAACTGTAACAGTGAAACCACATGGTTGCCAAATTCAATGTGAAATTGAGAGCATGTATGAGAGTTCCCTGAAGACCAGTACACAGCCCTGCACCCAGGACAAAGTAAGGCTCTGATAGCACCTGGAACTTTTTTTGAGTAGCTTCCTTCCCTCTCTCATGAACCGAGGTCTTCCCCAGGGTTTTGTCCTTGGTCTTTCTTTTCAAGCTGATTTCTTTCCAGAATGATTTTATCTACACCTGTGGCTTCAAATATGCTTATGAATTGCAAGAAGTCAGAGAAAACCCTAAATGTTCAGCAATAGGGGATTTGCTGGAAATAGCCTGATTATTTGGCAATGAAAATTAGTTTGAAAAATTATGCTTATTACAAAATAATATTTGCAATATGTAAAAAACAATATGTAAACATATACCAAAAAACACAAGTACGAACTGCAAGCATCCATTTTTGACCAGTTTGCATTGTAGTACTTAACAAAAAGGATTTCTGGCTAATTGACTGAAAATTATTAAGAAGTGAAAAACAAAAAATACTGAAGCTGTGAAAAATTCCATATTAATATATTTATTATTTGTTTTCTTATATTAATGTCTTCATATAACAATTCATGTTCATTGTAGAAAATAATTAAGAAATATATGCACACGTCATCAAACTAAAGAATACATGTAGTCCTATTCCCCTAGAGACGACCATGGTTAACATATTGCTATGTATGCTTCCAGAGCTTTTCCTTTGCATGTCTATTCCACAGCATTCATTTATTAAACGGATTCTGCCATGTACCAGACACTGCTTTTTTTAGATAAAAAGGTGGAAAAGACAGGGATGATTTGGGGGAGGTTCTTGCTCTCATGGAACTGATGCTTTACTTAGGAAAAGTGGAACAAATTGATAATTTCTGAAAATTAGAAGTACAATGAAGAAAATGAAGCAGGGTAATGGGCTAGATAGTAATTGTGGGGAGTAACTATATTAAATAGGATAGTTAGAGAAAACCTCGATGTGGGTGTTTGATCTAAGACATGAATGATTAGGAAGACCCAGGCCTGTGAAATTCTGGGAGAAGTATATTCTAGCTAGATGGAATGGCAAAGACCCAGGCCTTGAAGCAGGAAGGAACTTCTTTGAAAAGTTTTGAAAACGTTCTCATGACTACAGGGTAGAGAGTTAAGGAAAGAGTGAAGTAACTGAGAGGGACCAGATGATACAGGGCCTGTGATGGGCCAAATGAGGAATTTGTTTTTTACTTGAAGTACAGTGGGAAGCCAGTGGGGCATATTAAATACAGGAGTGATAGGGTCTCATATACAGAAAGATTACTCTGGTAGGTACAGAAATTGAGGGATCATTTAGTAGGCTGCTATAGTTGGCCACATGAAACCAGTGGTGGGTTAGACAGGATGGAAGCAGTGGAGAAGAAAGAGGATGTGTCTGAGCTGGATTTTGGTGGGAAAGTGACTTGCTAAAGGACCAGTAGAGATGGGGAGAGCAAAATAACTCAAGGAGACTTCATGGTCTGTATTTGAAGATGGATTACTGGTACCGTTTACAAAAATGAAGTCATAACTATATACTCTTTTCTAACCTGCTGAAGTTTAGCTTTTACTAGTGCAAACTGAGCAGGAATAGCGAAGTTGAAATTAATTAAAAATAAGCAGAGAATAAATTTTAAAATAGGCATAGTACTTAAAGGCATATACATGGTTATAAAGCCACCTATGATACTCCAGAAAAGATGACTTGAAATGTTTATTTTTTATTAATTTTTTAAACCAAGTAACATAGAGCCTTATTATATTCATCTCTACGCCTTCTCCCTGTTGTCATTCTAATGAGCTCATATATAAGGGAAAATCATTTGGTTAGGATAACTAGACCATGAAGAACCAGGCGTTGAAGATGCCCAGAACCAGAAGTCAGATGCTTCTCATTTCAGCTCCCCATCCTCTCTGAGAAGCTTCCTCTGCATAGTCACAGACAGGGCCCAGCAGCTCCAAGTCTAGTATTTAAAGTCTTGGGTAAGGCCTCTGATCGGCTCAGCTGATTGGGGTCACCCTGCAGTTAGAGGAACTATACTTGGCAGGCCCCATTTGAACCACAGAGATGAAGTCAGGGAAGTCGGTTCTCCAACAGTGGGTGGGACATTCTTGGAATTAGGAAGGAGAACCAGGTAGCAAATATTCTGTGATAGATTCAACAGGAGGCTTTCAGATGGCTTTTTTTTTTGAGGTTAATAAATAGAAGGGCTAAATCCAGATTACATTAGGACAATATCGAACATTTGTATAACATGAGGTAGGCACTGTTATTTCTGTTTCACCAATAAGAAAACTGAGGCTCGGGGATATTTAGTGATTTGCCTAAGGTCAGAGTAGTATGTAACAGAACTAGGATCTGAACTTGGTTCCTCTGAAACCATCCCTCCTCTGGGCTTTCTTGGTTTTGCCTACATTGTTGTCAAGGGATACTGAGTGCTCAGGACTATTCTGAGCAATGATAGACAAGAAGTCTTATTCTTGGAAGCCAGGTGCTGTTTGATCTACAGCAGTGAACCAGTAGTAGCTATTGACTGTCTTAAATTTCCAGGAAACTCACACTGTCCTCATCCCACTACTCATTGGACCACATATTCTGAACATGCTGTCACATCAGCTTTCCTTTCTAGCTCTCCCTTTCCTCACTAGGTCAAACAGTATACAAGCCATCACTTATTTGTTATAAAGTAATAAGCAATGGATAGGAATCAAAGAAAACACATGTGTTACAAGATTATTATTTTTGTAACAAGATCAACAAAGTTTTGTCACTGTGGAATGCCCACAGAAATTGCCTTTCCATAGAGGGGAGATAGAAGAGAGGAATGGTACAGAACCTGGGCACAAGTCCTGGCCCTGCTACTTACAGCTCTGTGTCCTTAGGCAGCTTCATTTAACCGCTCTGAGCTATTTTCCACTTCAGTATATGGTTGATAATGGTACTTACTTCATAGGACAATGTATGTGAAACCATTATGCTTAATAAATAATAGCTATTACTACCACTAATAGCAGTAGTGGCACTTATAGAAAGTGTGTCAGAGGTATAGAATTTGCAAGAATATTGGGCAAGCCTGTGGGTTTAATACCCATCTCAATATTTATTTCAAAAAGCGTAAGGTTCTTTACAATTCCATGGTTGATATTTTTCCATCATTGTGCTGACAAAAATCCATGCTTAAGGGAGCTTATTTTCTACTTGGGAAAGACAGGAAACAAATAAATACAAAATGTCATGTATCCTATAGTAATACATTAAGTAGAGAAGGCAGTAGGGAGAATTGGGAGAGTGAGTTGTGATTTAAGAAACTTCGGCTGGGCAAGGTGGCTCACGCCTGTAATCCCAGCACTTTGGGAGGCTGAGGCAGGTGGGTCACAAGGTCAGGAGTTAAAGGCTAGCCTGGCCAAGATGGCGAAACCCCATCTCTAATAAAAATACAAAAAAAAAAAATTAGCCAGGCATGGTGGCGGGCGCCTGTAATCCCAGCTACTTGGGAGGCTGAGGCAGAGAATTGCTTGAACCCGGGAGCCTGGGAGGTGGAGGTTGTAATGAGCCAAGATCTTGCCACTGCACTCCAGCCTGGGCGACAGAGCGAGATTCTGTCTCAAAAAAAAAAGGGAAGGAAGGAAAGAAAAGAAAAGAAAGAAACTTCAAGGGCAGCCTGTGTGATAAAGATTAAGTTTCTGGTATTGCAATAACCTCATGACCTGAAAAGCGTATTACCCATATGGCAAAAATATTTCCAAGCCTCAGCCAGAGGTTCAGGCAAATGTCAGTACAACAGGCAATGCAGAAAGCATTTAGACAAATTCTTAAAATTTATATATCCCCATATAGTTTGTATTTTTTGTCTATCTTCCCTTTATTTCCACTAATTTTCTGGCCTCTATGATACTTTCATTCTCTGATGTTCAACTTAGTGTAGATTTTTTTTTCTTTTCTGGTGTGCCTCTTATAGTTGCCAGCATAGGGCTGACATCTCACCAGGAAGAAATTGGCTCTGTAACTTGGGGTTGGAAATGGTGCTGCAGATGGTGCTTTCTCCAGTGACAGTTCTCTTTTCCCTGAATTAGGATCGATTGGCGGCCTGTTCTTTGCAGTTGGCATTGCCCAATATGCCCTGTTAGGATACTTCATCCGCTCCTGGAGGACCCTAGCCATTCTGGTTAACCTGCAGGGAACGGTGGTCTTTCTCTTATCTTTGTAAGTAGTTTTTCCTCTTAGAGTTTTAATTTAAAAAGCCAAAGCAATGTCTTAAGAGGATGTGGGTCAATGAGCAGCATTATTCCCTTTCAGGAGCTTGCCTGCACTGACTTTGGTGAAGAACTAAATTCTGCAAGTGCTCCAATTCTTGGCAGCTCCTGGGAAGAGAGATGCTTAATTAATTCAGAATGCAGGTATCCCTTGTTTAAAGTAACCTCTCAATACACTGCATTGTAACCTTCACATTGTTGGCATAGGCAACCAATTGCTTTTTTAACCTAATACCTCAACCTTAAAGGTCTTCAGACTGGATCACATTATGTGCTAGGTGTGTGACTGAGGTATGATTTTGTAGAACAGTGTATTCATATTGGATATGTAGTGACAACTGTTCATCCTACAGATTAGTGTCATTTCAGGGCCTCTAAACATTGACTCTGGAAGAGTCTTAGATATAGGAGAAATCCTTAGGGTGCACGGCCTCATAGCAGTGGCAGGATGATTCCCTGGTCAGGGAAGGACTCTATAAATGACTGCCCAAGGGTGTCATACCATGGCCCTCTAAGACACATAGATGTTACAAGGCAGGCCACCATTTCCCCAGAAGTTTTTTTTTTTTTGAGACGGAGTTTCGCCCTTGTTGCCCAGGCTGGAGTGCAATGGTGTGATCTCGGCTCACCGCAACCTCTGCCTCCTGGGTTCAAGTGATTCTCCTGCCTCAGCCTCCCAAGTAGCTGGGATCACAGGCATGCGCCACCACGCCCGACTGATTTTGTATTTTTAGTAGAGACAGGGTTTCTCCATGTTGGTCAGGCTGGTCTCGAACTTCTGACCTCAGGTGATCTGCCCACCTCAGCCTCCCAAAGTGCTGGGATTACAGGCGTGAGCCACCGCGCCTGGCAGAATTTTTTAAGTGGTATATGAAAGGCTTTTCTTCCCTGAGATATCAGATCTCTGATGGTAATCATCAAAATCTTTGACATAAACAAAATTTTCAGCCAGTATTTCCTGCCTTCATCTATGCCATAAAGTGAAGGAGACCTGTAGTAGTGTTTTAATTCTGACAGCTCTTTAATTTATTTACTCTTTATCCGGGGTCTAAATTGAGATTTGGTGGGGACTAAACTGAAATTTTTCATACATTTTTGAAAGCAAGAGAATGTTAAGTGCAAAAATGAATAGAGTAGAAGTGGCCTATATTTTAAAAATAAAATTTATTAAATGTATTTTTAGTTATATGAATTTGAGTGAGATAATTTTATTAGAAGAGGAAACTAATATGATTTTATTAACTTGTATATTGTCAATTTTTGAAAGTAATAAATGGGTGCCTACTATAGTACTTAGAATTAATAAACATTTATGTAAATATTGATGAATAAATAAATTTTCTTTTAAAATGTTTCGTAAATTTCCTACTTCTCCATCTTATCTGGCTTTCATCTCCCCGTTAATAGTATAATAGTAGCACCACTTCACTGGATGATCTGAGCTGTTCTGCTTTTTTTTTTTTTTTTTTTTTTTTTAAAATATATAGTCTGAACTAGTTACTGTTTAGTGCTAGGTGGAAACATCTCCTCACTGGGAGGTGAGTTCAGGTCGTGAAAAATAGAAAGCAGAGAGAAAAGAACTCATGAGATTTAAATATTTACTTATTCCACTAAGCCTGGAATGTAAGGCTTCCCACAGTCAGCCTCCATTTATCTTTCCTAATTTCCCATCCTATGTTCAGGCACACTGCACTACTTGTTCCTTATGCTTTTCTGCTCCATGCTGCTACTCAGTGCTGTGTCTGCTTTTTCAACAATCTTCTGCCCAGATCTTCTTATTTGATAAGTACACCACTGTCCTGATTTTCTCAAATGCCGTCCACCCCATCTTTTCCTGATCATAGCTTCAGCTACAAGTCATTGTCTTTCTTTTTTGAATTCCACGGCATTCACCCATACCCTTTGAGTGGCCCTTATGTTTCTGCCTCATAATGGAGCCATGTTCTCTCTTTCTAAACTGAGAGCTCTCCAACAGTAGCAGGCTCTTTGCTCCATGATAACATTTTCCCCAGTACCAAAGCCAGGGGTTTCCACACAGTAGATCCTTGGACATTGCACAAATGTTGGCACAAAAACATTTGGAATCACCTTTAGAATTTGTAATCAGCAACATAAGAAGCCACATTATATACCTTATTTGTTTACCAGAAACATTTTTACCTAGCTTAAAAATTCCTTATTTTCACAATACTTCAATTTCAGTAGATTTACTTTTTTTCTGAAAACCAGGGTCCCCTTAATTTACAAAGATTTGCCACCTTTAATGATATTCATGGAGCGGTTTTGAGTTGGGCAACATTGTTAAATTAGCATTTTAGCTTTCAAAGGAGCCCACGGCACAGATGACCCTGCTGCTATGTAGAGGACGGCATGTTCAAAGGCCTGCTCTTTCTTTTAAAAACGTGTCTTACTGTTTTGTACGTATAATCTGCGTGTGTTGGAACTCTGTTTCCAAATCTGTCCACTGGCAACTAGGTGACCCTCTTTAGAAGCAAGCTTATTGGCCTCTCAAAATGCAAAGAAATATAAGACCGTAAGTTTTCATGATCAAGATAAACCCTTTGCCAGGTAGAAATAGTTTTATTAACTCAGAGCCGAATTTCTAAAGCCTTCGTGTCTCTCAAATACCAGCTTTAAAATGATTTATAAAGTTTTAAAAGTAATTTTTATTGCTTATAAACAATTTTGAAAACACAGAGAGGCTAAGGGTAGGAGAAAATGACATATAACCCAAAGATAATGACTGTGAATATTTTGGCGTATTTTCTGTTGTTTCTTTTTTATTCCTCCCAATCCTCCCCAAAATAATTTTTATTATCATATATTTTCTCTCAATATTTATCACAGTAGTCCTCTTTCATTTAGACATAATCAAGTGGTTTTACGTAATAGCTCCTATATGCCCCTATGGATAGGGCCAATAAATCCTACTCATAACCTGCAGACCTAACTTCAACAGAACAATGTTTTACTTGATTATTTATTTGTTTGTCCGTAATAATAATCAAATGGCAATGAAGAAGTAAATGGAAGGATTTTTCAGGATGTTATAGATGGCCTTTGTTCCTGCTTTTGCTGACAGTCAAATATTGTGCGTGAATATTCCTTTCCTCAGTAGCAAAGCTCCTGGGAAAACTCCTGCCTTTTGGTTTCCAGCATCTTTCCTTTCAGCACCATTACATTACTCTGTACAAAATTGAAATGCTCAATAAATGGCTGTTGACAGACTGGCTGTCCATTAAGTTTCCAAATCCTGTAGTGTTTGTTCCTAATTCACTATCCTTATTAGAAGGCACAGTGAATTCTATAAAGCACCGTAAATAGCCAGTTTTATTCATCTAAGTTTCATTTTAGGCAGATAATGTCAAATTAGATTTAAAAAAAAAACAACCTTGATTTGTGTCTTGTAAACAAGGCTTCCATATTCCTGCCTTGGTTTTGTCTTTGGAAAGTCCTCTGAAAGTGTAGGTAAAATGGGGAAGAGGCAAAAAGATACATAATATTTAAGTTTTGAAACTCTTTGAATATATCAATGGCAATATAATTATCCAACACTTTGTAGTTACATTAGAAAATAACTGTTGTTTTGTAACTAGAAGTTGGTCAGGAAATAACTTCTATTCTTTAAGGTCTTGGGGGATCAGGAAATATCCTCAGGACATATTAAAGCCAGTGTGTCAGGTGATTTGAGTATTTTGAAGCAGTAAACACTCAAAAGTAGCTTTGGTAAACTTGGTTTCATCTTTATGTGTAGTCTTAAGATAATCTCTACCTCCTACATGTCACTATGTTAAAAATATTTCAGTTTAAATTTTTTTTTCCTGATGAGATAATAAAGATTTCTATCTTGTCAGGCTTTTTTAGAACTTAAAAAAACCCATTGTCTCTACAGTATTTTCAAACAACACTTGGCTAGGATTTAGAGCCATATCTTTGACCTGTGCTTTATGAAGAATTTTCATTATTCAGTCCTATAGACTGAATAATATGTTAATATTTAACATATTAAAATTCACATATTAAAATTTATTTAAAAATAAATGCATACTGTTTGCTTTTTAAACTGCAATTGTAAAGCATGTTCTTGGTTTTCAGTGATAAAGTAGACTACCATTTAATGTTAGCATGCTGTTGAAAGTAGCCCTTTCATATGTTATTGGGAGAGTCAAACTTTAAGTCTAACATGGAATCCCATTTGTGGTGCAGGAATCCACGTACTGAGTAGGTGATTTGTCTCCTTCCTGTGCACGTGTACCTATATGAATATACAGGCTTTAATGACATCTCTTTCAGATTCATTCCTGAATCACCTCGTTGGTTATACTCCCAGGGTCGACTGAGTGAGGCTGAAGAGGCGCTGTACCTCATTGCCAAGAGGAACCGCAAACTCAAGTGCACGTTCTCACTAACACACCCAGCCAACAGGAGCTGCAGGGAGACTGGAAGTTTCCTGGATCTCTTTCGTTACCGGGTCCTGTTAGGACACACTTTGATCCTGATGTTCATCTGGTAATTATACTAAGGCGTGTTCTGTTGCTCTTTAACTAAGGTTGCTCGAGCTTCTCTTGATATCCTGCTCCTTCTTCAGGGTACAGGGAATTTTACCTCTTTTGTTAGCTTGAGGTTGTTTTCTCAACAGCAAGTCTCCTGATCCTTAGCGCCTGGTTTTCTGCTTGCGCAGCCCCGTCTTTCTCAAGTAGCAGATGATAGTGCCTGATGGGCAGGTCCACTGAGCTTGAGTAAGTAGACATCAGAAGCACATCTTTGCTTTTGAGGTATTTATCATAAATATTTAAGCCTTCCTGCCCCTTCCCCTGCAAAAAAGGAAAGAAAGCAAATAAGCATGGTAGAAATAGATGAGTTTTTAAATAGGACTTTAAAAATACTTACCTTTGGCACTGGCATCAAGCAGTTTGCTAGCACATTCTGATTGCGGTGCTCCATGCTGCATTTTCTGTGGCACTCCCACTCACTAACTCACTGAGGTGGGCTAAATATGATCCCTTGTACAGATGGGACCCCAGGAGTTTGAAGTGATGAACCCTAAGCCACATATGTAAATCAGTGATTGAACTGATGAGCACTTTCTGAACCTGATTTTTCTGGTTGTTTAGCTTATTCCCACCTACCTTTCAAAATGCTCTCAGCGTGAGTGTAAGTTGCATTCAGCGGTTCAAGATGGTTTCATTTAAAGAATGAAGTTGTAGAAAGAGGAGAAATGGATGGGTGCATACAATTTGTGGATTGCACATGTGTTTTGATATTGTACATACTGCTAATGTGCCATAAGTGTTATCTGGGCAAAATCATACCTACTAGCCTAAAGGACAGTTGTGCTGTGGCTTATATGTATTTGCCATGAAGCCTGCATGGAGCCCTACATTTCATGCAGGGATAAAGGAAAGTGATTTTATATGAAAGTGATCTTATGTATAAAGCTACAAAGAATAGTAGCTTTAGAATAAGAAGCTGCAAAGATATTTTTCTATATCATATACTCTTTTTCTACCCAAGCAGTGGCTGCCACCTGTATGGTTGGGGGCCATGTTAACCAACTGCTGCTTTCCCCCACAGAACCATCACAGCACTAGGAATATCACAGATGCATAATAAATGTTGAGGCTTGGAGGCATGGAGATTAAGAAAACCGTTGAAAGCCAAACCTGACAACACAACATAGGAGCTGCTAATTTGAGGTTCTACCCATTCAAAAGCAAATACTTACAAAGTATGTTCAGGTACTTAGGGCTCCATAAAACTTTACATTTGTGTATCACATAGACAGTCAGTCAACCTCTGCCTTGGAGGAACCACCTACTTGTTGCAGATTATTCACTATTTTTATTTTTTCCCCCATGTATATTAACTTCTGGGTTCTGGCCTTCAATGGATAAACAAACAAACAAACCCTAGACTTAGGGCCAGGGAAACTGTCCCTGTTCATTTTATTTCTTACACAGCCAAATAAACTTCTTCCCTGAGGCTGAGAATGTTAAAACATGTGATAATAGAGACAGTCACTCCACATATTGCCGTTCTTTTTGAAGATGCTATAAAATTCTAAAATCTTCTCTGTGGATCTGTCATTCAAGAAAGCCTTAACTGGGGATTCAAATTATACCTCTGTGTTAAACATCTGTTCCTTTAGTTATTTTCCACAATAGTGCCTTTTTAAATAATTATTTGATGCTCTAAATATACTGTTAAATATTATGCAAGCATTTTAGATTTTGTTTGGGGGACATAAAGAGGATTGAAATGATTTTAATAGCTGTAATTATGGATCCCAATGACCAACTCTATGACGAAGGCAACTTGCAGAGCAGAGGCCCAGCCCTGGGGACAATGGGCCTTCCATGCTTCATGCTCTCCCCGTTCTCTCTCACCACCAGCTGGGAACTAAATTCCACTATTGTCCTGAACTGGCTTGTCTATTCTTGCCCTGACTTGATACTGTCACAGCTTGATTTAAATAGGGGTGTCTCTGTGTGTGTGTGTGTGTGTGTGTGTGTGTGTATGTGTGTGTGTGTGGCTGGAATTTCTATTGTAAATGCAGAACAGACACAGAAAACCAACTGGGAAACAGCATTATGTAAATGCTGTTTCTGCAGGTGTAAGGGATTTTAAAAACGTTTTAGAAAACTGCATGGATTTAAATTTATTTTGCCTTCTGCTTTCATGCAAGATACCTGGGAGACAGTGAGAACAGACAATGCAGTGTCACCTTGCATCCTTACATGTGATGTCCTGGCTACAATCCTGCCCGTTGTCCTTGGTATATGAATAACACTTCATCTCAGTAAGAAATCATGCATAATACTTCTGGCTCATTTGCTAGGGAGGGCTGGACTACTAACCACTCCAGCTTGAGGGTCCCTTCTCTTTACATCTCTCTCTTCTTACATTACTACAGCCTGGGGTACTTGGCCCACTTCTGAGATTAAGCAGAGATGGAAATAAAACTTTCCCTTTCCTGACTGATCTCATTATAGCCACAGCTCATTAGAGTTTCTCTAAGGAAAACTAAAGGGAAGCAAATGAGAATGTCCCCTTAATAAACACTGATCAAACTGTGTTGCAAAAGCATAAAACCTGATGAACTTAACAAAGCTTCGGTGTTTTACTGCTTGTATAGAAATTTGTGGTTTACCAAACATATTCATATTTTTGTAAAGCCCAGTTTCAGGGTTTTATTTTTGTTCATTCTATTCTATTTTGTTTTGTTTTATTTTAATAATGCAGTTTCCTAGGCATAGAAGTTCCTACTACCACCATTACTGTGTTTGAGGAAGCCCTGATTTGGATCTTTAGGTTGGCACTTGGCTTCCTCAGCTCTTTAGTTCTTGGATTGTAGGAGAGAGGCTTGGTGCCTAGCACTATGCCTGCCACCCAAGAGGAGCTCCCTGTTTGTTTCAGGAACGGTGTACATAAATAAATTAATGGCTTTTTAAGTGACCCTTCCTCGGTTGTTCCTCCTAGAAGATCCTGCCTTTGCTGTGACCTTTAATTTTTCTTTCCTGTTCTGGGAGTCTGTATCATGTGCACCTGCTGAATGCAGGATGGGGTTAAAACCTGCAATGGGAAGTGTCTGGATCATTGGGGATTGGAGTGCCAGTCATTTTGGGCCTGCAGGTGACCCACTGAAGATCCAGTCACTTCTCAGCTCATGTTCTTAAGGCCATCTTCTGTTGGCTTTCTCCATGGGAGTTCTTTTCTAGAATCATTTCAATAATATTACAACTATCTATAACAAGTGTTCCATAAATTGTTGCCTTAAATAAAGAATAGGGTCATTGTGTTCTATTAATTGCAGAAATGCTTGCTGAAAGCACATGCAATGTCTTTCCTCTTTAAGGGGCTGGCCATCCATTTGATTTATATAACATATAGACATAGCTCAAATTATTTCCAAACCCCCATAATTTTTTTGTTTTTTCCTAGTGTTGAAATTTAGATTAAAATAGAAAAATTAGTAGGAGAGACAAGCTTATTGCTTACAGCAGATCAAGCAATTATATTGAACCAATATTTGAATCTCCTCTGGCAAATTCTTATGTACTTTTCTGTTGTCCTTCTTGTCTTTTACCTCCTGGTCCTTTGACTCCCAATTGCAGGTTTGTGTGCAGCTTGGTGTATTATGGCCTAACTCTGAGTGCGGGTGATCTAGGTGGAAGTATTTATGCCAACCTGGCCCTGTCTGGCCTCATAGAGATTCCATCTTACCCTCTCTGTATCTACTTGATTAACCAAAAATGGTGAGTAAGTGTGGATGAATATGAAGTGCACCGTAGAGAATGCACACATACACATATGCCCTCTGATACACATGCATATCTATATGGTGTTGTCTTTGTATGCAGTATCAGCTGATTGCTCTGTGGTGATTAGAGTTTCTTTCCATCTAAAAACAGTTAGAATTCATTTCTTAGTGCAGGATTTCTTGAGTTTCATGTTTACGAGTTTTTATATAGATTTCAATTCAATATTGAATATCGAAATCCAAGATAGTATTGAATATTACCATCAGAGGGTTTATGAGTAGTCTGTATGTAATTTGTTAGTCTCCAGAGATGAGATTATTAGTTCTGTGTAGATGAAACTCTATAAACCCAATTAGCAATAAATATTTAGAAGTTCTTACAAGAAGACAAATAATTGAAGGAACTAGAAAGACTTTTCTTATCTTCTGTGGCCCATCTTACTTTGTTGAGGAGGCAGAAGATAAAACCTTCTTTTGCTACTCATTGTCAGTGGGCACAGTTTTGAGATAGATTTTAAACGTTATTTTATAGAGCACCCTTTCCTCAGTTTTTGAGATTGCTTCTGTTACTTAGTGCCTGACCAGGCCACTTAAAAATCCCATTCTGTATGAGCTGGGAATCAGTTGGATTATGCCATTTCTTTTTCTCCAAAAATCATCATTCCAGCCAAACTCAGAATTTCTTTGGTGTTGTGCTTAATGCCCTTGTCATGAGGTTTTAGTCTAGAGTGTTTTGAAGGGCAGGTTTGGATTCTGTTAAATTGAAGGCTTGTCTCCCAGGGAGTGTTCCCAGTTGCCTCTGCTGATCCCTGTGATAGAGGCTACAGCTTACTCTCATCATGATCCAAGAGCTGGATCAGGTATTGTATTCAGAAATCTTTCCCAGCACCCCCAGTTGTGCCAGATGCCTTTCCTCTGTGCTGCTCTAGCACCCTGTGCATACCTCTGGGGCCACTTAAAAGTGTTATAAGGAAGCCGTCCATGGGGGTATCTTATGTGTCTTTGTATCCCTGGTGCTTGCCTAGCATGGTGTGTGTTACTTGAAAGGCCTTCCATATTGACTGTTAAATTAAGCAAAATGACCTGGAAAAGAACACTCAAGACCTTCTTAGCGCCCCCCAGAGTTAGGATTGAAATCTGAAGCAGAGGGAAGGAATGCTACCTTTGTGACCAGGCAGACCTGAATTCAGATCTAGTCTTTGCCATGTGTTCGTTTTATGACTTTGACAAGTTTCTTCACTAAGCCTCCCTTCGTACTTATCCCCAAACCAGGGATTGTAAAATTCACTGGCAAAATTATCAAAATTATTGAGGTTCCTAGTAAAAGTACCTAGCATGTTGTAAGCCCCTAGAAAAGGGAGACTTTCTAATGTTAATATCTTTCTTCCAAGTCTAAGGCTTTTATTTGAAAATTGCTTCTTTCAACAAAGTATGAAATAGCATTTCACTTATTTCTAACCCACTGACAAATTTTTTTCTGTGTGTATTTTTAAGAGAGAGAGACTTAAGAAAAATGCCAAAACTTTAAACTGCATAAAACCAGAAAAGGTAACCAGAAAATAAAGGGAGCTGTTAGAATATTCTCCTTGTTTCAGTTTCATTCTCTAAAAGATGGAGAATATAATAGTACATGCCTACAGGAATTTTATTAGGATTAAATAAGATAATAGATGGTAAACATTTAAAACAGTGTCTGAAACTTAGGATTTATGGAAATAGATAGAATGATACTATGCCCTTTTCTCACACAAATCACTTAATCCTGCCATCCAGCAACTTTCCCTTTGTTTTATAGTGGTTATTTATTTTGAGTCCTAGTCAGTTTCCTATCAGTCACATTTGCCACTTAGCCTTAAGAGGAGATGAACATATATAATGAAACTGAAGATTTTTAAATAAGAAGGTTGGGAAGAAACAGATGAATTTATAAGGTTCTTAAGAGAACTGTGTAATTTCTTTCTATTGTTTAGGTTTGGTCGGAAGCGAACATTATCAGCATTTCTGTGCCTAGGAGGACTGGCTTGTCTTATTGTAATGTTTCTTCCAGAAAAGAAAGGTATGCCTTTCAAATTTCTACAAGGGTTTTGAACAGTACTTTCATTACAATGAATCATAATATAGTGGAGAGATGACCATATGGCATGCTTCATTTCTGTGATTGCATATTGTTTAGCAATTGTGTGGGATATAATGGGCCAGATTCTTTCCTTTGCTTCAGCTATTCTCTGGGTGAATAATGTGTGTAGAGGTGCACTATTAATTCTTTCAGGCTATTAAGCTACCATCTGGGGTGACTGAGATGTAGTATTGGTGATGTTAGAGTTGTTTATTTGATGATGAGGAGGACTGATTAGTTCTTCACAGAAAGAAACTTCATCCAAGGTTGCAAATTGCACTCGTCATTACAGCCAACCACAAGATTGCAGAGCAGAGCCACTGGTTCTCAAAGGTGGCTTTGGTACCCCTCAAATCTCCACCATGACTCTCAAGGAACTCCGACAACAAGAATAATGGGGATGGTATTCACTGTTGGTGACAATGGATAGTCTCTTAGTCTTATATAAATGTGAAAACACCTAGTTAGGAAACTGATATTTTTATATATGTGTAGCTTTTCTATGCAAACACAGCTTCAAGAAGGATCCCTTTAGCATTCTAATATAACCTGATTACTGCCCCTGTGTAGACATTCTGTAGCTATTGCTGGTTTTCAATCTCTTTTTTCACTAGCACACCTGAGGTATGACAGTGATTGCCTTGGGAACTGTGTTTTTGGCCGTGATTTTCTAGAAGGAGGAGTGAGTCACAACAACTCTCTCATGCTGGAGCATGTGATATAACAAGAGCCCTGTCTTAGGGGCTTTTGGATTTTGATAGGGTTCTGTTATGGAGCTTGCACTCCAGTAGGCAATCATTGTGAGACGATTTGACGTAAAGTTTTGATAACTACTGGAAATGCATGAAGAATTCATTTTTTGTCAGAGTATATCAGGTATTAAATACTCCTTTTGTAAATTGCTTCTTGTGGTTCATTTCTGCGTGTCTCATTAAAGACCCCAAGGCCATGTGTTCTCCCTGTTTTATAACCCTCCAGTATATCTACTCTGCTGTTGATTGCCCCCTGAGTTCTATACCTTGAGCCTCGAGTGTAATTTGCTCACTACTTAGAGTTTACCCAATACTTAGAACAGCTTTAAAATGATTTTCATAGAATCATGGAAACTAGAGAATTGAATAAATTTGCCCATTTTTTATTCTCTGAGCAAATGGGTGCTCCTGCTAATGCTAAGTAGAGGAGGAACTCCCCAGCTATTGCCCTGACATAGACTTGTAGAACTAGGTGCTCAGTTTTGTTTGTCTTCTGGTAAGACTGTGATGGACTTCAAATCGTTGTAGTTTTATATTCAGCAGATTTTGTTTTGCACAGGTACCTTGAGAATTCAGTTTCATTTTTTTTTTAAGCTGCAATAATAGTCCAGCTTTCTGTTTATTGCCTCATAGAGAAAAACTTGTCACTAGTCCTATATACACACGTGTAACCTATCACACCTTCATAAGCCAGGCCAATTAATATCTTTCCTTCCCTCCCACTTATTTGCACACTCCAGGTAACCTATCCCCTAGGACTCTACATGTGGCCCTTTCTTGAAATGATCTCTCCTTATAAATAACAAGACAAAAATCCATGGTGAAGGCAGATGTATGGTCTCCCCTCCAGACCAGCAAGTACCACTCTATTTAATTACAATCTGTTTTAAGAGAGCAGCTTGGACCTTTGTTGATTGTGCCCCTTTATGGACACTGAATAAGAAACAGCGTAGCAGAGTATCTTTGGCACTCCACAAATGTGCCTCAGGAGCATGTTGCCTCTGTTATACTTAGAAAACGTGGATGTATTGTCTATTTTTAACGATTTCTTAGCTGGGCATGGTGGCTCACACCTGTAATCCCAGCACTTTGGAGGCTGAGGTGGGTGGATCACCTAAGGTCAGGAGTTCGAGACCAGCCTGGCCAACATGGTGAAACCCCATCTCTACTAAAAATACAAAAATTAGTTGGGCATGGTGGCGGGTGCCTGTAATCCTAGCTACTAGGGAGGCTGAGGCAGGAGAATTGCTTGAACCCAGGAGCTGGAGGTTGCAGTGAGCCTAGATGGTGCCATTGTATTCCAGTCTGGGTGACAAGAGCAAAATTCTGTCTCAATTTAAAAAAAAAGATTTCCAGGGAAATTATTTCTATTTTTAATATTTCTACTATTTAATTTTAATAAATAATTTCTATAATTAATAACCATTACTATTAAAATTATCCTCTTCCACTACCACTGAGCCATTGTCTTTCATTTAATTCATCACTAGAGAGAGAATATATGGTCACCTTTTTTGTATAATCCTTTCTATGCTTGCAAAGTCTTCCAGCTATGCCTGAATTTTCTCTTCTTTCAGATAAATAGTAATTGTTCTTTAAACTTTCTTTAAACCTTTTGTATTTACTCTTTAAAATATTTTGTTGACTTTTTTTTATCTCAAGTTTTTCAAAGCTTTAGGCTACATTTATAAAAGTTCTAATAAGTACATATAAAGAAAATGACCTAGCTGTTTGAAAAATTCTGTAGCATCTTGTGTTAGTTTGGAGATTACTCATTTTCTGTTTGCATTTTGTGTTCCTTTGCCCTCACTTTTCCTTACCAAACATGCCTTCAGTCTTGCCTTTCTGCCAACTCAGGTGACCCTCTACCCACCATTATTTTTTAGCACCTGTATTTGATTGTGGTTCTCTGTGTCAGAAGCATTCGTGGAGACTGTGACAATGTATCTCTAGAAGAGATAGCCAGTAAGCCAGAAAATAGATTGTTTGGCATTCCTCAGCCTTTGGTTTATAATTGTTAGACAGAAGTGTCCTGCCCAGTATATATTTGCATGCTGGTTGGCATTGAAGTAAATGTTCTCCTCTGGGAGTAATATTAGCAGGTGGCCACTAATGTTTTTCCCAGATTAGTAATCAGACATTTTACCTGAACTCTGTGCTTGCCTGGAGGATTCTAATTAACCTTAGAACACTTGCTACCATTTATTAAGTGTTAATCAAGTGCTGGATTCTCTTTATATGCAGAAGGTATTATATATTATCCCCATTTTATAAGGAAGCAAAATCTCAGATTGGTCAAGCAACACGTCCAAGGTTGCATAGCAAGTAAGTAGCACATCCGGGATTCAGATTCTTTCCAACTCTAAAGTCAGTCCTCTTTTGGGTATGCTGTTTTCTCAAACTCTTAGAGAGATTTTTTTGTATGGTTTGTTTTGAGACAGGGTCTCACTCTGTTTCCCAGGCTGGACTGCAATGGTGTGGTCATAGCTCACTGCAGCCTTGACCTCTTGGGCTCAAGCAGTCTTACCACCTCAGTCTCCTGAGTAGCTGGGACTACAGGCATGTGCCAGCCATGCCAGGCTAATTTTTAAATTAAAAAGAAAATTATTTTTGTAGGGTGGTCGGGAGCTCCTGGTCTCAAGTGATTCTCCTGCCTTGGCCTCCCAAAGTGCTGGGATTATAGGCATGACCATCATGCCTGGCCAGATAAGAGTTTTAGAACCAAAGTATTCGTTGTAAATAATGAAGCTGAAGTCAGAGGATTAATGCTGCCTGATTAAACCCAGTTCTTAACTCTTTAGTGTGCAGGCCTGATAGGACTTGGCCAGTGTTGAAGAACCTGGGTTATCAGAGTGGCATTGGGCTCTCATTGATGAGGATTATGGCAGTTGTGGTCCTGCCAGAGAATCTGAACAGTAGGAGATCATGGCATGATAAACACGGTTCTTAGTGAAGGAGTGTCCTTAGACTCAGCCCTAGTGGAACCTTCATATCTCATTTCTTTTCCTAATGTTGGTCTGCACATTTCTTTATTTGACTTCTCTAGTGTCTATGATACAAAAGATACTATTCATAAACAAAATCTAGTTCCTGGTCTCAAAGAATTTACAATCTAATGAGAGTAATTAGGGATTCAAAAATAATAATAAAAATCAGTACTATATGAGAATTGACAACAAAATGCTATGGGAACTTTAAGCTCAGGCCATGATAGTGATGAAGACCAGCTGACTTGCTTTAAACAACAATAGAACCAGACAAAATATATACATATAAGAAATATTGATTTTCAGACATTGGACAACAGACTGCATAGGACAGGCAATGATCCCTGAGAGGAGAAAATAAACAAAGTAGGCTCTGAAAATGCCCTAGCACATGGTTGCCAAACCACAGTGCAGGGAAGGGAAGCCCAACAAATCATAGCATTCTTACTAAATTGAAGAAACAGAAATTGAAGCTTGGGGAAGCCAAGATGTCTGGAATTTGTTGAGCAAAATACTGGAGAGTAGTAAGATACACAGAGGGAGAACTCCAGAGGTCTGCAGAAGAAACCTCCTAGTCTTTGATTTGAGCATGCATTTGAAGAAACTACTGAGGCCAGGGGGAGACCACCAGAAAGTGGCAGGCAGAACAATCCTTGGATTGTTGAATCCATGAATGGTTTGTGTTCTCTTCAGCCAGTTGCAGAGCATTGGATAGAGACATCCTAGGTCAAAGTCATTTTAGGAAAACCCTGGTTTGTTTGTTTGTTTGTTTGTTTGTTTTGCCATAAAAGTGCTTAAAAACAAAACTCAGAAAGATCAGTTGATTCCAAGTAACTTAACTGCATCACGGAACAAAGACCAACAAGACTTAAAGGAACAATAAAGTCCAGCACCCCAAAAAATAACATTAACAAAAAAAAAAAACATTGAGTGTGTAGCCTCCACTCAAAATCACCAGGCATGCAAATAAGCAGGAAAATACCTCCCACAAGTAGAAGAAAAATCAATAGAAACAAAACCAAAAATGCACAGATGATAGAATTAAGAGACAAGAATATTAAAACAGCTATTATAAATGTACTCCATGTGCTTAAGAATACAAGCAGAATACAAGCAGAGAGGCCAAAAGAAAGAAAAAGACACTTTCATCTAGAGATGAAACATATAATATATGAAAAAAATACAGTAGATGAGATTAGCAACAGGTTAAACACTAAACAGAAGAAAAGATCAGTTAAAGACATAAAAAAACTATACAACATGAAACAAAAAAATTGAATAAAAAACTAACAAAACATCAGTGAATTGTGGGACAATATTAAGTGACCTACATAAGTGTAATATTAGTCTTAGAAGGAGGGGATAAAGAAAAAGTATTTGCAGAAATGCTCAAATGCTTTGCAAATTTGATAAAAACTATAAACACATAATAAGAAAGTGGTCAGTTCATCAAGAGGATAGAGCAGTCCTAACTGTGTTTGTGTATACTTGTAATAAATTTATAGTACACAAAGCAAAAACATACAGAATTGAAAGGCGAAATAGACAAATCCAAGAAACACAATACTTCACTATCACTTTCTCAATGATTGATAAAAAGGTAAACAGAAAATATAGACTTGAACAACCAATAGGACCTGATTTATAGGTCACTTTACCCTAAACCAATAGAATATGTATTCCATTTGAAGTGCACACAGAACATTTGCCAAGAGAGACCATATTCTAGGCCATAAAACAAGTTTCAATAAGTTTAGAAGAATTGAAAATTTACAAAAACAAGTTAGTTGACCAGACTAGAATTAAACTAAAAATCACCAACAGAAAGATATATGGAAGATCCTCAAATATATGGATATGGAACAACATCCTTCTAAAAACATGTGGATTGAAGAAAAAAATCACAAGGAAAACTGGAAAATATTTTCAATTGAACAGTAAAATATACTGTATCAGCCCGGCACAGTGGTTCATGCCTGTAATCCCAGCACTTTGGGAGGCCAAGGTGGGTGGATCACTTGAGGTCAGGAGTTCAAGATCAGCCTGGCCAACATGGTGAAACCCTGTCTCTAATAAAAATACAAAAATATTAGCCAGTCATGGTGGTGTGCACCTGTAATCCCAGCTATTTGGGAGGCTGAGGCAGGAGAATCCCTTGAACCCGGGAGGTGGAGGTTGCAGTGAGCCGAGATTGCACCACTGCACTCTAGCCTGGGTGAAAGAGTGAGACTGTGTCTCAAAAAAATATAAAGTATACTGTATCATAGTTTATGGGAGGCAAATAAAGTAATGCTTAGAGGGAAATTTATATAATTCTTTTAAGTATCAGAAAAAAAGAAAGTTTTCAAATTAATGATCTAAGCTTCCAACTTAAGAAAGTAGATAACAAATTTTAAAAAAGAAGAGCTAATTAAGCACAATGCAAGCACAGGAAGAAAATAATAAATATAAAAGCAAAAAAATCAATGGAATGAAAACAAACAATGGAGAAAAATCCTTAAGACCAATACAATTATTAAACCTCTAACCAAGATAATAAAGAGAAAAGGAAGAAGACACACATTACCAATATGTGGAATGAAAGAGGGGACATCACTATAGAACCTATAGGCATTTAATAAGGGAATATTATGAACATTTTTATGTCAATAAATTCAACTTAGGTAAAATGGGCAAATTTCTTGAAAGATTATAAACTACCAAAGCTTACTTAAAAACATATAGATAACCTGAATAGCACCATATCTACTAAAAAAATTGAATTTGTAGTTAAAAACATTCCCACAAAAAGAATTCTAGGCCCAGATGGCTTTACTGGTAAATTCTATGAAACGCAAAAGAAATAGCATCAATTGTACACACTTTTCCAGAAAATAAAGAGGAGAGAATAACTCTCCCGGCTTAGCCTCTAAGGGCCTGCAATTACTTTGGTACCTAAACCAAACAAAATAAAGGCATTATAAGAAGAGAAAACTACAGATCAATCTCTCTTATTAATATGGATGTAAAAATCTTAAACAAAATATTAGCAAATTGAGTCCAGCACTGCATAAAAAAGGCAATACATAATGACTAAGCAAGTTTTATCCCACAAATGCAAGGTTGGTTTAACATTTAAAAGCCAATTAGTGGCCAGGTGCTTTGGCTTACGCCTGTAATCCTAGCACTTTGGGAGGCCGAGGCAGGCGGTCAGGAATTTTCTTAACTTGATAAAGAGTATTAAGGGAAAACCTACAGTAAACATCACATTTACTGGTGAAAGACTGAATACTTATATTCTAAGGTCAGGAGAAAGGCCAGGATGTCCATTCTTACCATTTCTATGGAACATTGTACAAAAAGTACTAGTGAATATAATAAAGCAATAAAAAGAAATTAAAGGGATTTAAATTGGAACAGAAGTAAAACTGTCTTTATTCACCAGACTACATTATGATCACCTTCATAGAAAGTCCTAAGGAATATACAAAAAAGAAATCTGTAAGAATTAATAGATGAGCTTAGCAGAGTCATGTATAAACAATTTTCTTTCTACATATTAGCAACAAACAGTTAAAACTGAAATAAACCAATGCCATTTATAATAAAATAAAAAATATGAAAAATTTAGGGATAAATTTTATGAAATATGTATATGACTACAAAAAACTTTAAAATGCTGATGAGAAAAATTAAAGAAGATGAACTAAGTGAATTGGTAATAGCAATAATAATAAATAAATAGATTACCATGCTTATGGACCAGAAGATATTAAGATATCAGCACTCCCCAAACTGATTTATCTTCATTCAGTGTGATATCAGTAAAATTTCCATCAGTCTTCTTTTGGTGATAGAAATTGACAAGTTAATACTAAAACTTTTTTTCTTTTGAGATGGAATCTTGCTCTGTCATGCCCAGGCTGGAGTGCAGTGGCGTGATCTCGGCTCACTGCAACCTCTGCCTCCAGGATTCAAGGGATTCTCCTGCCTCAGCCTCCCAAGTAGCTGGGATTACAGGCGCCCACCATCATGCCCAGCTAATTTTTTGTATTGTTTTAGTAGAGACGGAGTTTCACCATGTTGGTCAGGCTGGTCTCGAACTCCTGATCTCAGGTGATCTGCCCACCTCGGCCTCCCAAAGTGCTGGGATTACAGGTGTGAGCCACCACGCCTGGCCAATACTAAAATTTTTATGGAAATTCAAAGGATCTGGACTATCCAAAATAATTTTATCAAGGAAAAACAAAGTTGAAGAACTTAACTTACCTGATTATAAGACTTACAATAGGCTGGGCATGGTGGCTCATGCATGTAATCCCAGCACTTTGGGAGGCTGAGGTGGGTGGGTCTCCTGAGGTCAGGAGTTTGAGACCAGCTTGGCCAACATGGTGAAACCCCGTCTCTACTAAAAATACAAAAATTAGCTGGGCGTGGTGGTGCACCTCTGTAATCCCAGCTACTCCGGAGGCTGAGGCAGGAGAATTGCTTGAACCCGGGGGGTAGAGGTTGCAGTGAGCCAAGATCGTGCTACTGCACTCCAGCCTGGGCTACAGAGTGAGACTCCATCTCAAAAAAAAAAAAAAAAAAAGACTTATAATGAAGTTACATTAATCAAGACAGTACAGTATTGGCATAGGAATGTCTCTATAGATAATGGAACAGAATTGAGTATGAAATAGAACCACATATATGGTCAATTGATTTTTTTTTTGACAGAGCTGAGGTTTCATTCACCTTTTAAAAATATTTTACTCAGTCATAATATACATACAGAAAAATGCTCATGGTCAATTAATTTTTGATGAAAATGACATGTTAATTCAATGAGGAAAACATAACCTTTTTAAAAAACGGTGCTGAAATAACTGGATCTCCATATACAAAAAATATAACTTCAACCTGTAAATCACATTATATGCAGTAATAAACTTGAAATGGTTGTTTAACTGAAATGTAAATGCTAAAACTGTGTTGTACAACTACTAGAAGAGAACATAGGAGAAAAATCTTAGTGACTTTGAGTTAGGCAAATATTTCTTAACTAGGACACCAAAAGCACAAAAAGAAAAAAAATTCATGACCTAGACTTCATAAAGTTAAAAACTTTTGCTTTTTAAAAGACTCTATTACAGAAATGAAAAGTAAGACACAAACTGGGAGAAAATATCTGTAAAACATGTATCTGATAAAAGACTTGTATCCAGAATATAGAAAGGACTCTAATAATAAGGAAAAAATAGGCAAAAGATTTGAATGGATGCTTCTCCAAAAAGATATAAAAATGGCAAATAAATATGGGGAAAGTTGTTCAACATCATCAGACATTAGGGAAATGGAAATTGAAACCACAATATCAGGATCATCATGGCGGACAGAAAGCAGGAGTAGATTGCTGCTCTGACTCAGATGAACAGAGCGCTGTGTGGAGGCTCGCATCATGAACTTTAGCTCCAGATTGACAGCAAGAACAAACCAGCAATCCCGAGAGGACCCACAGTCCCTCTGAAGGAAGCTGACTGCTCCTGCAGGACCCGGAGACATTCCAAATACTGAGTGCCCCAATTTCGGAAGTGGGAAAGGGAGATCCTCCTCTCCTGAACACATACCCCCACTGGAGAAACTGCAGGAGAAGTTTCCCACCTTACCTGGAGCTGAGTCAATTAAGACAGCCAGCAAAATACAGGGGTGGAGGAAGCAGCAGGGAAGGCCCTGGGAGCTCGCTGGTTCCCTAAGGAAGCCATTCCTGCCTGGCACCACAGGGATCCCTTGGGAGGGTGGCCTAGACCTGACCCGACCTGACAGCCTTCCCTCCCCACCCTGGTAGCTGAAGGCAAAAGACATAAAATCCTGGGAGTTCTAGGGCCCCACCCACTGCTGGTTCCTCTCCATACTACCATAGCTGGTGCTCTCTGGATAGGTGCCACCTCCCAGCAGGAAGCCAACTAGCACAACAATAGAGCATTAAATCACAAAAACTGGCCGCGCACAGTGGCTTACACCTGTAATCCCAGCACTATGGGAGGCTGAGGCGGGCAGATCACAAGGTCAGGAGTTCGAGACCAGCCTGGCCAAGATGGTGAAACACCGTCTCTCCTAAAAATATAAAAATTAGCCAGGCATGGTGGCACGCAGCTGTAGTCCCAGCTACTCGGGAGGCTGAGGCAGAAGAATCGCTTGAACCCGGGAGGCGGAGATTGTCATGAACCAAGATCGTGCCACTGCACTCCAGCCTGGGCGACAGAGCGAGACTCCGTCTCAAAAAACAAACAAAAATCCCCACAAAAGCTAAGAACCCTCACGGAGTCCATTGCACCCTCCTGGCACCTCCACCAGAACAGGCACTGTTATCCACGGCTGAGAGACCCATAGACAGTTCACATCACAGGACTCTATAGAGACAACCCCCAGTTCCAGCCCAGAGCCAGGTAGACTCACTGGGTGGCTAGACCCAGAAGAGAGACAACAATCACTGCAGTTTGGTTCACAGGAAGCCACATCCATAGGAAAAGGGGGAGAGTACTACATCAAAGGAATACCCCGTGAGACAAAAGAATCTGAACAGCAGCCTTCAGCCTAGACCTTCCCTCTGACAGATAAAAGGTTAGTTATTAAATTGAGGCACCAGGAAAAGGCAAAGCCCAATGCAAGGAACTCCAAAAAATGATACAAGAAGTGAAGGGAGAAATATTCAAGGAAATAGATAGCTTAAATAAAAAACAGTGAAAACTTCAGGAAACATTGGACACACTTATAGAAATGCAAAATGCTCGGGAAAGTCTCAGCTATAGAATTGAACAAGCAGAAGAAAGAAATTCAAAGCTCTAAGACAAGGTTTTTGAATTAACCCAATCCAACAAAGACAAAGAAAAAAGAATAAGAAAATATGAACAAAGCCTCCAAGAAGTCTGGGGTTATGTTAAATGACCAAACCAAAGAATAATTGGTGTTCCTGAGGAAGAAGAGAAATCTGAAAGTTTGGAAAACATATTTGGGGGATTAATCAAGGAAAACTTCCCTGGCCTTGCTAGAGACCTAGACATCCAAATACAAGAAGTACAAAGAACACCTGGGAAGTTCATCACAAAAAGATCATCACCTAGGCCCATTGTCATCAGGTTATCTAAAGTTAAGACAAAGGAAACAATCTTAAGAAACTGTGAGACAGAAGCAGCAGGTAACCCATAAAGGAAAACTTCTCAGATTAACGGCAGATTTCTCAGCAGAAACGCTACAAGCTAGAAGGGATTGGGGCCCTGTCTTCAGCCTCCTCAAACCGAACAATTATCAGCCAAGAATTTTGTATCCAGTGAAATTAAGCATCATATATGAAGGAAAGATAGTCTTTTTCAGACAAATAAATGCTGAGAGAATTCGCCACTACCAAACTACCACTACAAGAACTGCTAAAAGGAGCTCTAAATCTTGAAACAAATCCTGGAAACACATCAAAACAGAAACTCTTTAAAGCATAAATCACACAGGACCTATAAAACAAAATACGAGTTAAAAAGCAAAAACAACAAAAAACCCAAGGTAGACAGGCAAAAAATAGCACAATGAATGCAAGGGTACCTCATGTCTCAATACTAACATTGAATGTAAATGGCCTAACTGCTCCACTTAAAAGATACAGAACTGCAAAATGGATAAGAACTCACCAAGCAACTATCTGCTGCCTTAGGAGACTCACCTAACACATTAAGGACTCACATAAACTTAAGGTAAAGGGGTGGAAAAAGGCATTTCATGCAAATGGACACAAAAAGTGAGCAGGGTAGCTATTCTTATATCAGACAAAACAAACTAAAGCAACAGTGGTTAAAAGAGACAAAGAGGGACATTATATAACGGCAAAAGCCCTTGTCCAACAGGAAAATATCACAATCCTAAACACATATGCACCTAACACTAGAGCTCTCAAATTTATAAAACAATTACTAATAGATCTAGGAAATGAGATAGACAGCAACATAATAATAATGGGGGACTTTCAGTACTCCACTGACAGCACTAGACAGGTCATCAAGACAAAATCAACAAAGAAATAATGGATTTAAACTATACCTTGGAACAAATGGACTTAACAGATATATACAGAACATTTCATGCAACAACCACAGAATACACATTCTATTCAACAGCACATGGAACTTTCTCCAAGATAGACTATATGATAAGCCCTAAAATGAGCCTCAATAAATTTAAGAAATTTGAAATTATATCAAGCACTCTCTCAGACCACAGTGGAATAAAACTGGAAATCAACTCCAAAAGGAACCTTCAAACCCACGCAAATACATGGAAATTAAATAACCTGCTCCTGAATGAGCATCAGGTCAAAAACAAAATCAAGATGGAAATTAAAAAATTCTTCGAACTGAATGACAGTAATGGCACAACCTATCAAAACCTCTGTGATACAGCAAAGGCAGTGCTAAGAGGAAAGTTCATACCCCTAAACACCTACATCAAAAAGACTGAAAGAGTACAAAGTGGCATTCTAAGGTCACACCTCAAGGAACTAGAGAAACAAGAACAAACCAAACCCAAACCCAGCAGAAGAAAGGAAATAACCAAGATCAGAGCAGAACTAAATGAAACAAACAAACAAACAAATATGAAAGATAAATGAAACAAAAAGCCAGTTCTTTGAAAAGATAAATATAATTGATAGATCATTAGCAAGATTAACCAAGAAAAGAGAGAAAATCCAAATAACCTCATTAAGAAATGATACAGGAGACATTACAACTGACACCACTGAAATACAAAAGATCATTCAAGGCTACTATGAACACCTTCACACACATAAACTAGAAAACCTAGGAAGAGATGGATAAGTTCATGGAAAAATACAACCCTCCTAGTTTAAATAAGGAATAATTAGATACCCTGAACAGACCAATAACAAGCAACGAGATTGAAATGGTAATTTAAAAATTACCAACAAAAAAAAGTCCAGGACCAGACAGATTTACAGCAGAATTCTACCAGACATTTAACAAACTGATACCAATCCTTTTGACACTATTCCATGAGACAGAGAAAGAAGGAACCTTCCCTAACTCATTCTATGAAGCCAGCATCACCCTAATACCAAAACCAGGAAAGGACATAACCAAAAAAGAAAACTACAGACTGATATCCTTGATGAACATAGTTGCTAAAATCCTTAACAAAATACTAGCTAACCAAATCCAACAACATATCAAAAAGATAATCCACCATGATCAAGTGGGTTTCATACCAGGGAAGCAGGGATGGTTTAACACATGCAAGTCAATGTGATACACCATATAAACAGAATTAAAAACAAAAATCACATGATCATCTCAATAGATGCAGAAAAAGCATTAGACAAAACCCAGCATCCCTTTATGATTATAACTCGGCATACGAGGGACATACCTCAATGTAACAAAAGCCATCTATGACAAACCCACAGCCAACATAATACTGAAAAGTTGAAAGCATTCCCTCTGAGAACTGGAACAAGACAAGAATGCCCACTCTCACCACTCCTCTTCGACATAGTACTGGAAGTCCTAACCAGAGCAATCAGACAAGAGAAAGAAATAAAGGGCATCCAAATCAGTAAAGAGGAAGTCAAACTGTCACCGTTTGCTGATGATATGATTGTTTACCTCAGAAATCCTAAAGACTCCTCCAGAAAGCTCCTAGAACTGATAAAAGAATTCAGCAAAGTTTCTGGATACAAGATTAATGTACAGAAATCAGTAGCTCTTCTATACACCAATGGCAGCCAAGCAGAAAATCAAATCAAGAACTCAACCCCTTTATGGTAGCTGCCAAAAAATAAAATACTTAGAAATATACCTAACCAAGGAGTCAAAAAACCTCTACAAGGAAAACTACAAAACACTGCTGAAAGAAATCATAGATTACACAAATAAATAGAAAAACATTCCATGTTCATGGATGGGTAGAATCAATATTGTGAAAATTGCCAAAAACAATCTACAAATTCAATGCAATCCTCATTAAAATACCACCATCATTCCTCACAGAATTAGAAAAAACAATTCTAAAATTCATATGGAACCAAAAAAGGGCCCACATAGCCAAAGCAAGACTAAGCAAAAAGAACAAATCTGGAGGCATCTCACTACCTGATTTCTAACTATACTATAGGGCCATAGTCACCAAAACAGCATGATAGTGGTATAAAAATAGGCATATAGACCAGTGGAACAGAATAGAGAACTCAGAAATAAATCCAAATACTTACAGCCAACTGATCTTCAAGAAAGCAAACAAAAACATAAAGTGGGGAAAGGACACCCTTTTCAACATATGGTGCTGGGATAATTGGCTAGCCACATGTAGGAGAATGAAATTGCATACTCATTTCTCACCTATACAAAAATCAGCTCAAGATGGATTAAGGACTTAAATCTAAGACCGGAAACTATAAAAATACTAGAAGATAACCTTGGAAAAACCCTTCTAGATATTGGCTTAGGCAAGGATTTCATGACCAAGAACTCAAAAACAAATGCAATAAAAACAAAGATAAATAGTTGGGACTGACTGTACAACTGTATCAGCTGCTCGTAGGACATGTCCAGCAGCTGCTCGAGGTCCACACCGCGGTGATACATCCTCTTCACAGACTGCAGAAAAACAGCAGATTTGTGATTTAACTGGGAGTTTTCTGGGATCAAACAGTAGCTTTGTTTACAGTCCTGGGTATGTCTTTATCAGCGGCATGAAAACAGACTAAGAAGGAGGAGCCAAGATGGCCGAATAGGAACAGCTCTGGTCTACAGCTCCCAGCGTGAGCGACGCAGAAGATGGGTGATTTCTGCATTTCCATCTGAGGTACTGGGTTTATCTCACTAGGGAGTGCCAGACAGTGGGCGCAGGACAGTGGGTGCAGTGCACCATGCGCGAGCCGAAGCATGGCTAGGCATTGCCTCACTCGGGAAGTGCAAGGGGTCAGGGAGTTCCCTTTCCTGGTCAAGGAAAGGGGTGACAGATGGCACCTGGAAAATCGGGTCACTCCCACCCGAATACTGTGCTTTTCTGACGGGCTTAGGAAACCAGGAGATTATATCCCGCACCTGGCTCGGAGGGTCCTACGCCCACGGAGTCTCACTGATTGCTAGCACAGCAGTCTGAGATCCAACTGCAAGGTGGCAGCGAGGCTGGGGGAGGGGCGCCCGCCATTGCCCAGGCTTGCTTAGGTAAACAAAGCAGCCGGGAAGCTCGAACTGGGTGGAGCCCACCACAGCTCAAGGAGGCCTGCCTCCTTCTGTAGGCTCCACCTCTGGGGGCAGGGCACAGACAAACAAAAAGACAGCAGCAACCTCTGCAAACTTAAATGTCCCTGTCATTTTGAAGAGAGCTTTGAGGAGAGCAGTGGTTCTCCCAGCACGCAGCTGGAGATCTGAGAACAGGCAGACTGCCTCTTCAAGTGGGTCCCTGACCCCTGACCCCCGAGCAGCCTAACTGGGAGGCACCTCCCAGTGGGGGCAGACTGACACCTCACACGGCGGGCTACTCCTCTGAGACAAAACTTCCAGAGGAATGATCAGACAGCAGCATTCGCGGTTCACGAAAATCTACTGTTCTGCAGACACCACTGCTGATACCCAGGCAAACAGGGTCTGGAGTGGACCTCTAGCAAACTCCAACAGACCTGCAGCTGAGGGTCCTGTCTGTTAGAAGGAAAACTAACAAACAGAAAGGACATCCACACCAAAAACCCATCTGTACATCACCATCATCAAAGACCAAAAGTAGATAAAACCACAAAGATGGGGAAAAAACAGAGCAGAAAAACTGGAAACTCTAAAAAGCAGAGTGCCTCTCCTCCTCCAAAGGAACGCAGTTCCTCACCAGCAACAGAACAAAGCTGGACGGAGAATGACTTTGATGAGTTGAGAGAAGGCTTTAGACGATCAAACTACTCTGAGCTACAGGAGGAAATTCAAACCAAAGGCAAAGAAGTTGAAAACTTTGAAAAAAATTTAGACGAATTTATAACTAGAATAACCAATACAGAGAAGTGCTTAAAGGAGCTGATGGAGCTGAAGGCCAAGGCTCGAGAACCACATGAAGAATGCAGAAGCCTCAGGAGCTGATGTGATCAACTGGAAGAAAGGGTATCAGTGATGGAAGATGAAATGAATGAAATGAAGTGAGAAGGGAAGTTTAGAGAAAAAAGAATAAAAAGAAACGAACAAAGCCTCCAAGAAATATGGGACTATGTGAAAAAACCAAATCTATGTCCGATTGGTGTACCTGAAAGTGACGGGGAGAATGGAACCAAGTTGGAAAACACTCTGCAGGATATTATCCAGGAGAACTTCCCCAATCTAGCAAGGCAGGCCAACATTCAGATTCAGGAAATACAGAGAACGCCACTAAAATACTCCTCGAGAAGAGCAACTCCAAGACACGTAATTGTCAGATTCACCAAAGTTGAAATGAAGGAAAAAATGTTAAGGGCAGCCAGAGAGAAAGGTTGGGTTACCCACAAAGGGAAGCCCATCAGACTAACAGCGGATCTCTTGGCAGAAACTCTACAAGCCAGAAGAGAGTGGGGGCGAATATTCAACATTCTTAAAGAAAAGAATTTTCAACCCAGAATTTCATATCCAGCCAAACTAAGCTTCATAAGTGAAGGAGAAATAAAATACTTTACAGACAAGCAAATGCTGAGAGATTTTGTCACCACCAGGCCTGCCCTAAAAGAGCTCCTGAAGGAAGCACTAAACATGGAAAGGAACAACCGGTACCAGCCGCTGCAAAATCATGCCAAAATGTAAAGACCATCGAGACTAGGAAGAAACTGAATCAACTAATGAGCAAAATAACCAGCTAACATCATAATGACAGGATCAAATTTACACATAACAATATTAACTTTAAATGTAAATGGACTAAATGCTCCAATTAAAAGACACAGACTGGCAAATTGGATAAAGAGTCAAGACCCATCAGTGTGCTATATTCAGGAAGCCCATCTCACATGCAGAGACACACATAGGCTCAAAATAAAAGGATGGAGGAAGATCTACCAAGCAAATGGAAAACAAAAAAAGGCATGGGTTGCAATCCTAGTCTCTGATAAAACAGACTATAAAGCAACAAAGATCAAAAGAGACAAAGAAGGCCATTACATAATGGTAAAGGGATCAATTCAACAAGAAGAGCTAACTATCCTAAATATATATGCACCCAATACAGGAGCACCCAGATTCATAAAGCAAGTCCTGAGTGACCTACAAAGAGACTTAGACTCCCACACAATAATAATGGGAGACTTTAACACCCCACTGTCAACATTAGACAGATCAACGAGACAGAAAGTTAAACAAGGATACCCAGGAATTGAACTCAGCTCTGCACCAAGCTGACCTAATAGACATCTACAGAACTCTCCACCCCAAATCAACAGAATATACATTTTTTTGAGCACCACACCACACCTATTCCAAAATTGACCACATAGTTGGAAATAAAGCTCTCCTCAGCAAATGTAAGAGAACAGAAATTATAACAAACTGCCTCAGACCACAGTGCAATCAAACTAGAACTCAGGATTAAGAAACTCACTCAAAACTGCTCAACTACATGGAAACTGAGCAACCTGCTCCCGAATGACTACTGGGTACATAACGAAATGAAGGCAGAAATAAAGATGTTCTTTGAAACCAACGAGAACAAAGACACAACATACCAGAATCTCTGGGACACATTCAAAATAGTGTGTAGAGGGAAATTTATAGCACTAAATGCCCACGAGAGAAAGCAGGAAAGATCCAAAATTGACACCCTAACATCACAATTAAAAGAACTAGAAAAGAAAGAGCAAACACATTCAAAAGCTAGCAGAAGGCAAGAAATAACTAAAATCAGAGCAGAACTGAAGGAAATAGAGACACAAAAAACCCTTCAAAAAATTAATGAATCCAGGAGCTGGTTTTTTGAAAGGATCAACAAAATTGATAGACCGCTAGCAAGACTAATAAAGAAAAAAAGAGAGAAGAATCAAATAGACGCAATAAAAAATGATAAAGGGGATATCACCACCTATCCCACAGAAATACAAACTACCATCAGAGGATACTACAAACACCTCTACGCAAATAAACTAGAAAATCTAGAAGAAATGGATAAATTCCTCTACACATACACCCTCCCAAGACTAAACCAGGAAGAAGTTGAATCTCTGAATAGACCAATAACAGGATCTGAAATTGTGGCAATAATCAATAGCTTACCAACCAAAAAGAGTCCAGGACCAGATGGATTCACAGCCAAATTCTACCAGAGGTACAAGGAGGAACTGGTACCATTCCTTCTGAAACTATTCCAATCAATAGAAAAAGAGGGAATCCTCCTTAAGTCATTTTATGAGGCCAGCATCATCCTGATACCAAAGCCGGGCAGAGACACAACCAAAAAAGAGAATTTTAGACCAATATCCTTGATGAACATTGATGCAAAAATCCTCAGTAAAATACTGGCAAACTGAATCCAGCAGCACAGCAAAAAGCTTATCCACCATGATCAAGTGGGTTTCATCCCTGGGATGCAAGGCTGGTTCAATATAGGCAAATCAATAAATGTAATCCAGCATATAAACAGAACCAAAGACAAAAACCACATGATTATCTCAATAGATGCAGAAAAGGCCTTTGACAAAATTCAACAACACTTCATGCTAAAAACTCTCAATAAATTAGGTATTGATGGGACGTATCTCAAAATAATAAGAGCTATCTATGACAAACCCACAGGCAATATCATACTGAATGGGCAAAAACTGGAAGCATTCCCTTTGAAAACTGGCACAAGACAGCGATGCCCTCTCTCACCACTCCTATTCAACATAGTGTTGGAAGTTCTGGCCAGGGCAATTATGCAGGAGAAGGAAATAAAGGATATTCAATTAGGAAAAGAGGAAGTCAAATTGTCCCTGTTTGCAGATGACATGATTGTATATCTAGAAAATCCCATTGTCTCAGCCCAAAATCTCCTTAAGCTGATAAACAACTTCAGCAAAGTCTCAGGATACCAAATCAAAGTACAAAAATCACAAGCATTCTTATACACCAATAACAGACAATCAGAGAGCCAAATCATGAGTGAACTCCCATTCACAATTGCTTAAAGAGAATAAAATACTTAGGAATCCAACTTACAAGGGACGTGAAGGACCTCTTCAAGGAGAACTACAAACCACTGCTCAATGAAATAAAAGAGGATACAAACAAATGGAAGAACATTCCATGCTCATGGGTAGGAAGAATCAATATCATGAAAATGGCCATACTGCCCAAGGTAATTTATAGATTCAATGCCATCCCCATCAAGCTACCAATGACTTTCTTCACACAATTGGAAAAAACTACTTTAAAGTTCATATGGAACCAAAAAAGAGCCCACATCGCCAAGTCAATCCTAAGCCAAAAGAACAAAGCTGGAGGCATCACGCTACCTGACTTCAAACTATACTACAAGGCTACAGTAACCAAAACAGCATGGTACTGGTACCAAAACAGAGATATAGATCAATGGAACAGAACAAAGCCCTCAGATGTAACGCCGCATATCTACAACTATCGGATCTTTGACAAAGCTGAGAAAAACAAGACATGGGGAAAGGATTCCCTATTTAATAAATGGTGCTGGGAAAACTGGCTAGCCATAGGTACAAAGCTGAAACTGGATCCCTTCCTTACACCTTATACAAAAATTAATTCAAGATGGATTAAAGACTTAAACGTTAGACCTAAAACCATAAAAACGCTAGAAGAAAACCTAGGCATTACCATTCAGGACATAGGCATGGGCAAGGACTTCATGTCTAAAACACCAAAAGCAATGGCAACAAAAGCCAAAATTGACAAATGGGATCTAATTAAACTAAAGAGCTTCTGCACAGCAAAGGAAACTACCATCAGAGTGAAGAGGCAACCTACAAAATGGGAGAAAATTTTCGCAACCTACTCATCTGACAAAGGGCTAATATCCAGAATCTACAATGAACTCAAACAAATTTACAAGAAAAAAACAAACAACCCCATCAAAAAGTGGGCAAAGGATATGAACAGACACTTCTCAAAAGAAGACATTTATGTAGCCAACAGACACATGAAAAAATGCTCATCATCACTCGCCATCAGAGAAATGCAAATCAAAACCACAATGAGATACCATCTCACACCAGTTAGAATGGTGATCATTAAAAAGTCAGGAAACAACAGGTGCTGGAGAGGATGTGGAGAAATAGGAACACTTTTACACTGTTGGTGGGACTGTAAACTAGTTCAACCATTGTGGAAGTCAGTGTGGCGATTCCTCAGGGATCTAGAACCAGAAATACCATTTGATCCAGCCATCCCATTACTGGGTATATACCCAAAGGACTATAAATCATGCTGCTATAAAGACACATGCACACGTATGTTTATTGCGGCACTATTCACAATAGCAAAGACTTGGAACCAACCCAAATATCCAACAACGATAGAGTGGATTAAGAAAATGTGGCACATATACACCATGGAATACTATACAGCCATAAAAAATGATGAGTTCATGTCCTTTGTAGGGACATGGGTGAAATTGGAAATCATCATTCTCAGTAAACTATCGCAAGGACAAAAAACCAAACACCACATGTCCTCACTCATAGATGGGAATTGAACAATGAGAACACATGGACACAGGAAGGGGAACATCACACTCTGGGGACTGTTGTTGGGTGGGGAGAGGGGAGAAGGATAGCATTAGGAGATATACCTAATGCTAAATGACGAGTTAATGGGTGCAGCACACCAACATGGCACATGTATACATATGTAACTAACCTGCACATTGTGCACATGTACCCTAAAACTTAAAGTATAATAATAATAATAATAATACTGAAAAAAAAAGAAAACAGACTAATACATAAAAAAAATAGTTGGGACTTAATTAAACTAAAGAGCTTCTACATAGCAAAAGGCACAGTCAGCAGAGTAAACAGACAACCCACAGAGTGGGAGAAAATCTTCACAATCTGTACATCTGACAAAGGACTAATATTCAGAATCTACAACAAACTCAAACAAATCAGTAAGGAAAAACAAACAATCCCATCAAAAAGTGGGCGAAGAACATGAATAGACAATTCTCAAAAGAAGATATACAGATGTCCAAAAAACATGAAAAAATGCTCAACATCACTAATGATCAGGGAAATGCAAATGAAAGCCACAGTGCGATACCATCTTACTCCTGCAAGACTGGCCATAATCAAAAAATCAAAAAACAGTAGATGTTGGCATGGATGCGGGTGATCAGGGAACACTTCCACACTGCTGGTGGGAATATAAACTAGTACAGCCACTATGGAAAACCGTGTGAAGATTCCTTAAAGAATTAAAAGTAAAACTACCATTTGATCCAGCAATCCCACTACTGGGTATCTACCCAGAGGAAAAGAAATCATTATTCAAAAAAGATACTTGCACATGCATGTTTATAGCAGCACAAATCCCAATTACAAAATCGTGGAACCAACTCAAATGCTTATCAGTTAACGAGTGGATAAAGACACCATGGTATATATACAATGGAATACTACTCAGCCATAAAAAGGAATTAATTAATGGCATTTGCAGTGACCTGGATGAGATTGGAGACTATTATTCTAAGTGAAGTAACTCGGAATGGAAAACCAAACATCGTATGTTCTCACTGATATGTGGGAGCTAAGCTATGAGGACGCAAAAGCATAAGAATGATACAGTGGACTTTGGGGACTTGGAGGGAAGCGGGGCAAGGAATAAAAGACTACAAATAGGGTGCACTGTATACTGCTCGGGTGATGGGTGCAACAAAATCTCATAAATCACCACTAAAGAACTTACTCATGTAACCAAATACCACCTGTACCTCAATAAATTATGGAAACTAAAATAAAAATAAAAATGAAACCACAGTGGGATGCCACAGGACACTGATTAAAATGACAAAAATTACAGAGACCGCAAGTGTTGGTGATAAAGAGGAACTGTAACTCATATACATTGCTAGTAAAAATACAAAATGGTATAGACACTTCAGAAAATGTTTAGCAGCTTATTTTAAAGTGAAATATACACTTACTATATGACCCAGCTTTACTCATGAGAAGTGGAAACCTAGATCCACACAAAGACTTTGATGCAAATGTTCATAGTGGATTTATTAATAATAGCCCCAAACTGGATGGAACTCAAATGCCCTTCAGCTGATGAATGGATAAACAAATTGTGGTATATCAATATAATGGAATATTAGTCAACAACAAAAAAGGAAAGAACTATGTCCTACTGTGCTGAGTGAAAGAAACCACACACAAAAGTCTACAAACAGTATTATATTATTGTGAAATCCTTGAAAAGGTGAAACTATGGTGACAGAAGTTTGTGTGTATATGCTTTTTATAAAAAGCCAGAGGGAAGCAAAATGCATTGTGATTCTTACCCCATTTATGTATCATAGCAGAGGACCTGTACCTGTCTTAAAGATTTTTAACATGTGAACAATCAAAATGAACAATTTTCTTGTAATCACACAGTGAATGAGTGGATGTGAAAGTTGAATTTTTTGCCATTTTGGGTCAGTGAAATGTGACTATATCATACTAAGACATTTTTTGCTGGTGATCCCAAATGGTATCTGGAAAACCTTCCAGAAAAATAGTTCTGAAAATGATGTCTGTAGTAGTCGCATCATTGGAATAAATGTATAACCTCCTTGAGTTAGTATTTGAAGTATACAAGTGTTTTTTGAGATTTCCTTTTTTAAAAAGATAGTTTAGTTTTGCTTATGTCTTTTAAATCGCTCTTTTTTCTCGACCATCACTTTGGACATTCATTGGTAACAGCCAATAATATCTGATTTTCAGATAAAGAATCCAGGGAACCAGTCTAACGGCTGCAAAGCCTTCCTGAGTATTTGCCAGGACAAACAGCCCAGCAGCCCCACAGGCAGGAGTCCCAGAAAGAAAAAGAAATAATTTTCTCATAACCAAAACTGTCTGAAATGGACATGGGCTATTTTGAGGAAAAAGTGAATTACCCTGGTTTAAATGGCAACTGCAGACCCCATTGGCAGGCACATACGAGAGAAGTTTTAAGCATCAGATGGGGTATTGGACTAATGCACGCATTCTGTGGACATGTAGCTGGAGCCAGGCTTCCCAAATGGGCTACAGCTGGAGCTATCCTGACCCTATCATGGAAAACTTCATCTAGCTTTGGATCTTGTGGGTATTAAGAAGATACACTTTCTGTGACACACCCTTGGAATCCAGATTTCAAGGATGGCAGTTCTTTAGCCTGTTGTTAAAGATGTATAGTGCCTCCATACAGTTCTGAAAGATACCATTCTGTATGGGTTGAAAACAGTCCCAGAGATCATTTGCAATCAAGCATATGTGCGTATTTCTGTTTGGTTCAATGCCTCCCAATACCTTTTCCCAACTCATTCTGTTTCCTGGAAAATAATTGATGAATTTAATTTGCCCTCATTATTGGTTTAAGTGAAAATGTTGTTAGATCTCAAAAGTTGAGAAACATATCTCAGGGTAAATGCTGAAAGACATGATTCTTTATCAGAAGCACCTTGTGGCTTAAAAATATATATCCAGGACTTAGAAGAGCTAACATCGTCTTCCAAATAGCCTGGCAGAAGAGTTTGAGAAAGCAGCTCCAGAAGGTGGAGTCTGGCAGAGTCTGGACTACTCTGTTCAAGACACACTCTTTAAAGAAGATTTATTTTATAGTTAAGCAGGGAAGGTGAAACTTATTTTTTGGACTGGGGCATGTCTATGCCTCCCTCCTTTCAAGTTGAGAGAGCATGAACACAGGTTCTATTCACTAAATTAATCCCTCTTGTAGTCCTTCCACTTATTAGTTCAGCAGATATTTAATGAGCACCAGTGTACATAGTGCTATGGGAGGTGCCTTGAGGAACACGAATACAAGGAAGTTACCAACCTGGGTCTGAGAGAACTCGAAATCCCAATTTGGACAGGCAAGATGGAAAAGTAAGCAGCCACAAGGCAGTGTCTGAGGCACGCCAGTTGAATGGATTGGAAAGTAGGGGCAGTGGAGGTTGAAGGAAAGAGAGCATATTTCATTTGAGCTGCTTAGGGGAAGAGTGGTTTCTGTGAGCCATACATTCCAAAGGAAGGAACGAGAGTGTTCTCTTTGGCAGAAATGTCAAGGAGAATGAGAGGCAATTACATTTGGTGATGAGGACATTGCTGCTGACCTTCAAGAGTAGGAATTTCAGGAGAGGATGGTATGGAAGCCAGATTGTAGTAAGTTGCCAGGACAGGTGCATTGGAGAAAATGGAGTGGTGGTCATTCACTGGGACGTTTGATAGGGAATGGCAGGAAGTACAACAGAGTCAGTGAGAACTTTTTTGCCTCATAAGAAGTAAATTGTTATTTTGAAGGTAGAGGCAAATGATTATTGAAGGGGAGAGGTTAAACTTTTCTAAAAAAAAAAAATCATTAAATTGTAGAATCCCAGAAAGTATAATGTTAATAAAGGAAAAAAAATAAGATAATTGTTAGCATTTTTGGTAAAGAAATGAACTGACATAAAATATATTTTTTGCATTTTAAATAAAAGCATTACATTAAGAAACTAAAATATTACTATTGATTAGTAATTCAAGTGAGAAGTTGAGGAGTAAAAGTAATTTCATATTTAGATTCTTGTTATTTAAAGAACATCGGCTGGGCGTGGTGGCTCACACCTGTAATCTCAGCACTTTGGAAGGCTGAGGCAGGTGGATCACCTGAGGTCAGGAGGTCAAGACCAGCCTGGCCAACATGGGGAAACACTGTCTCTACCAAAAATACAAAAATTAGCTGGGCGTAATGGTGGGTGCCTGTAATTCCAGCTACTCGGGAGACTGAGGCAGGAGAATCGCTTGAGCCCAGGAGGCGGAGGTTGCAGTGAGGTGAGATCGCGCTGTGGCACTCCAGCCTGGGAGACAAGAGCAAGACTCTGTCTCAAAAAACAGAAAGAAAGAACATTAATGTCTTTGATCTTCTGATAGTAATTGAATGGCATTGTTCCTTACCTTCTCAATGAAACACCAGAGAATGCAAACTGCATATAAGAGCTTTTCTGGAGCTTACCTCTGTCTCATGTACTTATCAGGGCTTGTTGTGCAGACCACTGTTTTACGTCATTGATTATGTGAGTAAGAGGGAAGAAAGGAGAGTCAAGTTACACCCTTGGAAGATGAAACTTATAATTTCCATGAAGCTTACTTTATGACAGTACAGAAGTTTTCAGGGTACTCTGTCATTCAGGAGTGAGTGAAAGTTTATCACACTTAATGACACCACTATGTAAGTTTCCAAGGGTAGAGCCAAAACACTGAGAAAATAGATGCATGTGTTGTGTGATTACTAAACCTTCTGAATGTGTATTTGGTTACACTATCTCTTTGCTCTTTGAGATCAACATGAATGCCACCTGCTCCATCAAAATGAAATGTGCCATTTAGAGGAATTGTTTCAACTGTGGGTCTCACAGGCATTGCCCTTGTCCTCCTCAGACACAGGTGTGTTTGCAGTGGTGAACAGCCATTCCTTGTCCTTGCTGGGGAAGCTGACCATCAGTGCTGCCTTTAACATTGTTTATATCTACACCTCTGAGCTTTACCCTACAGTCATCAGGTACGTGTCTCACACAGCCTCATTCTTCACACATTCTACACTTTGTCATCCATTCTTGCACCAACAGAGGTGTGGTACTCATTTCATCTGCTTCTGGAGTTAGTTTGGGGCAGCAGTAATTCAGCAAGCAGTTTAGGGTGAGAGCTTGCCTTGGCAGACTGCTCTCTGCCTGCTCTGCTAGGAAAATGTCACTTTATGGTGGACTGAATTCCTTAGTGTAAGTTGTAAGAGAAGTACTCTATGCTAGGCATATTCTGTCACCCAAACAGTGCACAGATGCTATTATTATTTTGGTGAATTTTATTTATTCAGTCACCCATCCTGCATCACACATCACAGACATGGGGACAAGCTCCCTATTCTCACAGAGCCTACATTTTAACACAAAATACACACATTTTTAGAAGATAATTTCATATAGTAATAAGTGAATATCAGAGTTAAACAGCAATTGTTAAAACTGGGTTCTTAATGAATAGGATATGTTTATATTGAAAAGAATAAATATCCAGCCTAAATTTCCCTTCATAAAATAAGTCTGAAAGCAAGAAACACACCCAAATTTGAAGGATGGGGGTGCAGCTGAGGCTTTGCAGAACTGCTTCTGTGGCCTGGGCAGGTATTCGCTCAGCCAGCTCTTTCTCAGTCTTTTAGAGGATCATTCCAAACAATCCTTCTCCTTCCCTTATCCATGCAAGAAGCTTCATGGTTCTTTCTGCCTGTTAATTTAAAATTATTTTTCCTAGTAAGAGAGCAGAGTGTCTGCAATTGGCTAGTAATTTCCTAGCTGGTCCTATAACCTACTTTACCTGGCTACTGGCTATAAAACTAGGATGATGATTTTGTCCACTCTGGGACAATTTTGAGAGCAAATGTGGGTATGAACTTTTCAGCTGGGATTACAGAGTGCTGTATCCCTCTACCCAAAACCATTAATTATCATTCTCTCTCCCTCCCTCCCTCTCTCCTTCCTATCTTTTTTATGCCTGCACTCCCCATAAAGGTGTTCTTGGTTTCCTGACAGTACACGCTTAGTCAATTTCTATTTATATGATTGACCTGTTAATTGTTAATTAGTTAGTTGAGTTTAAATAAATGAGCAGCCTTTTCAGATCATAAAACCCTGGCAGTCTGTAGGAGATCTAAGGCATGAAAATCCATGAGAACTTTTAACTTAAAAATATTCAAATGCTCATTTCTATATCATCCTTTGTGGATCCACTGTCCAATATGGTAGTTACTGGCTTCATGTAGCTATTTAAGTGTAAATTAATTAAAATTAAATAAATTAAACATTCAGTTCTTCATCCTTCCTGGCTGCATTTCAAGCACTCAGTAGTGCTTGTGTCTAGTGGCTTCCACATTGGACTGGGTAATTATAGAACATTCCTAGCATCTCAGGAACATCTAGTAGGCAGCTCTAGAACCCACTGTTCTCTAGGATCCTGTGCTTCCACTTCAGGACATGTTATTCAAGGCCCGCTGCTGCCCCCCAAGGGTCTCTTAATTCCTCCGCTAGAACTTACTGATGTATTTTTACTTATGCTTTTCAGGAATGTTGGGCTTGGAACTTGTTCCATGTTCTCCCGAGTTGGTGGGATTATTGCTCCCTTCATCCCCTCACTGGTTGGTTTGTACCTTCTAGTTTTGTTTTTCTTGATTCTCTGCTTTGGAAATGCTTATGCTTTTTAGTAGAAAGAGGTGATGAACAGATGTCATTTAAGATCAGCTGACACAAATGTGAACCTTGGCCCTTTTAGATAGTATTCCGTCAGGGCAGATGGACTCTTATCGAGGATTCATTTGCCTCCAGTGGGTCTGATTTTTTGTTCATCTGGATTTGTTGGAGGGTCTGCTAATGCCAGTGTGCCCCATTCCTGTCCCCATGAAAAAGTTAGTCAACTAATAAGTATGTATGACACTTCTGCTGTGTGCTGGGCTCTATGCCAAGCACTTTCTACATATCATCACATGCAGTCCTCATAGTAACCATAAGAGGAAGGCATTGTTGTTACCCCTGTATTAAATATGAGACATGCTACAGAGAGGTTAAATACCTTCCCCCAAGAACACACCTCCTGGAAAATAACATTAGAGGAGAAATATGTCTCTCACTGTGTCTGTTAATATTTTTTTTTTGAAACTTTCTAACTTGTATAGTCAAAGAAAGGGAACCAGATTAAATGACAGCCCTAAAATCCTTCATCTTAAAATGCTCAGATTCTGTGAAAGAACCCAGGGGACCCCTACGCAAGTCTCTCCTTGGTTTGATTTGTGACTTTCCACAGCCAAGACTTTTTGAAAGCAACTAGATTTGATGTGGGACTTGTGGACCTGTTCTGTAGACAACTGTTCATTACTTAGGCAGGTCTCTGAAATGCCATTATAACCTTTTCATTTTCTGAGGTGCAGTACATTTCCCTTCTCAGAGTATCTCTCTCCATGTCTCATGATTAATTTTAGTTCACAAGACCCTTCTCCTAAAGGAGTCATGTAGGTCTGTGTTTTATTCTGCAAAATATAGGTACTGTTAGAGATATCTGACTTTGGATAGCTATCCTACAACATTATAATACCCAGCACTGTGTCTCTGTTGCTTCCTACAAGGTTAGAAGAAGGGAAAGTGTGTGTTCCCCTTGTTTCAACAACAGGCCCACAGTGCTGGACATATGTTTGAGTGTAGATGGCTAGAGATGAGAGATTCTCCTCCTCCCTCTTCCTCCTCATCCCTGTCTTCTGCTCGGTTCTCTCCATCTCTCCCTTCTCCTCCCCCTTCTCCCTTTTCCACCTCCTTCTCCATCATCTCTTCACTTTGAAAAATCAGGAAAAAATTGTCTGAGGGGAAATCCTAATTAGTAGTGGACCTACCCACGAAATTTGGAAGCCTAAACCAGAAGATCATAAAGCTTAGCAGGAATTCTAAAATGTTGATCAGCTCAGAAAAGCCCCAGAGAAACACCCTGGAAGCAACTGTTTTTCATGTTTTCTTTGAATCTCTTTGTGATGAAATGTTTCCGTTTTCCTGAGAATATGTTTTGGATCTCTGAAACAATTGCTTGTATCACCAGCCCTTAACCATGTTCAGTTTAGAAGTTTATAAGCCATATGTATGTCGTAGGGTTGGTTTTTTAAAAGAGTTTTTACACCTTTAATCCCTGGAACTCTCAGTTACGGTCTTAAGGTATATAGGATGGTTTGGCCAATTCCAGGATTAAGAACTTTAAAGTTCATCATCAGCAAGTATTTTGGGATGCCTCTGTGCAAAGTGTGCTCACCTGGAATGGAAGCTGAACTACAAGATGTCCTGTCAGCTCTGGCCATATAGGCCTGCCTGCTCAGAGGCAGCCTGGCCTCTTCTCCTACAGTACCCACCCCGGACATGAAATTGCTGCTTCTAATGTACAGACTAGTGCTGTCCTTTTATTTACTCACTCCCATCTCTACATGCCTGAGGAATCATTCTCTGATTTCCCAGGATAATTCTTTATGTGGAAAGAAGTGGCTTATAGTGTTGTCTAGTGCGAGGTCATGAACTAGGTGGTAAACATGACAGTTTTTCAGTCATGAGACTGCTTGTATTACATGCTAAGGAAACTAATTCTCTGGTTTATTTTCATTCCACTCCCCGCCTCTGCAGAAATATGTGCAATGGTCTTTACCATTCATTGTCTTCGGAGCCACGGGTCTGACCTCCGGCCTCCTGAGTTTGTTATTGCCGGAGACCCTTAACAGTCCGCTGCTAGAAACATTCTCCGACCTTCAGGTGTATTCGTATCGCAGGCTGGGAGAAGAAGCATTATCTTTACAGGCTTTGGACCCCCAACAGGTGTGATATTTTTCTTAATTATTATACCGCTTGGATAGTGGCAGTTAATGAAAAAAAGAAGGTTTGCGTTAAATTAAATAGAACTGAGTAAAACTGCTGGAAAACAAAAGTGGGATCTAACAGCAGCTGATTTTCAGAGAAATAAGGATGATCGATGATTCATTAGCTTTCCTAGAATATTTTAGGGGCTATTTCTTGGGGGAATGAATGTCATATAAATACATTTGTCAGTTGAATAGCTAGATGGTAGTTTCCATTTCAGAAATGTCATAACATCATTTCACTGCCCTTTTCTTCTTTCCTGTTTCAGTGTGTGGACAAGGAGAGCTCTTTAGGGAGTGAGAGTGAGGAAGAGGAAGAATTTTATGATGCAGATGAAGAGACTCAGATGATCAAGTGAAGAGCCCCAGATTCCCCCTAAGAAGCAAAGGATCGTCTTTTATGCCTCTGGCTAAGGCAGGTTCTTCCATGACTCCTAAGAGAGTTGTAAAAATAGAGGCTTGGCTTGAATGTACATAGATGGTACCTGGCATGGACTGATGTTTTTAGGCACAGAAGTTGGAGAAGAGATTTCATGAAAGACAACATCACTGCATTGAGAGAATAGTTGTTAATTTGTTTAGAATTTAAGTTCTACTCAGAATCATAACATCTGGCAGAACAGCCCAAACCCACATTCCAAAGTGGTAGGCTCATTTGTTTCTAGAGATTTCATCATGTCGCTTTTCCTTCATCATGATCTAAATAAAGGCAGATATGTAAAATTTCTCACCATTTTGGTGGGGTAAGATAAGCTATTATTAAGATTTAATCCTTATACCATGTTGGACATTTGCCCCTATCAGTTGCTCCTCAGGAATCTTCTGGTACAGGTTAACATCAGCATTTTCATTTTGTGTCCAGGGAAAAGCACCCAGAGGTCATCTGTGTGTCCCGAGACCCTCCAGCTTTTTCTTAGCTGATGAAATATGAGTCCTCAGCTTGGTTCCCAGCCTGCTGATTGACTTGGGCTGCTGGTGCCTTGAGTCCCACAGATGATTCATTAGGAAAAGCCAGATATACCAAAGCGGTTTACTCAGAGTCAGGGGTGTAGCTCTGGCTGCCTGTCAGCTCCCTTGGATACTATATTGTATGATTTCTTCCTTTCCCACTAATATGCACATCCAGAAAAATTTCCATCTGAGATTCTAGTACTTCAAAATCATGCATAGTAAATGAGAAAGCTTTAAGTAGAGGGCAGTTAAACAGTGACATGTTGAGCACCTGGAGGAAAAAAAAGGTGCAGTTTTTAATAAGAGAGAAAATGAAATTATCTTTGATAAATTTTTGTTTGTTTTGCTTTCAGCATTGTGCCATGAGGGATTTGGACAATATTTAAGAACTTCTTGTCCTAGATCAGCCCCAATCTGTTTAATCAAAATGGAAGGTTCAGTAATTTCATGGGAAACCTTGGTTTTTCATTAAGTGCTACCAACTTTCAAGTGAATCTTGTATTTGATTTCCTAAAATCATGTCTTGAAAACATGTTTTCTCATGAAACTTGAATACTATCTCAAATAGGAATATAAACCTGGAGTCAACAAGCTTAGGCAGCATTGATTTAGGTCACTTTCCCAGTGAGGAAAATTTCTGTGTTTTCAGAATTTCCATTTCTACTAACCTCTTGGAGAAAAAGAAATTGAATTAGAGGTAAATAGAAGACGTCACTGTGGCTGCTTCTGGAAGTGCTGGAAGCATCACCCCAATTGGCTCCAAATACTGTCATGTTTTCTTGCACACTGACTTCTGGTTTCCACTGTATCAGTATGTACCTTTGTAATTGTTATTTTTATGTCTTTTATGCCCTTGATTATTAGTTGGGCTCTTCATAAACAGAGGCCATCTCTACTACTGTTTATTTTTCCCTGCTGTGCCCAGAACATTGGCGTAGACACAGTAAGAACCTAGTAAATATTACTGTTTCTAGCCATCAGGGAGATTGTGGAACTCCTCCCAGTATAATTTTTACAAACTCCAAGCAAATCTGACCCAAACTCCCAAATTGTCAAGTCCTGCTTAACTTTCTCTGGAAAATAGACCCCTTCTCAACATCAGAATAGGAAGAGAGGAAGAACTTACAAAGACACTTAAAAGTTATTCTTAAATGGTGGTTGGGCATTTAAAACAGTGAACTAACATATATATAATTTTTGATTAGTTGGAGCTTTCTTTGTATTATAAGAGTAATATATCTCATTACAGAAAATTTGGAAACTATAAATTTAGAAACGTATCACCCATACGTCCAACATCGAAAGAAAACCAGTGTTATGACTTTGTTCCATTTGAAGACTAATTGGGAGTCCATCTCTCTATTGGCACTGGGTTCGATTGCCTCTGGCTAATAGAGTTCAATTAGTTCTATCCCTGGGTTTCCTTTCTTAGCTATGGGGTGGAAGATAGGAGGGGGAGATCTACAATTTGAATATGTGTTACTTAATAAGGCTAGGCTGGCCATCAGTTGCTTATTTCAGATGTGTCACTAAATTTTCCTTCTAGATGGTCCTTGAGCAAAACTTAATAATTACTGTTTTTTATTTCCACTGCCTTTATAAAATCAAAATTTTCTCCTTTTGATAAAAACTGTTGAATACTATTGATGTAGAGAATGTGTATATGTGTATATTTGCATTGATTAAATTATTGGAAAACTTTTCATTGACAGGTAATGTATTTTGGTTGTGCGGATGGTTTGTAAAAAGTATCCTGTTTTTTTAATTCTATTCAAAATTAAAAATTTTTTTTCCTAAAATAAAGCAAGAAAAATAAATGTAAGATATATAAGAAACCCCAGAGTTTCCAGGGTGAAAGTTCACATTAGCAGCTTGTCCAAAATATTTACACCTCACAAATATTTTGAAAGAAACCATGTTGAAATTTTCTGATTTTGTGAGTTACAACCACAGCCCAGTAAAACCAATACTTGTTATTTGGCTACTTTCAAGCAATGCAGATATTCTTTAGTATTTAAAAATGAGCAAATAAACAAAATGAGGCAAATAAATGAAGAAAATGAGTTTCTGAGACACTGTTTAGGTAACCATAAATCAGACAGATATTTTTATGGTGGGCAAATTGATGAAGATACTTTTAGTAGGTGATTTATATTCATAACAAATACATATTGAAATAATTGTCACTACTGTATCAGAATTAAAAACCAGCTTCACATTAGGACTTCTCCATACAAATGCTTTATCATTGGTTCTTAAATTGGAAAAATATCTATAAATGATTACATTTTTAAGCTAAATAAAATGCAGATATTTTGGCTTCTTGTGAATGTAATAAAGAATCATAAAACATAGACCTTTTTTTTGTTCTCCCAGAATGTCTCAAAATCTACAGTAGTAGCTTTGACAAGTTGGGCAAATGCAGAACCTGCTAGTAAAGTTAAGTAATATGTGGGACAGGGGTTGTAGGAAAGTTGTAGACTGATGGACACAAAAGTTAACTATCAAAATACTTTTAGAATGAGGAATATGCAAAGACAATGCATTGTGGAAAATCCATCAATGTAGTACATCAAAGGAGAAAGAGCTTATGATTACCTCAATAGAAAAATAAACATTATTTGATGAAATTCAACATCCATTCAAAATAAAAGCTATTAGCAGAGTAGGAATAAAAGGATGCTTCCTTAATAAAATAAGAGATACTATAGTAGATATGGTAAACTGGCACACAGCATCTCTTCACCTTCCTGGTACCTTGGCCTTCAGCCTTTTTTTTTTTATCATAACCCACAGTAAGAAATGCATTTTACATATTCATCGTGTCATACTTCCCCACCTACAAATATATATGTATATATAAAATATCTATGAATCATAAAAATGTATATATTTTATGCAATAATACTTAATCTTGCTAGGCATACTGATAACTTATGTTCTATTTCACTTTTCAAAATGCCATTTATAACTCAATAAATGGATATCATGACTCGCTAATAGGTTGCAACCCATAGTTTGAAATCCACTGCTCTACTCTATCTTCTTATACTACAGAAGCTTTAAAGCTAAAATGTACATTTTCTGAATTTCTTGCAGATAAGTTTACCCCTTGCAGCCAGGTGCAGTTTGGTTTCCTTCAATCAGATACAAATGGAGCTTGGAAGGTAGAAGCAAGGTGGAGGCCATACTTTTGATGAGTATGCTTTTTTCTGCTCAGATTCACAGTGCTGGAGCCGTTTGGTTTCTCTGAGGCAGTATCAGCCAGAGATGTTGTCAGTTGGGCAATACTGATTAAAATCTTAACAAGATTTTTTAATAAACCTGGAATAATACTTCTGGTATTCAAATGGAAAAGCAAAGATCCAAAAATATTCAAGACAATTCTGATAAAGAAGAACAAACAGAAGGGACTTGACTTTCTAGATATAAAAACTTATGAAGCTGTATTATTGGTCAGCAGTAGACAAATAGATCAATAGAACATAACAGATTTGTTAAAGATAGCATGACACATTAGAGGAAAAAGTGAACAATTATTGATACTAAATCTTCTCCCCATAATAAAAATAAATTCCAAATAGATTGAAGGCCTCAATGAAAAACAGCAAAACTTTAAAACTATTTGAAAATTATAGAATATTCTTATGACCTTGGAGGATGGATAGATTTATCAGACAAGAACTGAAAATTATAAATTATTTTTTAATTGATATATTTGACTTGATCTAAATTTAAAACTTGTTTCTGTATGACTGAACATGCTACAAAGTTAAAAGGAAAGCAGCCTGGGCGCAGTGGCTCATGCCTGTAATCCCAGCACTTTGGGAGACCAACATGGGCAAATCACCTGAGGTCAGGAGTTTGAGACCAGCCTGGCCAACGTGGTGAAACCCCATCTCTACTAAAAATACAAAAAAAAAGTTAGCCAGGTGTGGTGGCATGTACCTGTAATCCCAGCTACTCAAGAGGCTGTGGCCAGAGAATCGCTTCAACCCGGGAGGCGGAGGTTGCAGTGAGCCAAGATCACACTGCTGCACTATAGCCTGGGCAACAAAGCAAGACTCCATCTTAAAAAAAAAAAAGAAAGCAATAGATTAGGGCAACATTTATAAGCAATAAGGATTAATATCCAGACTATATAAAGATTTACTGCAAATCAGAGATAAAAGTAATAAAGTTTACAAAAACTGTGATTAGGCAATTCACGATTCACAGATGAAAAGATGCTCAACCTCACTACAGGATCAGGGAAATGCAAACTGAAACCACATGAAGATATCTTTAAAAATCCATTAGATTGGGAAAATAAGAGAATATCAAATGTTAAAGCTATGAAGAAAAAGGAATTTAGTGACATCCTGATAGAAGCATAAATTTATTCATCAACTAGGTTGTCATTAGCAAGTAAGGCTGAAAATGTACATAGTCTAGGATTCAGAAATTCTGCTTCTATGTATGTATCATGAAAGAGTATTTTCAGAAAATTTTACTATAACCCACTGTAAAGAAAATGTTTTATACTGTGACACACAGTACACACACCTACATACATACCCACGTGTGTGTGTGCATATATATAATTGAAATGGTGTTATAAAACAATACCTTCACTTAATATATGCACTGCATTATATTTTCTGTTTTATTTCATTTCATAAGGAATACTAGTGAAGACACACAAAAATGATTTCACAGTTTTGAATGGATCAAAACATGCAGTTGGAAAAAGTGAAACATACTACCCTTAATATTTGCCTTGGTACTTGCCTGATATACATGTGTACAAGAGATTTTTACAGAATGTTCATTGCAGCATTGTTAGTTGTAATAAAACAATGGAGGTAAATACCTTCAGTAGGGAAATGTATGTATATAATTTCATATGCATAGGATGAAGTAAAAACATAGTTCTATGATTTAGGTGGTTGGATCTCAATAATGTTGAACAAAATGTTGGCAAATTTTTATTGGATCAAAGTCCTTTCATGTTTAAATTTTCCAGTAAATGATTGGAGTACTTGCTAATTAAAGGGATTTAAATGCTTTTCATGTCATACTTTAAAGTCAAGACTATTGATATTCTGTTACAAAAATATAGAAATCTCACTCTTATTCCTCCCAGATGAAGAATTATCCCTCTTCCCTATGGAGAAAGTCTATAAACTTGCCCACCTGCAAGTCTCAATTTCTCTTGAAAAAGAGCTTTGCATTTGTGGAAACATTTAGACAACTTTTCAGCCAAGACTCTAGAGCTGTCTTATAAAGCTTAGAAAAGATTACATATTTATTGAAAAATGTGAAGGGCAGATGTAGCTAAATTAGTATTAAAAGAACTTCAGTCTAGACTCTGCAGAACAATTGATTTTGAATAGAATTGATTGATAGAGTTGCTTTGCTTCAAAATATAACTTTAAGAAATGGAATAAAATGATTGTGCATGAATGTAAAAGCACACAGTCAACTTGGAGGACTTTAATTAATGAGTGATTTACCAGTATGTGTGCAGAGCTTCTAGAAACCATGGAAGATAAAGCATTATACAAAAGGAAGCCATTAATAGAGTCTGTAAAGGTCAGCCTTGTGGAGCACGGCACCACAGGAGGAGTGGATCCAGAGAGGCAGAGGCAAACAGAAGATATTCACTCACCACTGGGAAACCCTTAAAAATTGGTGAATATCTGTCACATCAGATGATTACAGCTTTAGAAGCGTTCAAGCTAAGCAGTTCTTGGTGATGATAATACAACAGATTAATTTGCTTCCTGGAGTCACTTTTATAGATGCATGTCACCATATCAGTGTAAAAGAAGAAGGACTACAACATGCCTTACACTGTCTACAACTAGGGTGTGGTTTGCCAAACAACTCCCTTTGCCCTCTGATGCTTTCAGTGGGTACTGAATGACCTGAGGACTACATCAAATACTACATCTCACCACACTCGTGATTCTTTTTGAGGAAAACAAAGATCAACTATGATCAGCAGATGCCTTAAGGCCTCACACTTACACACACACCCCCCCCCATTTCCTTGATAATATAAAATAGTAAAACAGTGACCTGAAATAAATTGTAATAGCTATAATATGCCTGTCTCTGATGCAACATAGTTAGATTGGAAAACTTAATTCCGAAGTTGACAGGGAAGAATATTGGCAAAGAGCAGCAATTTACTTTCAAATAATATTCTTTCCAAATTATTTGTTGTAATTAATTTTTCCATGATAGTTTCCTCTGAGTGGGTACTATAACAAAGGAAGAGCAAGAAGATGAAGAGTATTTTGCTTTTAGAGGAAGAATGGCAGCCAAAAAGACCAGTGGTTAGGAAATGCCAATCAAACCAACTTTTCTTTAAAGAATACTCCCAAAGGCCTTCTCAGTTTTCGTAAGTAATGGGGTCTTGCATTGGTTTTCTATTGATGCTATAACAAATTACCACAAACTTAGTGGTAATTTGGACAAGATGAATTTATTTTATGACAGCTCTGAAAGTCAGACTACGAAATGAGTCCTAAGGGGCTTGAATGAAGATGTCAGCAGAGCTGGTTTCTGGATTCTTTTTTTGCAATAAAAGGTAACATCCACAGGTTCTGGGGATTTAAATATGGATAGCTTTGGGGAGGAACATTATTCAGCCTGTCACAGGTGTCTTAAAGTGTGTGTCAAAAGATCATAGGTAGACAAGACCTAGTGGAGTCATCGGTGTATGTTATTAATTTAATGAATAATTCAGTCATCACCTGGAGAAGCTAGACAGAAATCATGGGTAACAGCCCCAAATCTGCATTTATTGTTGATCTTTTCTAACTATTTAAGCCTGAGGTCTCCCACTGAGACATTTTGTCACTTGTTGTTTGAAAGAATACACTGCTTACAAAATAATTTAAAACTCATAAGTGTTTTTGAGTTTCATTTGTTGCTGTATCTTAACAGTGTTTTAGCAGTTATCAAAATCAGTTAATCAGTTCTGTTATTACTTATACTTTTGTTATGTTCTCTGTAATCAACCTATACTTTTCCATTAAACTCTTTGTTTGGTTTGTTTTGAGACAGGGTCTCGCTCTGTTGCCCAGGCTGGAGTACAGTGGCACGATCCTGGCTCACTGCAACCTCCGCCTCCCAGGCTCAAGTGATCCTCCTGCCTCAACCTCCCAAGCAGCTGGGACTAAAGGCATGCGCCACCATGCAGGGCTAATTTTTTTGTAGAGATGAGGTTTTGCCATGTTGCCCAGGCTGGTCTTGAACTCCTGAGCTCAAGTGATGTGACAGCCTCAGCCTCCCAAAGTACTGAGATTACCGGTATGAGCCATTGCCCTCAGCCTTCCATTAAAGTCTTATTGTGTCATTTAATAAATGATGATGTCTTCCCTACTAGGCCATAAGCTCTACAAAAACAGGGTACATGTCTTTCTTTTTTCCAACCCATAGCTCTGGGCCCAATGTATCATGGGCATTCAGATATTCACCACTCTTTCATATGAGCTCTATTGTTACATTGAACTCAAAGGCAAGCAAGGACCTTATCTTATTCATCTTAGTAACCCTAAAAACTAGCATGGTATCTGGGACACAGTAGTCACTACATTTCTGAATGAGTGGGTGCCCAGACACAAGGCAATCACGATTAGTTTAACTAGTCTATTCAGCAATGTACTCAAAAGGGATACTCTTCCCCAAAATCAATTTGAGAAAAGGACTTTTGATTATTTATGTCTGAGAAAGCTGCTTATAGATACTAGAAAAACCTTCATTTCACCTTAACCTTCTCATTATCTAATCTCACAATTTTGTTTAAAGTTGTAGTTAGGATGAGAATACATTCAAGAGAGAACTGATCCCTTTTTTATAGGGTTAATGATGTCTACCTTGAGAAAGGAGGTAGGCAAAGAAAGATTAATTATTAAATAATAATCTTGTCCGTGTACCTATAGACTTATTACCATAGTACCATTCAGCCTACTGATTTGTAGAATGAATGAATTTGGTGATTTTTAAAAATTGAGATATCTCCCTGTCTCAACAGAGAGGCAGTCTATCCTATGATGGTATTCTTTGGATGAATTTTTGACATAGTCATCAATATTGTAATAGTCAGGTCTTTTAAAATAATTCATCTAATGGAAACACCATATAAAAGGTTGAGAAATGATATCTATTTGGTTCTGGGCATTTGAGGATCATCAAACACATTAAGAAAAAAATCATTAGGTGTTTGATCAATGTTTAGGTTTTTCTGTTTGCTAGATAACTCAGAAGATGGCTCTCATATGTTGACTAAATATAGGTCACCTTTGTCAGAGGAATGCTTTGCTAGAGGAACGAATAAATAGCTGAAAACAACAGAGAGTAAAGCCTAAGGGGAAAGTTTGACAGGCTGGTTGTATTTATGTATTCATCCTGCCACATCCTCGAAAAAGGTATTTATTGTTAAGTAGGTTCAAAAACATCTTCAAGACCAGAAAATGCCTTCGGACGCCACTGGGCTGTTGAATTCCTTAGTTATTGATTCACTAATGTCATCATGAAAGAATTTATGATTTTCCCAATCCAGTCCACCAGGAGAGGGAAGGCCTTGATAAGGATTTAGATGATAAGGAGAAGAATTGCCAAGATTGAAGACCCAGAGCAACAGCAAAGAATTTTGGAAAAGAAATTTCACCAAAGAGTAAAGTTAGTGTTATTTTGGTTATGTGGAATATTAGAGTGAATTAAGTAGAGGAATAAAATCACTAATAAAATTGGTTAGCAAAGGCGTCATAAAATCACACCAATGAGAAACAGAGTGCTAACCTAGACTTTGTATATCTTCAGTTTCCTTTCAAGCATTTCAAACCTCCCCAATTAGCTTCAAGTTTATCCTTAGGTAGATGTGTACAAAAGATTTCTTCAACTACTTTCTAGTATTCAAGATATTATTTAAGGGAAAAATCACATTTATTTATTCATTAGATATTTTGGTAAGTATTCTAGGTGCTGGATTAAAAGAGAGAAATGGCTCACGCCTGTAATCCTAGCACTTTGGGAGGCCGAGATGGGCGGATCACTTGAGATCAGAAGTTTGAGACCAGCCTGGCCAATGTGTTGAAACCCTGTCTCTACTAAAAATACAAAAATTAGCCGGAAATCACCTGAACCCGGGAGGTGGAGGTTGCAGTGAGCCGAGATTGTGTCACTGCACTCTAGCTTGGGCGACAGAGTGAGACTCTTTCTTAAAAAAAAAAGTTAAAAAAATAAAATAGATAACATGTCTTATTTTTCCTCAGGCTCTGTTTAATGGTGGTGATGATGACATGATGGTCATCACTACCATCCATTGAGTACATGCACCAAGTCATCATGTTAAATGCATTCCATGGTTATTATGTCATTTAATTCTCACAGCTCTATTAGGTGGTTTTATAATCCCTACTTTATTGATGAGAACAATGAAGCTAAGAGACATTACATAACTTTCTCAAGGTCACAGTAAGTGGCAGTGCTAGGTCTAGACCCTATCTTTCATGTGTTAAAGCCTAGCACTTATCTGCCCCTTCTGCCCTGCTTCCTGTGAAAGAGTTAATTCAAGAGAAATAGTGTCACTTATTTTTCAAAGATAATTAGAAATTGTTCCAACCCCTCCCTAGTTTTCAGGACAAGAATGCAAGTTGAGAACAGACACTGGTGGAATCCTCATGAAGCCAAGGCTTGGACATTTTGATTAGGCTCCTTCTGGACGAAGGCCTTTTAAAGAAGGATTCTAATTAGTTAAGGATTCTCCCTGTATTTTATAAACATTTGAGTTTTTTTCTCCAGAATTAGTGGAGGAATATATTTGCCAGTCAATAATATGAATTGAGAAGTTTGTCAAGATTCATTAATGGGCTGAATCCAGTTAAGATCTCATAGAGAAGATGGCAAAATTCTTCTCCGTATCTCTAGGGTGCCATTTGAGATCACTTTATTTGCTTTGGGGAAAATATTACCCTGACATTCTGCCAAGTACATTCAAGAAATATTCACTGAGGGCCTCCTGTGTCTCAGGCACCATAGTAGGCTTGGTGCTGTCGAAGATCAGTGAGCTGGGTTCCTCAAGCCTGAGCCTTTCCAGAGTCTGACCTGAATAGGATATAGGGAATAGGAAGTAGGAGGGATTGGGGGAGGGGTTTGAAGTATCTCAAAGGTAAAAGCCTTAGTGAAATTAGAGGGAACCTCAGATATCCAAGTTTTGGAAACTAGCTAGTAACAGAAAATAATTTCTTTTAAGGAAGAATTTCTTAAGAAATGATATCTCAGGCTGGGATTTCTGCTAGAGTTTCATGGAAATCCAAGTCACAACTTCTAAATTATTCTTCACCCCACGCTTTAATTATGTCACTAGCTAAAACCTGTTACCTGAGAGTAGGCTTGCTGCTGTCAGGAAAGGGATGCATATACATATCCTCTTACCTGACACACAGTAGGCCCATTATCAGATCAGCCACGTTTCAAAGCCCAGAGTAAACAAACAGGGCTTCCCAATCACCACCAATTTTTCTTTTGCATTTTCCTCATTAAATTTATTTGATGCTTAATAACTTTTAGCTTTGAAATAGTTCAAAATATTCCCCAAATATATTGTAAGTACTCTCTGAAGTTTTCATAATATCATGTAAATTAATTTTAGAATCAGAAACATTCTCATTTTCCTCATATGTAACATGAAATGTTAATAATACCATCTTTATTATAACTGCTGTGATGATTACTAAGTGACATGTATGTAAAATGCCAACTGCTATGTAATAGGGCTTCAATAAATTATACCCCTTAGGAACTGTCAAAGATTTTAAAATAAGAATTTAATGCACATTTATGTATTTGGAAGAAGCGTAGCATTTATGTATTTGTAAATAGCAATGAGAGAGGTCCCTTTTATTTTAAAAAAACATTTTTAAAGTGTTGTTTTTTAAAGGGACATCTCATATTGCTGTACTTTTTCCAAAAAATGAAATCGACATGAAATGTTTCAAGAAAACATTTTCACTTGATCCACTTCATTTGCCAACTAATAATATAACTGAAGAAATGTGACTTTTGTAAGATTATTTCTCTTGTTATTGTCCTTGAAGATCTTTCGATCTTTCATTTCCTATAGAGGAATGCCTGTAATCTGCCTTCTCCTCCCACTTTTCTGAAGAATACCTCGAGCAAAACTGGGGAGGAGGCCATAGCCTCCTTGTGGGAGGAATTGGAGGGACTACATGAAAAAACAACTTTCTGACCCTAAACGAAAGACCTTCTCTCTTCTGTTTTTGGAATCTTTTTGCAGGGGTGAGTATGGGAGAAAGGTAACTGGGGACTCGTGTGTGTGTGTGTGTGTGTGTGTGTGTGTGTCTGTCTGTCTGTCTGTCTGTCTGTGTATTCCATCTAGAGCTCTACAAGGGAACCTAGGAGAGAAACCAGGAGCGCTGGCTGCACCATTATCTAGGGAGAGAAGGATCCTGAGGATTCTGGCTAAGGGTGCCTTCAGGGAAAGAGTGCGATCTGTCCAGAGTGACATTTGTGTTTAAATTATGGAAACCTAAGGAAAACTTAGGTGAATGAACAGAAAGCAAATTGAATTGCACATTATATACACCACCCTTTAGGTGGATGGGAAAGTCTCATTGTTTTAAGGACAAATAAATTTTACCAGACTCAGTTCTACCTAGTTGTTCACATAAAGATTCTATCCTTTGCCCTCTTTCCTTTCTACTTTATATATTCTCCCTGAGCTACTTTAATGCTATCTTCTCTGAATATTGAGCTTTATTTTGTATATTATTTATTTTTTATTATAAAAATAATACTGCTTCAGTTGTAAAAAAAAAAAAAAGACAATACAAGAAAGACTAACATGGAAAAGAAAACTTAAATGCAATTCTGCCACCCCGCGATAACCACACCTAACCTTTTCACCATCTGTGGGTAATGTTTTGTGACCTGCTTTTTTCCCATTTGTTGATATGTTACAAATATTTTCCTGATATTATTATTTTTCCTTATTATTTTAAAGGCTGCAAAGCCTTGTATTATATGGCTGTATAATAATGTATTTACCCAATGTTTACTTATTGGATATTTAGTTTGTGTCCAATTATCCCTCTTGTAAATCAGGCATACAGGGAGTTAGCGTACTTCCCATGTTTCCTTCAGTTAAATTTTAAGATACAGATTCATGGGGTCAATGAGCATGATTTTGACAATTTTAATGAAAATATTCATATCAGTTTAGACTGTCATTGCTAATATATAGGACCAGATTCCCCACAGTGTCCTTTTCCTTATCTTTGCCAAATCATCAAAATATGGGGGGTGAGAGGGTTGAATGAAAGGGATATCTCATTATTAGGGCTTCATTTGCATGTTTTTGGTAACTAGAGATGTAATAGTTTTATGCTTGTTAGCCATTTGTATTTCTTCTTTTGTGAATTGCCTTTTCAGATTCTCTGCCTCATCCTGTTACAAAATTATGTTTTCTAATCTTGAAGTGTAAAGTTTTTACTTAGCTAACATTTTCAGTACCTTCAACATAAGTTCCTCATGTACACAAGTGGAGATAAACGTTCACTTCCTTTTACTTCTGGTTTCTTTTATGATTTGTTTTTATATTTAACTTCTTAATTTACATGGAATTTATTTTGGTGTGTGGAATGACATAGGGGCCTGGCTTTACTTTTTTCCTACCAGCAGAGCATTTTCCTTTCCACCATTTGCTTCATCATTTATCTTGTCCCCACCAATTAAAAATGCCATCTTTATCTCAGAACCTTAAGGATCCAGGGATGGCCATGATTGTTTAGGCAGGAGAAGGGGAGTGGTTGGAAGGAAATGAGGCAATAAGGAGACTTCAACTTTATGAGTAGCATTTTATGTTTTACTTAAAAAAAAGATCAACAGCAAAAATGACAAATGTTTTCATTGTGAAATCTGGCCATATGAGCCCAGGAGTATTTTCTTTTCCTTCCTTCCTTCCTTCCTTCCTTCCTTCCTTCCTTCCTTCCTTCCTTCCTTCCTTCCTTCTTTCCTTCCTTCCTTCCCTCCTTCCTTTCCTTTTACTTTGTCTTCTCTTCTCTTCCCCTTTGTTTTCCTTCCTTCCTTTCTTTCTCTTTCCCTTTCTTTCCATTTCCTTCCTTTCTTTCTTTCTTTCTTTCTTTCTTTCTTTCTTTCTTTCTTTCTTTCTTTCTTTCTCTCTCTCTCTCTCTCTGTCTTTCCTTCCTTCTTTCCTTCCTTCTTTCTTTCGCTCTCTCTTTCTCTCTTTCTTTCTCAGGGTTTCCCTCTGATAGCTTACTGCAACCTCAAACTCTCTGAACTCAGGTGATCCTTCTACCTCAGCCTGCCAAGCAACTAGGTACACAGGCACACACCACCACACCCAGCTAATTTTTGTATATCTTATAGAGATGAGGTTTCCTCATGTTGCCCAGGCTGGTCTTGAACTGCTGGGCTCAAGCAACCCGCCTGCCTTGGCCTTCCGAAGTGCTGGGATTCCAGGCGTGAGCCACCCAGGAGTATTTTCTGTGTTTCTCTGGTGCTCTAAAAAAATATATATACATACATGGGAACTGTATTCCCTGGGAGCTTAAAAGAATCACCAGTCAAATGAGCCCAGAATCTTCTAAAGAGGCAATGCTTTAACAATTTTATAATTTCTTCTATAGTGGTTTCCCTTAAAATATTCTTATTTCTTTTGAGTCAATTTTCCTAATTAACTTTCTTCTGTGATATCATTCACTTTATTCTGATTTTAAATAGATTGACATAAGGTTTAGCAGAGTAATAGCTCTCTATCTGTGACTATATCTTTTTGATTCCTATTGTGTATTTTGTCATTTTCTTTTTACCTGATTAGATCAGCCAAAATGTCTTTGAGTGTCTTTGTTGTTGTTTTTCAATTAACTTTAAAATTTTTCAAGTAGTTGGAATTATTTTATATATAATCATCATTTTTAAAAATTGTTTTGCTCTCTGGCCAAAGGATGTGGCAAGTACATTTTTTTTTTAAAGAATAAGGTTCTCTTTGCTGTGGTTTTTCCACATTACTTATTAGCACTTGATACCATTGTCCATGTCTCTAGTTTAATAATTTTTTGCCTACTTGATCTGTCAAGGACTGAAAGGGATGTATTAAAACTTCCTCTGACCATTGTATTCTTGCCAACTTCTTTTAGTACTTCTAGTAATTTATGCTTAATGTGATTATTCTTAATGTTAGTAACGGTATATAACAATTTTGGCTTGACTAATATACCTCATAATCTTTATTATAGATAGCAGAAAATTGTAATAATCTTGTTCCATCTTAAAGTCTATAATGGGGTTTAACCCATTGGCCTTTATTGTTATGATTGATATTTTGGGCCTCTGTCCTCTTATGTTTTCTGGCTTGTATGTTCCTTGCCATATTATGTGCTTTCTGTTTCTGTATGGATTGTGGGATTTTTTATTGTGATAAAATACACATAACAAAATTGATCATTTTAACCATTTTCAAGTATACAATTCTGTGGCATTAGATACATTCACACTGTCGTGCAACCATCACCACCATCCATCTTCAGAACTTTTTTCATTCTCCAAAACTGAAATTCTATGCCTATTTATTTATTTTTATTTTATTTTTTTTAGATGGAGTCTCGCTCTGTCACCAGGCTGGAGTGCAGTGGCACGATCTCAGCTCACTGCAACCTCTACCTCCTGGGTTCAAGTGATTCTCCTGCTTCAGCCTCCCGAGTAGCTGGAACTACAGGTGTGCGCCACCAGGCCCAGCTAATTCTTTGTATTTTTAGTAGAGACAGGGTTTCACCATGTTGGCCAGGATGGTCTCGATCTCTTGACCTCGTGATCTGCCCACCTCGGCCTCCTAAAGTGCTGGGATGACAGGCATGAGCCACTGCGCCTGGCCTCTATGCCTGTTTAACACTAAATCCCCACTCTCCCTCCCCACAGCTCTTGGGAACCACCATTCTATGTTCTGACTCTGAATTTGACTACTCTAAATACCTAATGTAAGTGAAATCATACAATATTTGTCCTTTTGTGACTGGCTGATTTCACTTGTATAATGTCTTTCAAGTTTCACTCATATTATAGCATATGTTAGAATTTCCTTCCTTTTTAAGGCTACATAATGTTTCATTATATGTATATATCACATTTTATTTCTTCAATCATCTTCAACAGACGTGGTCACTCCCACCTTTTGGATATTGTGAATAATGCTGCTATAAATATGGGTGTACAGATATCTAGGTGGAATTGCTGGATCATATGATAATTATGTTTAAATATTTTTGAGGAATTGCCATACCAGTTTCCACAGTGGCACCACCATTTTACATTCCTCCTAGTAGTGCACAAGTGTTCAAATTTTCCCACATCTTCCCCAACAGTTGTTAGTTTCCAATTTTTTAATTATAGCCATCCTAACAGGTGTGAAGTGATATCTCATTGTGGTTTTGATTTGCATTTCCCTAATGATTAGTGATGTTGAGCATCTTTTCATATGCTTATTGCCTATTTATAGATCTTCTTTAGAAACATGTCTATTCAAGTCCTTTCCCCATTTTTTAATTGGCGAGTTGTAGAGTTCTTTATATATTTTGTATTTTAATGCCCTATCAGTTATATGATTTGCAAATGTTTTCTCCCATTCTGTAGATTGTCTTTTTACTTTCTTGATAACGTCTTTTGATGCACAAGTTTTTAATTTTGATGTAGTCTGGTTTATCTATTTTGACTTTTGTTGCCTGTGCTTTTGATGTCATATCCAAGAAATCATTGCCAAATCCAGTGTCATGAAGCTTTGCCCCTATGTTTTCTGCTAAGAGTTCTGTGGTGTTAGTACATATATTTAAGTCATTCTTTCATTTTGAATTAATTTTTGTAGATGGTGTAGGGGTCCAACTTCATTCTTTTACATGTGGAAATCCAGTTGTCCCATCATGAATTTGAGTAAAATTTGGAGGATGGGTATGTAGTTATATGCTTTCTGAATTCTTATAGCTGATAATATTTTTGCTGTCTTCACAAATGCAAAAGACCATTTTTTCCTAAAATGTTGTCAACTTGCTTAATTGTAGGCTATCATTTATTGCCATAGAGAAGACTGAGGCCAGCCCAATTTTTGTTCTTTTTTAGGTTATTTATTTTTCTCCATCCTACATATTTGTAAAATTCTTTGCTTATCATTTGAATGTTAAAGAATTGCTTGGACATGTCTAACTAATATTGTCTCTTCATTTATGTTGTATGGAACATGTAAGTCATCATTCAGTGGATTCAGGTCTTTTTTCACTGAAAAAAGCTTTCTTCTGTTACTTATTTAAATAAGTATTGATTCTGCTCTGTTTGTTGCAACAATTTTCTCTGCTAGGTCTCCATCTGATGTTCTTCATATTCATCATCTCATAAATGTAATATTTTTGTTCTTTTATATTAGCGGAGGTTTCTCAAGTGTGACTTCCACATGATTTTAGTAATATAGATTCTTCTTCTGTTTTTAATTCTGCTTTAAATTCATTTTGATTATTTTTACTTTCCTTACACTCCTTTAGTTCAGTTCAGCCAAGTTTCTCTTTGTTGCCTTAGATAGAACGTTATCATTCACCTTTTATTTAATCAGTTCCATGTTTTCTTGGCTTTGATATACACCATGAAGTGGAAGCTGCCTAAATCTTAGAGTGAATCTTTCATAAGTATCCTCATGCTCCACCTTTTGAATGAGGTTTTTTCCACCATGTTTTTAGGGTATATAATATTTTCATAATTTCATGTTAATTGTTAACTGATTTGTGAACCAAAATGACAAATCCAACCCTAATGCTTCCAAGAAAATTTGTTGGAGTCTTGTTGAAACCCCTCACCTGGAATACTAGAATCTTATTCCCTGGATTTTAACTTTGGTAGATTGTTGATAAAAGTTTACCTGACTAATTCAATGTCCCAGGACTTGAAGGGAGTGGGTGCAGGGCTGAGGCTGCAGGCTGTGTCAGCAGGGGAACTTCATCTCCTTCAGGCTTGAAGAAGCTTCTGAACCAGGCTCTGGTTTGCAGAACATAATTTTCTATTTGGCCTGGCTGCCATACCAATGGTTGATGTGACTACATTTAGGTTCTTACTAATTTATTCTCCCCAGTTCTAGAAGGATCACTGTCTGTCTGGGCTTTATCTCGTCTAGGAATTTCCAGTGCAACAACTTCTGAGGTTGGTGGCCACCAACTATGAACTGTGAATTGAGAGAGGTGAAATGCCTCTCCTCTGGCTGGATCCTACCCTCTCTTTCCAAATTAGGGAATATTAATGGGTTTTGGCAGAACCCATATCTACTTACTGTAAAACATATCCCATCTTCACTTTATGATTATGGATAACTGGCTCTCAGTCTTCCAATTTGTATTCACTTGCCATTTGTGACATAAGGATAGTATGGCACCTTTGGTCCAATGTGAATAGAAAACAGAAACATCTACTGAGTGGATCATATGAATTTTTGTCATCTAGGCTGGGATGCAGTGGTGCAATCATAGCTCACTGCAGCCTCGAACTCCTGGGCTTAAATGATCTCTCTGCCTCAGCCTCCTGAGTAGCTGAGACTGCAAGCATGTACCACCATACCCAGCTATTTTTTTAAAATTTTTTTGTAGACATGGTCTCTTGCTTGTGCAGTCCTGTCTTGATCTCCTGGCCTCAAGCAATCCTACCACCTTGGCCTCCCGAAGTGCAGGGATTACAGGCATGAGCCATTCATTGCACCTGGCTGGTTTTGTTCTTTTCTTAGTTGTTTTTTTTTTCACTCCAATAGCTTTTGGGGTACAAGTGGTTTTTGGTTACATGGATGAATTATATAGTGATGAATTCTGAAATTTTAGTACACCTGTCACCAGAGTAGTGTACATTGTACTCTGGTATGGAGTTTTTAAATCCCACACCCCTATCCCACTGTCCCCCTTCTGAGTCTCCAAAGTCCATTATTTCAGACATACAGACTCCTGACTGTATGTCTTTGTGTATTCATAGCTTAGCTCCCACTTGTAAGTGAGAACATATGGTATTTGGTTTTCCATTCCTGAGTTACTTCACTTAGAATAATGGCCTCCAGCTCCATCCAAATTGCTGCAAAAGACATTATTTGCCCCTTTTTATGGCAGAGTAGTATTCCGTGGTGTATATGTAATACATTTTCGGGTTTTTTTGTTTGTTTGCTTTTTTTTTTTTTTTTAGATGGAGCCTTGCTCTGTCACCCAGGCTGGAGTGCAGTGGTGTGTTCTTGGCTTACAGCAACCTCCACCTCCTGGGTTCACACCATTCTCCTGCCTCAGCCTCTCAAGTAGCTGGGACTACAGTGTGTGCCACCATGCCCGGCTAATTTTTTGTATTTTTAGTAGAGATGGGGTTTCACCATGTTAGCCAGGATGATCTCGATCTCCTGACCTCGTGATCTGCCCACCTCAGCCTTCCAAAGTGCTCTGTTTAAAGGTGTGAGCCACCGCGCCTGGCCTATACTACATTTTCTTCATCCCCTCATTGGTGTTGGTGCACTTAAATTGGTTCCCTATCTTTGCAATTGTGAATTGTGCTGCAATAAACATACATGTGCATGTGTCATTTTCATATAATGACTTCTTTTCCTTTGAGTGGATCTAGTGCAATTGCTGGATTGAATGGTAGATCTACTTTTAGTTCTTTATGGAATCTTCATACTGCTTTTCATAGAGGTTATACAAATTTACATTCCTACCAGCAGTGTGTAAGCATTCTCCTTTCACCCACATCCACACCAACATCTGTTGTTTTTTGACTTTTTAATAATGGCTATTCTTGCAGGAGTAAGGTGGTATCTCATTGCAGTTTTATTTTGCATTTATCTGGTGATTAGTGATGTTGAGCTTTTTTTTTTCACATTTTTCTTCCCCATTTGCGTATCTTCTCTTGATAAATGTCTATTCATGTCATTTGCACACTTGCAAATGGGTTATTTTTTTTTCTTGATGATTTGAGTTTCTTATAGATTCTGGATAATAGTCCTTTGTTGAATGCATAGTTTGTAAATATTTTCTCCCATTTTGTGGGTTGTCTGTTTACTCTGATGATTATTTCTTTTGCTATGCAGAAACTTTTTAGTTTAATCAGGTACCATTTATTTATTTTTATTTTTGTTCCATTTTCTTTTGGGGTGTTAGTCAAGAATCTTTGCCTAGGCCATTGGCCAGAAGACTTTTTCCAAGGTTATCTTCTAGACTTTTCATGATTTCAGGTCTTAAAATTTTTGATCCATCTTAAGTCGATTTTTGTATAGGGTGAGATAGAAATCTAGTTTCATTCTTCAGCAGGCGGCTAGCCAGTTTTCCCAGCACCATGTATTAAGTAGGGTGTTCCTTCCCCAATTTATGTTTTTGTATGCTTTGCTGAAGATTAGTTGGTTGTAAGTATCTGGCTTTCTTTCTGCATTCTCTATTCTGTTCCATTGGTCTGTGTGCCTACTTTTATACCAGTGCTATGCTGTTTTGGTAACTATAGCCTTGTGGTATAACTTGAAGTCCAGCAATGTGATGCCTCCAGATGTTTGTTTGTTTTGTTTTGTTTTGTGTGTGTTTTTTTTGTTTGTTTTGCTTAGGATTCTTTTTGGCTACTTGAGCTCTTTTTTGGCTCCATATGAATTTTAGGATTTTTTTTCTAGTTCTGTGAAAACAATGTGAGTATTTTGATGGGAATTGCATTGAATCTGTAGATTGCTTTCGGCAGTATGGTCATTTTCACAATATTGATTCTTCCAATCCATGAGTATGGGATGTGTTTTCATTTGTTTGTGTCATCTATGATTTCTTTCAGTGGTGTTTTGTAGTTCTCCTTGTTGCGGTCTTCCACCTCTTTGGTTAAATATATTCCTAGACATTTTATTTTATTTTGCAGCTGTTGTAAAAGGGATTAAGTTTTTTATTTGATTCTCAGCTTGGTTTTTGTTGGTGTATAGCAGTGTTACTGATTTGTGTACCTTGATTTTGTAACCTAAAACTTTACTGAATTCATTTATCAAATCTAGAAGTCTTTGGTGGAGTCTTTAGGGGTTTCCAGGCATATAATCATATCATCAGTGAACAGTAAAAATTTGACTTCCTCTTTTCCATTATGGATGCCCTTTCTTTCTCTTGCCTGATTATTCTGGCTAGGACTTCCAGTACTATGTTGGATAGAAGGGGTGAAAGTGGGTATCCTCATCTTGTTCCAGTTCTCACAGGGTATGCTTTCAACTTTTCCCCACTCAGTATGGTGTGGGCTGTGGGTTTGTCATACATGGCTTTTATTAATTTGAGTCCCTTCTATGCCTAGTGTGTTGAGACTTTTTATAATAAAGGGATGCTGGATTTTATTGAATGCTTTTTCTGCATCCTTTGAGATGATCATATGGTTTTTGTTTTTATTTCTGTTTATGTGATGTATCACATTTATTGACTTGTGTATGTTAAACCATCCCTGGGATGAAACCATTCCTGCATCCTTGGTATGAAACCCACTTAATCATGGTGTATTATCTTTTTTAACGTGTTGTTGGATTTGGTTAGCTAGTATTTGGTTGAGAATTTTTGCATAGATGAACATAGATATGTTCATCAGGAATTGGTCTGTAGTTTTTTTGGTTGTTGTTGTTGTTGTTACGTAACTTCCTGGTTTTGGTATCAGCATGATACTGGCTTCATAGAATGATTTAGGGAGGGTTCCCTCTTTCTTAGTCTTTAGGGGTAATTTAAATAGGATTGGTACCAATTCTTCTTTGAATGTCTAGTAGAATTCAGCTATAAATCTATTTAGTCTGGACTTTTTTTTTCTTTTTTTTTTAAGTTGGAAAATTTTTTTATTATTACTAATTTAATCTCACTGCTTGTTGTCTGTTTGGGGTTTCTATTTTTTCCTGATTTAATCTAAGAGAATTGTCTGTTTTCAGGAATGAATCCATTTCCTCTGGGTTTTCTAGTTTGTGTGCATAGAAGGGTTCATAGTGCTCTCAGATGATCTTTTGTGTTTCTGTGGTGTCAGTTGTAATCCAGTTTCATTTCTAATTGAGCTTATTTGAACCTTCACTCTTCTTGGTTAATCTAGCTAATGTTCTATCAATTTTGTTCACCTTTTCGAAGAACCACTTTTTGTTTCATTGATCTCTTGTATTTTGTGTTTCAATTTCATTTAGTTCTGCTCTGATCTTTGCTATTTCTTTTCTTCTGCTAGCTTTGGGTTCAGTTTGTTCTTATTTCTCTAGTTCCTTGAGGTGTGACATTAGATTGTCAATTTTTGATCTTTCAGACTTTTTTATGTTGGCATTTAGCACTATAAACTTTCCTGTTAGCACTACTTTTGCTGTAGTCCAGAGGTTTTGATAACTTGTGTCACTATTATCATTCATTTCAAAGAATGTTTTCATTTCCATCTTGATTTCATTGTTAATCTAAACATCATTCAGGAGCAAATTATTTAATTTTCATGTATTTGTATAGTTTTGGGGTTTCCTTTTAGAGTTCACTTCTAGTTTTATTCCACTGTGTTCTGAGAAGACACTTGATATGATTTCAATTTTTAAAAATTTATTGAGACTTGTGGCCTATCTTGGAGAATGTCTCATGTGCTGGTGAGAAGAGTGTATATTCTGTAGTTCTTGGGCAGAATGTTCTGGAAATATCTTAGGTCTATTTGTCCTAGCATATAGTCTAAGCCCATCGTTTCTTTGTCGAATTTCTGTCTCAATGATCTGTCTAGTGCTTGCCAGTGGAGTATAGAAGTCCCCCTCTATTATTTTGTTGCTATCTAACTCATTTATTAGGTCTATTAGTAATTGGTTTATGAATCTGGGAGCTCAAGGGTTGGGTGCATATATATTTAGGATTGTACTATCTTCTTGCTGGATTGATCCTTTTATCATTATATAATGACCTTCTTTTCTTTTTACTGTTGTTGCTTTAAAGTCTATTTTATTTGATATAAGAATAGCTACTCTTCCTCACTTTTAGTTTCCATTTGCATGGGATATCATTTTCCACACCTTTACCTTGAGTTCATAGGCATCCTTACATGTTAGATAAGTCTCTTGAAGACAACAGATATTTGGTTTGTGATTCTTTATCCATTCTGTCAATCTGTATCTTTTAAGTGAAGTATTTAGGCCATTTATGTTCAATATTAATATTGAGACATAAGGTACTATTCAATTCATCATGTTAGTTGTTACCTACTTTGGTTTTTTTTCTTTTTGCATTATGTTATTGTTTTATAGGCCCTGTGAATGTTATGTTTTCAAGAGGTTCTACTTTTGTGCATATCAAGCTTTTGCTCCAAGATTTAGAACTCCTTTTATCATTTCTTTATAGGGCTGGTCAGGTAGTAACAAATTCCCTTAGCATTTGTTTATCTGAAAATGACTTCATTTTGCCTTCATTTATGAAACTTAGTTTTGCTGGATGCAAAATTGTTGGCTGAGTTATTCTATTTAAGGTGGCCAAAGATAGGACCTCAATCTCTTCTGCCTTGAAAGGTTTCTGCCGAGAAGTATGCTGTTAGCCTGATGGGTTTCCCTTTATAGGTTACCTAATGCTTTTGTCTCATTGATCTTAGAATTCTTTCCTTCATGTTGAGTTTAGATAGCCTGATGACTATATGTCTTTGTAATGATCTTTTACAGTGAATCTCCTAGAAGTTCCTTGAGCTACTTGTATTTGGATATCTAAATCTCTAGCAAGGCCAGGGAAGTTTTCCTCAGTTACTCCCTCAAATAAGTTTTCCAAACTTTTTTGCTTTCTCTTCTCCCTCAGGAACACCAGTTATTCTTAGGTTTAAGTGTTTTACATAATCCCATATTTTTTGGAGACTGTTCATTTATGTTGATTCTTTTTTCTTTTCTTTCTTTTTTTTTGTCTAGTTGGATTAATTTGAAAGCCTTATCTTCGAGCTCTGAAATTCTTTCTTCTACTTGTTCTAGTCTATTGTTGAAATGTTCCACTGCATTTTGTAATTCCCTAAGTGCATCTTTCATTTCCAGAAGTTCTGACTGTTTTTTATGATATCTATCGCTTTAGAAATTTTTCATTCATATCCTGAATTGTTTTTTAAATTTCTTTATGTTGGTTTTCACATTTCTCTGGTATCTCCTTGAGTAGCTTAATAATCAATTTTTTGAATTATTTATCTGATATTTCAAAGATTTCATCTTGGTTTAGATCCATTGCTAGAGGGCTAGTGTGATCTTTTGGGGGTGTTATAGAACTGTGTTATGTCATATTACTAGAATTATTTTTCTGGTTCCTTCTCATTTAGTTAGGCTATTTCTAATAATTATTTTTGAGTTTAATTTTGATTTGACTTTTTAAAAATTTCTTTTTTCCCCTTAAGGATGTAACTTTAATGCTTATAGTTTATTATAGCCTAAATCAACTCTTGGTGCTTTTGGGGTGAAGACTCTGTATGAGTTCCTTGGCTACAGAGAGTCTTTGTTCCTTGGTTATGGAGAGTCTTCCTCAGATGCTGATTGTAGTAGCGATGTGATCAGTGTGTGAGCAAGTTCACTATCTCCTATCACACTGGAATGGCAGAGGTCACTTGAAGCTTATCTCATTCCCCTGTGGTGTGTACTTTCTTATTTATTTATTTTTTTCCCAGTGTTTTACTTACTGGGTTGAACAGTTCAGTTTATGCCAATAGGGGAGGTGTCCATGGATAAAAGCTAGCTGTAGTTAAAGCAGGTGGGTAAATTCAATGGTGGGCAGAGGTCCCAGCCTTGACAGAGATAGCTGGGGGAGCTCTCAGTGAAACAAACTGAAGTCGTATCATAAGGAAGGACTGGATCTACCTCAGCTCCCCTACTAGGCCAGCAGGAACGCCATCCCACACCCAGACACACACCTGACCCAGTGTTTCAACTATTCAGATCAGACAGACACCTTTTTGCATATGCAGGAATGTTGATGTTTCAAGTAGAGAAGAATTGTGACTCTACCTCTCATGTAAACCTGTACTTGGAGGATACTCCTCCTGTGGGGATGCAGTTACTCTGTAGTATTCCAGAAAGGCTGCCTCTAGGTGCACACACCCGTCTCCTCTGGGAAAAGCCCCAGCTGTGTCTGCAGTGGTATATGAGGGGGAAAAGAAGTTTCCTTCTCCAAGATCCTTAATGAGCACCAGGGCTGCCTGAGTGTTGGGGTAGACTTTCAGGCTTTCCCTGTTAAACCCAGCACTGCAACTGTGCTTCTACTGAAAGAAACTTCCCAGAAGCAGAAAGATCTGGGACTTAAGTCCTGCCATCCAGGTTATTTTGTCCCATGGGGTATTTCCTTGATGTGGTGCCCTCTCCCTTCCCCTAGGTGTGGGAGTCCCTGAGAACCAGATTACTGTAAATGTTGTTGCTCTTCTAGGTCCAGCCACCCAGTGGGGCTGCCACATTCCAGGCTGGTGTTGGGGAATGTCCACAAGGGACCCAGAGATGTGACCTGTCCTCAAGTCTCCCAGCAGCAGATACCAGCACCAGCTCTGTTGGGGGTGGCAGGGGAGTGACATAGACTCTGCAAGATTCTTTTGTTATAGATAGCCTTGATGTGTTGGCTTTCTCAAATGCCAGTTGTAGATGTGATGAACTGGTCATATGGACAGACTCAGGACCTCCTGGTTAGCCAGGGTGGTGCAGGCAAAGGTGATAGCTGAGGTCACACACAAGTTTTCTGCCTCCTGGGTGCTGTGTTGTTATACCTGGAGATACTATAATGGATTGCGTTGGTTGGCTTCCAGCCAAGAGGTGGCACTTGCAAAACAGCACCAACTATGGTAGTAGTGGTGAGATTTGTGCTTGCCTTATGTTACCCAGGGACATAAGAGTACCCCGGGAAGGTACTCTGGTTTCTCAGGCAATGGGTGGGGCCATAGAGCTCTCAAAAGTTAGTTTTCTTTGTGTTAAGCTACCAGAGTGTGTGGAGGGGCAAAGCCAGGTTGGGGCTGGGTCAGTCAGGTTCATGCTCTGTGACAAGCAGTGGTTCCTGTTGGAGTTGGGGGGAGGTTTTCTGGCCGCTGGGGTAATGTTCCAAGAGCCTAGCTGCTTCTGCTGCGCAGAAGAGTTTGCACAGGGAGTTGGGAGTAGCAGGTGTCAGTAAGCCCTACCATGCTCCTACACACTTGGCAAGGCAAGTCTCACACCCGCAGTTTTCCACTAGTAGCAGTGAGCTAAGTTCCAGGTTGTCTACGCTCAGAACTCACAACTACCTCAGGCCATAAACTTTCCCCCACAGAGATAGCAACCAAAGCTTTCAGACCACACCCCTCCCAGACACTCAGCTCCTACACTTGTGGCTGCAGCACACTTCCCACTTACTCCCTGGTTTTGGCCAAGGGAGTTCTTCTCTACTCAAGATTATGTCATGAAATTCAGTTGGGAGTTTCTTTTAACCTGCAACCACTGCCTGAGTTAGTTAGTTGGGAGACTTCTATGAAGTCCCCTGTGAGGCAGAATAAGGAATGGCTTCTCTTGGTTAGTGCTGGAGACTGGGAACACATGCAAGGTATTTCTCACTGCCACTTCTACTTTTAAATTCTTTACCACTCACTAAACCAGTTCCAGCACTGGGCAGGGTTAAGGCTTTCCCTTGTGAGCTGTATTTCCAGGTTCCCTTGTGGGGCTGTATATCACTCTGTCACTCTCTGGGGACTTAACAGTTTTTTGCCTGGCTTACAATGTAGGCTGCAGCCTCCTCCTTTCAAAGGATCTGTGGATTTCAGTTTTCCTGTTTAGTGCCTGTGTTGCTTCTTGGAAAAAAAGTTCACAATGTAAATATCTACACACGATTTTGTCTTTCTGAGTCAGGGAAGCATGCACACATTGCCTCCATTCCTTCATCTTGGAAAAACAGCAACAACAACACCAAGAAAATGGTTTTGTTCTTTATTTTATTCTTCTGCTATTGTTTTTTAATCATTTGGTAGAATTCCCATGTGAAGCCATCTGATCCTGAACTTTTCTTTCTAGGAAGTTTTTTTTTTTTTTGATTACTAATTCAATCTCTTTAATCATTATAGGTCTATTCTTGTTGAGCCAATTTTGATAGTTTTTGTCTTTCTAGAAATTGGTCCATTTGATTTAGGCTGTCTAACTTGTTGATATACAGTTATTCACAGTATTCCCTTAGAATACTTTGTATTTCTATAATATCAATAGTGATGTCCCCTCTTTCATTTTTTAATTTTTGTATCTTGAGTCTTCTCCCTTTTCTTCTTGGTCATTCTAGCTAAAGGTTTGTTGATTTTATTGATCTTTTTAAAATAACCAACCTGGTTTACTCTTCTTTTTCTAGTTTTTTTTCAAGTGGAAAAAAACTATTGATTTGAGATTTTTCTTTCTTTCTAACATAGTCACTTACAGCTATAAATTTCTCTCTAACTACTGTTTTACCTGCATCTCGTAAGTATTGGTATGTTGTATTTTCATTTCATTTATTTCAAGGTATTTTCTAATTTCCCTTGTGATTTCATTTTTGGATTACTTATTATTTGGGATTGTGTTGTTTAATTTTTACATATTTATAAATGTCCCAAATTTCTTTGTCACAGGTTTCTAGTTTCAATCTATTAAAAGTTGAACATAATTTGTATGATTTCTACCCTTTTAAATTTAAGTGTTGTTTTATGGTCAAGCATATGGTCTTTCCTGGAAAATGATCAATATGCACTCTGGAAGAAAGTCTATAATGCTGTGGTTAGGTGAACATTATATAGATGTTTCTTAGTCTAGTTGGTTTATAGTATTATTCCAGTCTTCAGTTTCCTTCTTGATCTTCTGCCTAGTGGTTCTATCCATTATTGAAAGTGAGATATTGGAGTTTTCAACTATTGTTATTGAATGTTCTGTTTCTTTCTTTAATTCTGTCACTTCATGGACATAGGGTCTTTGTTGTTAGCTGTGTATAAATGTTTATAATTGTTATATCTTTTTCTTTTTGTGATAGAGCCTTGCTCTGTCACCCAGGCTGGAGTGCAATGGTGCAATCTCAGCTAATTGCAGCCTCCACCTCTTGGGTATAAGAGATTCTACCGCCTCAGCCTCCCAAGTAGCTGGGACTACAGGCTCATGCCACCATGCCTGGGTAATTTTTATATTTTTAGTAGAGATGGGGTTTCACAATGTTGGCCAGGCTGATCTCTAAGTGGCCTCAAGTGATCCACCTGCCTTGGCCTCCCAAAGTGCTGGGATTACAGGCATAAGCAACTACACCTGGCCTTGTAATTGTTATGTCTTCTTGATAAATCAGCACTTTTATTATTTTAAAATATCCTTTTTTATTTCAGTAACAATGTTTATCTTAAAGTATATTTTGCCCAATATTAGTGTATCCATTCTAGCTCTCTTTTGCTTACTGTTTGTTTTTTAATTCTTTTACTTTCAATCCATTTGTTTCTGACTCTAACAAGTATGCCTCTTGTAAATAGCATGTAGTTGTTTTACAGTTTTTAAAATCTATTCTGTCAATCTCTGCCTTTTAATTGGCATGCTTAAACCACTTACATTTAATGTAATTGCTGATAAGGTATAATGTACATTTGTCATCTTGCTATTTGGTTTCCATATGTTTTATTTTCTTTTTGTTCCTATATTCTGCCATTAACTGGCTTCTTTTGTATTAAATAGATATTTTCTATTATACCATTTAAAAGTTCTTGTCATTTCCTTTTCTATGTAATTTTTACTTATTTTGTTGACATGGGGATTACAGTTAACATTCTTAACTCATAACAATCTAATTCAGATTGATGCCAACTTAAGTTGAATTGGATATAAAAACTTTTCTCCTAGTTCTGTTCCTGAATCCTGCTTTCATGCAGTTATTGTCATACAAATTACATCTTTGTACTTTATTTGCCCATCAACAAAGAGTTATAATAATTGCTCTTTACAGTTGTTTTCTTAATCAGATAGAAGGACAAAAAATATACATTTGTACTCCATTCTTATATTTATCTATGTAGCTACCTTTATTGATGCTTTTGATTTTTTTTCATGTGGATTTATGCTACTGTTTAGTATTCTTTGATTTTAGCTTGAAGGACTCATTTTAGCATTTCTAGTAGGGCCAGCCTGCTAGTGATAACTTCTCTGTTTTTTATTTTCTGTGAATGTCTTAATTTCTTCATTTTTGAAAGATAGCACTGCTTAGTATAGTATTATTGGTTGACATTCACAACCAAGAATATATAATTGTTAAATATGTTAAATTTTTATATGTATTATTATTAAATTGTTTTACATATGTTAACTTGTTACTATATTAAGTATTCTTGGTTTGAATGTCAACCAAGAAAACTATATTAAGTTTTCAGGTATTGGTTTTTAGGCTTTTTTTTTCTTTTGTTGCAGCACTTTGTGTTTGTCATTCCACTGCCTCTTCAGGCAGCCATGAAGTTAAACAATTGCCCACAATTGTTTAGACAAATGCCCTCAGGGGAAAAGCTGTTTGCACTTGGGGAGCAATGAATTAGGTGAAATAGACAGCAAATGAGGTCTCCCAGGGAACCACTAACCAGGTCAAATGATAATTCTCTGGAATGAGGTTCAAAGGAACTCTAGCCCTGTTCTTTGTCCTCTGGTGACTGCCAAGTGCTAGTTTTCAACATGAGCTTGTGCTGTTAAATTTTCAAGGCTACTGTGGAGCTGAAGAGTAAATTATGGGACAAATTAAAAACACCACAAAGCTCACTCTTCTTACCGAGATTCAGCTGTTTTTCTTGAATAAATGCTCCCAGATTGCTGCAAGTCTTTTGTTAATATCCTGATTTCTGGGAAAGTTGATTTTGGCAATCCAATTTTTGCCAGTTTTCTCATTAATTTTATGGATTAGAGAATTTTTGGAGATTTTTACTCTGCCATTTTCACTGACATTACTTGCTGTATGCTTTTTTTTTTTTTTCAGGGTCTCACTCTGACACCCAGGCTAGAGGTGCAGTGGTGCAATCACAGCTCACTGCAGCTTCAATTTCCAGGGCTCAGGTAATTCTCCCACCTCAGCCTCCTGAGTAGCTGGGACTACAGGCACCTACCACCAGAGTCCAGCTAATTTTTTTTAATTTTTGTAGAGACAGAGTTTTGCCATGTTGCCCAGGCTGGTCTCAAGCTGCTCGGCTCAAGCATTCTACCTGTCTTGGCCTCCCAAAGTGCTGGGATTACAGGTGTGAGCCACTGCACACAGCCCACTTTGTGCTTTTGAACTCATTTTCTCTTCCTGGATCACCCTTCCATTCCTAAACTCCTGCACGAATTCTTTCCACATTTCAATTATTTGTCTGTGTCTTTCTCAACATTAAAATGAACCCTTTCTATTTTATGAGTTTGCAACTCTTCAGTGTGATGCCAAGTTTAATGTAAAGAAAGGTGTTATCAATGTTCTATAGCTTAACTTAAATGCACACACCTATCTTGGGAGACTTCACTTAAGGCTTTAAAGGAGAAAATGCAAACTCCACTTACCAAAAGAATAAAACTAAGTTATTGATAAACCTCTACATAATAAACAGATATGTCAATGATATATTCTTCTGCCTACCATACCTAGGAGTCTTTCTGGGTGTGGTTGGGCCTTAGACAATTCAGGGTTACAAACTATGTGAAGAAGAATCACTGTGTGCCCAGCTTGGGGATAAAAACTACTATAAATCCCTAGTAATTTCAGCTATGGCTGTGTAATCTCAGCCTGAAATATTTAGAGAAGACGTTTGGTTGAGAAGACTTCTAGAAGTGGTTAATCAAAAGTAGTTATGGTGAGCTGTACTGGGCAACCAAGCTAAGGTACAAAGAGCTGCAGATGTGGTTGACTTATATGCCATGTCTTTCATTTCCTTTTTGATATAGCCTTTAAATGACTTATTTGCTGCACAGTGTTATTCAATGTTACTTTTTAATCTTAAATCATTTTTATCTCTTTTAATGATTGAGGCAAAGTTAAACAGCTGGAAGCTGAGGATGTGTATAATCTTGCTCTTAATTGGATGTTACAGAAGAAACCAGAATCTGAGTAGTCCTTGGTGCCAAAAGCCTAGAAGCCTCCTGTGCTAATGACTGGCTACTCAGTGTTGTAATATGGCAAGAATTCACCAAGTGATAAGATTATTTGAAATAAAGCCACATGATCTAGGGATAAATGCCTGCTCTTTACTCCTGGTTGGTAGTGTCCTGGCTGCTTATGACTGATAGGGTTTCTCATGGTGATAGGGGAGAATGAATTGGGAGGTGGCTGTGATAGGCATTGCATTACGGAATAAGATAATTTAACCTACATATTATCTAGTAGGACTTTGTTAATAGCCTTTCTTTGAATAGGGCTTGAAATGTCAAGTTGCCCCTTCTGATACTAGAGTACAAAAATGAAGACAGTAAAAGTATCCTACAGTTCTGCAAATCAAACTTATCTCTATTTTTGTGCCATTTTCTGATGACCCCAAGGAGGCTTGGGTACTGGGGCAGAAACTTGGTAGTGAGAAATATTGTAATGTTTTTATGATACGTTTAGAAAATAAAGCCAAATGTAAAACAGCTATTTCAATTGGTGCCCGTCATTTGGCACTTTGTTTCATGAGTTATTTTTATGAAACGTTTAACAATACAGACTAATTGCTGTTTAGGTATCAAACATCATTCATTTCTATTCTTTCCTATCATTGTTATTGTTGTGTCTGGATAGGTTGAACTTGACCACTTTTATTGATGGAGCTCCTGCCCAAAAGGCCAAATTTTATTTTCTCAACATTGATTGTAGATTATAAACTCCCATAAACCTATGGTAAAAAGCCATGTTCTCTTGGTATTTGGTTTCCTCAATCATGTTTCAAGAACAAATATTGTGGTTTCTGAATAGTGAAACCAAAATGTGGGATCTGAGTGTTCCTTTTGGTGATAGTGACTCCAACATTCACTATGAGAGGTTTTATTATTCTCCGAGGAAGGACGGGGTATTATCTCCAAGGTAAATTTTGTGAGCTTTTTTAGCTTCCCAAGGTCCTGAGGGAAAGCTTAGAAGAAATCTTTTGATTCTAATTTGGATGCCTGAATCAGGAACTTTACGTTATCATGACTGATCACCAGGAGACTGATTTGAAGAGTACCTGCCAGGTCTTCTAAAGAAAAATAATAAAGGAGGAATTGAAGTGGTGGTGGTAATAGTTAGCTTCCTATGATACTAGGATTGAGACTCCTGAGTAAAGAGGGAAGATAAATCTGTCCCCAGCTTCTGGTGGGCATGGGAAGTGTAGCAGAAACATGTCCTTAAAAAGCAAAAAACTCACCTTTCAGAAAATACCAGCTGAAAGGTTGTTGTCCCTGCCTGAGGTAATTGATTGGTGGGTGGTAAGGAGTGCAACAAAGGGTGGTACCATTAAACGGTCTTTGTCTAGCTCTGGGAAACCCAAGTGAATTCTTCAACAGAGGTATAGTAGTCTGTGTGGGCTGCCATAACAAAATACCATAGCCTGAATAACTTAAACAACAGAAGTTCATTTTCTTACAGCTCTGGATGCTAGAAATCCAAAATCAGGGTAATTTCAGGCTTGGTTTCTCCTGAGACCTCTTTTTTTGGCTTTAAGATGGCTGCCTTCTTGCTGTGTCCTCATGTGACCTTTCCTCTGTGTACATGTGTGTCTGTCTTCCTCTTATAAGGACACCAGTTTTATTGGACTGGGGCTCTTATGACCTCATTGAACCTTAATTACCTCTTTAAAGGCCTTGTCACCAAATACAGTCCCATTCTGAGGTACTGGAGGTTAGGACTTCAACATATGAATTTGTGGGGACGTAGTTCAGTTGATAACAAGAAGAGACAGTAAACTTCACTACTGGGAGGAGAAAGCAGGGAGCACACAACAAAGGAGCTGTGATTGACATGGGAGCTAATGACCACTGAAGTATAGTCATGAGATCTCAAGTGTAGGCAAAAGAACTGAAACCGGGCAGGTAGGTTAGGACCTTTATCCCAGTTTAGCTTGCTCCTGATGCAGCAGGAGAAGGGGACAGCAATAATGAGCACATGATATAAGGAGAAAAGCTAATGGAAATGAGAAACCCGTCAACGTGTCCAATTAGCCAGAGATCTGTGGAGCGCTCAGGAAAGTATTGAGAGGTGTAAGACGTGGACACAGACATCAGAGAGCACACAGCACAATGAGAGAACATGTGAAAAGTTATTAAATGCAGAGAAACGATCCAAATAATTACCGATGTTTTGTTGAGCCCTCTTTGTGCTCAGCAGTGGGCCAGGCATGGAAGTGCGCTGGTGAGCCCACCAGACCTGGCTCCTGGCCTCTGTGGCCTCCACTCTAGGGATGGGAACGGACCTTTGTCTAACAGCCACACAGATTATTTCAAATGGTGACAAGTGCTCTGAATGCAAAGGACAGTGTGACAGAGTTGAGTGTGTCAGAGAGAATGAATTCTGATCCCTCTCAGAGGAATTCTGAGGGACTGACATGTAGGTTGAGGCCTCACAAATAAGGAATAGTCAGTCAGGCAAGAATTGAAGGCACTCTGTTCCAGCAGACAGGGTTACATGTGCTAAAGCATTAAGTGAAAACTAGCTTTTAAATAAAAGATGAGAAAGCTTTTCTGATTATATAAATGAGACATACTTATAGAAAATGTTTTTTTACACAAGAAAGCATTTTAAAATTACCCAAAATTCTATTTTCTTGAGATAACTACTATGAGAATATATGTTGTTTTATGTGGCAATTAGCTTTAAGCCTTCTTTCCAGTTTCTTCCCATCCTTCCTGCCTCCTCCCTGTCTCCTACTCATAAGCCAATTGTGCCTCATTTCTTACTAATATTAACCATGTGTGTATATTTCCATACTTTTCTGTTATTATATATAATATAAAATATATTTATAAATATATAACATTTATATATAAATATTTGTCTTACATGTAATAATTTATAAATATAGAAAATTATTTTTATAAACATTCAGATATATTAAATGTATAAATATATAATATATACATAAAATATATAATATGTATATAAACTATATATACATTATATAGTATATATTGTATATAAACTATATATACATTATATAGTATATATTGTATATAAACTATATATACATTATATAGTATATATTGTATATATATAGATATAGATAGATACATGCACAGATGAGTTTTTAAATATGTCATTGTTTTTAAATATGTGATTATATTATGTACCTTCTTGAGATCTTTGACAGTTTGCTTTGGACATTCTTCCAAGTTAACTGCCACATATCTAACTCAATGACTTCTGTCCTAACTGACCCTTAAACACTGATTTAATTGGTTTGGGGTGGGGCCTAAGCACCTGTGGTTTTCAGAAGCTCCCCAGATGATTCTATGTGTAGCCAAAGTTGAGAACCACTAATCCAAATCATTCTTTTAAATAGTTGCACCAATTCCCCTACATCCTTACCAGCAGCAAAATTTTCTACTCTTGAATATTTGTCCGTCAGATAGGTGAGAAGTGATATTACTTCTTTAATTTGCATTTCCCATACCATAAGGGAATATAAGCTGAACATTTTTCCTATTTTATTGGTCATTTTGAGGGGTGTGTTTGTGTGTGTGTGTGTTTGTTTGTGTGTGTGTGTGAGAGAGATTCTCCTTTTTTTCTTTTCTTTTTTTAATCTTTGATGTTTCTTTTTTAATAGGCCTAGCAGGAAAGTCTCATAAATATGCAGTCACTGTTCGTGACATTGACTAGTCCTTGTTTTCTCGTCATCCCCTACAATGTCAAATATACACATAAGCAGTCCAAATCTGCTAATCTCCCTTGTTAACAGCTTGTAATTTGGTACAGGTTTAATGCTAGTAAGTCATTGATTGAAGGTAGATACTCATCTCTCTTAGCAATCCCTAGGTTGGTCTATATATATATATATATATATATTTTATTATACTTTAAGTTCTGGGTTACATGTGCAGAACGTGCAGGTTTGTTACATAGGTATACACGTGTCATGGTGGTTTGCTGCACCCAACAACCTGTCACCTACATTAGGTATTTCTGCTAATGCTATCCCTCCCTTAGTCCCCCACCCCCTGCAGGCCCTGGTGTGTGAGGTTCCCCTCCCTGTGTCCATGTGTTCTCATTGTTCAACTCCTACTTATGAGTGAGAACATGTGGTGTTTGGTTTTCTGATCCTGTAATAGCTTGATGAAGCTGGAGATTCTCCTCTTATGATCTTTTGCCTATATTTTCTATGGGAGATTTACCCTTTTTTTCTCATTTGTGAGAACTCTTTATTGCCACATATAGTGACCCTTTTTATTTATTTACATTATGAATATTTTATCCCAAAATATTATTTATCTTTTCACTTATGTGTTATCTCTTGTTCACATAATTAGTTGTAATGTTTATATTTTCAAACATATCTATCTTTTCATGCATAGCTTCTGGATTTCTTGATTAAGAAGTTCATCCTAATCCCTAGATTATACATAAATTATCTTACAATTTATTTCAAGATTTAAAATTTTCAAATGTATTTTACATTAAAACTATAGTGTGAGGTAGATTTTAACTAACTTTGCTTCAAGATGGACAGCCAGTTTTTATAGCACTATCCTTTCTAGCTTGATGCTTTTGGAGAAATAATTTTTTAAAAAAGGTCAATAGGGCTAAAACTTTAGAGGTGTGGGGAAGATAATAGTGGGAGTTGAGAGTTGAAAGGCAGGCAGAAATCAAGTCATGAAGGGTGACGGGAGCATAGAAAAGGACTTCAGAACTTAACAGAGTAATTCCATTTAAGAGGTTTTCAGCAGGAGAATAACATGATCCAATATAAATTTTAAGACCACTCTGATTCCAGTGTGAAAATGCTGCATAGACAGAAGTGAAGAAGTGGAGGGATACATAGAAGGCATTGCAATAGTCCAGAAAAGATATGATGATGGCGTTGCTTTCGAGACACAATGGCAGTGGTGGTCAGGAGGAATAGATAGACTTAAGAGCTATTTTAGAGGCGGACAGGATTGAATGGAAGATCGAACGTGGGAGGCCTGAGAAGGACCCAAAGATGACTTTAATTTGGGGATAATGATGGTTTCTTGATCTTCATAAAACTGGAGGTAAAAGCAGACTTAGGGGAAAGAGCAAGAGTTTAGTACAAAAGAGATGAAAAGAATCATAAAGGAACATTGTGGAAAAGTCTATTGCAGTAAATTCGAAAGTTTATGGGAAATGGATGATTTCTGAGTCAAATATAAACTGACAACATTGATCCTAGAAGAGATATAAAACTTAAACATATCATTAGCCATGAGGATGTTCCAAAATAGTTGAGAGTTTTGATTTAAAAAAAAAAAAGGCCAAAATGCTTTAGCAGCTGAGTTGCATCTAACCTGTAAAGAAAAGACATTTCTTAAGTTATTTACGCTATTCTGGATGATTGAAAAGCATAGAGTAATGGCAGCATTGTTTGTTTCCAGGCAGAAACCCAGAGGCAAAGAGCATGCTGATCAGAAGCAGAGTTAAGTTATGGCACATTCATACTATAGACTATTATATACCTATTTAAAGAATGAATTCTATCTATAGCTGTAGACATGGCTGGCTGAAGGGGTGGGAATTTCCATGCTATATTTTTAGGACGTGAGAACAGAGAGAGTATATATATAATATTATCCTATTTTTGTAAAACGAAACAACAAAAAGGAAACCTAAATGGAATGTGGTGGTGCTGAATTTTGAATTTTCAACTTATATTTTTATATCTTTGAGTAGCTTTTTTTTTTTTTTTTAAACAGAGTCTCACTCTGTTGCCCAGGCTGGAGTGCAGTGGTTCCATCTCACTGCAACCTCTGCCTCCCAGGTTCAAGTGATTCTCTTGTGTCAGCCTCCCAAGTAGCTGGGATTACAGGTGCCTGCAACCACACCCGGATAATTTTTGTATTTTTTAGTAGAGACAGGGTTTCGCCATGTTGGCCAGGCTGGTCTTGAACTCCTGATCTCAGCTGATCTGCCCGCCTCAGCCTCCCAAAGTTCTGGGATTACAGGCATGAGCCACAGTACTTGTTACTATGAGAGTTTTTTAATGATAAGAATAAAAAGCAATCCGTGAGGCTTTAGCCATGTTGATTTTGAGAAATCTTCAAGATAGTTAAATAGAAATGCTGAGTGGTGAAGATGCTGTAAGGTCTGATGTTTGGAAAAGAGGTGTGGACTAGAGTCATCCAAAGGAGTCACACACCCAGGGCATTTGAAGTCGTGGGAGTGGATGGCACCACGAAGTGGGATGTGTAGGTGAGTGAAGTTAAACTCAGGACCAAACCAGGAACTCCAGCAGAGAAATGTTCAGTGGAGGAGGAAGAGCCAATGAAAGAGAAAGAGATGGAGCAACCAGATATGCCACGGGGAAATCAGTGTTTCTGGGACAATAGATGTTAAGTGGTCCAGGGCTAAAATGAACCTCACCTTGCTAGAAGTGGTCTCCATAGATGTCTCAGAAGGCTGTAAGAGAAATAAACACCCTCGGCCTTCATTTCCTTTCCACCACTAGAGAAAATTAGCACTTTTCATAGCTTGTTTTTAAGACAGCATGAGGGCAGTTATTTATATGTACTATTAGCTCTTAGGCTTAAACATCATCAACTGGGAATGGAAGAAACTGGAGCCAATCTATGGAGAAGCCAATGCCTATGGACAAGACTTTGAGAAGAGAATTTTCTAGCAGAGACATCATTGAGGAACTGAATGGAGCAATTTGTTAGAGAGGCCTGTGTTTATTATAGACAGTACCCAGCATCCTTTACAGCAGTGATTCCTGTTAAAATGCAAGGAGAATATACATGTCTCTTAGACACTTGTCTTACTTTTCTCCCCTCGTTTCCCACTGCCATTAGCCTAATTCAGTGCCTAATCTGCTCACCTCTAAACCAGTCCCCTCCCTGTGGTTCCTTAGGGTCTCAACCTAATGTTATGCAGGTTGCATACAGCACAAGGATGTCTGAGTGATGGGCAAGTGGGGCTGAAATCTAACATATTCTCCCGGCCAACCCATGGGTGCTTATGTAGGCCTGTTGCTTCCTGGATAATTTTTCTCACAGGGGCGTGGCAAGCTCATGGAGCCTTGACCCTGCATGGCTAGGTTCACTCAGAGGGGTTGCTTTCACTATTGGCACAGTGATGTTGAAGTGGCTAGTAGCAGCCCTGAGTCCCATGGCAACAATGAACTAGACACAGTCTCTGCCCTCAAGATTGACAGGTTAGTAGAGATGGATAATTTCAGAGACAACTATCTTCAAAGCAAATACTTTAAAGAACGATTGCTATCATATCAATCTTCTTTCAAAATGCTCCAAAGGCTCTCTATTGCCTTCCTTAGGCTGGAATTCAGAACTTTGTGTAATCTCTCCAAGCTAATCTGGCATCCTCTACTTTGACCCCTGTCCCTGAGCAAGCCTCTATGCCTTTGCCCAGCTGTTATTTCTGGCTTAGGACACCCCTCCCACCCACCTCTCTGGGCAGTCACCTCCCCAGTGTGCACTCAGCCTTCCCGCCCATGCCTCCCTGAAGCAATTATGGCTTGGGCCAGTTGGGACTCGACCCATCATTACAAGGCTGAGGACACCCAATCTTTATGCTTTGGCCTTGACTCTCTAATTTTACCTAAAGTAGGAACCTACGGAATCAATAGTATCATTGCATTTTCGGCACCCACCACAGGACTTGTACCAAGCAGGATTGAAATGAATTTGGTGTCTAGTCTGAAGATTCTATAAACATTTTCCAATGTACTTTCAAATATTTCTGTTAAATGCTTGCCCTTGAAATTGTGTAGCTACCTTGAAAAGATAGATGTGTAATGTAAAATGATTTATGAGTGTTCTATTACTGCCTCTGACCTACATATATTTTTCTTTTTTATTTATATATTTTCTTCCTCAGCATGATACATCCTAATAAAGAAAGCCAACACAGAAATACATGCTTTACAATCATGCTAATAACACTTTTCTGCTTTCAGACATCAATGCATTGAGACTGGGTCTGTTTTCTAATTATGCAGACGAATGTTGACAAAACTGAAAAGCAAATAAAAAGCATCAAGAAACGAGTTCATTTTATTTTATTTTTAATGGCATTTGTAGCATTTATACCTTTTTCTGGTTGTAAATAGCATATGCTCATTGTAGAACATGTATCGAAACAAATTCACACACACATAGCCATAATTATTCCACCATCCAAAGATAACAATTATTGATTTCTTTGTGTTCCTCTCTGTATAAAGGTTTTTCCTCTAAAACCTTTTATAGTTTTATGTTATTCATTTAGATCTATGGGCTATTTTGAGTTAATCTTTATTAACTTCATATAATTCTGAGGTGTGAACTCTATATTAAGGTTTATTTCTTTTCCTGTGGATGACCAATTGTTCCAACACCACCAGCTGGAAAGGATAAGTTGCCTCCACTGAACTGTGTTTACACGTTGTCAAAGATCAAATGGCTGTATTTGTATGAGTCTATTATTGTACTTCCTCTTTTGTTTCATTGATCTCTGGGTCTATATCTTTGCTATGGGTCTTTTTAAATTAAAACACAGACATATTTGTCATGTGTCATGAGCAATAGAGGCCAGGAGGAGAAAACGGTCCCATATGTGCCCAAGAATGGGCAACAATTACTTCCTCCAACCAGCTAGTCCCTGCCACCTCCTGACTCAGACAACACAGAAACTGAGGTGAACAGCTCAATAAAGTTACCACTTAGATCCATGGCATAACACATTAATAAAACCAAATGTCTGCTTTTTTTTTTTTTTCTTTGAGAAGGAATCTCACTCTGTTACCCAGGCTGGAATGCAGTTGCACCATCTCGGCTCATTGTAACCTCTGCCTCCTGGGTTCAAGCAATTCTGCCTGCCTCAGCCTCCCGAGCAGCTGGGATTACAGGTGCCCCCAACCATGCCCAGCTAATTTTGTGTTTTCAGTAGAGACGGGATTTCACCATGTTGGCCAGGCTGGTGTTGAACTCCTGATCTCAGATGATCTGCCTGCCTTGGCCTCCCGAAGTGCCGGGATTACAGGCATGAACCACTGTACTCGGCTTTGTCTTCTTTCTTAAATGCCTTTCTCACTGTCAGTGTTTTTCTGGTGGTGTCAACTGAAAAATATGCCAGCCTCACACAGCTCAGGGCAGAGGAAAAGGAGTTTCACATAGACTTAAGGAAAAGTTTCAGATAAAAATACAACTCTTTTTTTTTTTTAAACCAGGAAGGAAAATGTGAAAATGGAAACACCTTTTACTATTTGATTTGAAAATAAAGTGTCATCCAAGCCATAGCAGAAGCTTCATTATTTTGACAACTGGTCTCTGTTAAAAATAAGTTTCCAGGTTGCCCTCCAGCTTGCACCATTTGAATGAGGAAGATCCAGAACGACATTCTAGTGCGTAAAAATATAGATAGGTGGACATGCAGAGAGATGGAAACAGATATAGTCTCCCCCCAGCCCAAACCGACAAACCGAGATTTTTTTTCTTTTTTTTTTTTTAGACAGGGTGTCGCTCTGTCACCCAGGCTGGAGTGCAGTGGCACAATCTCAGCTCACTGCAACCTCCACCTCCCGGGTTCAAGCGATTCTCCTGCCTCAGCCTCCTGAGTAGCTGGGATTACAGGCACCCACCACCATGCCCAGCTAATTTTTGTATTTTTATTAGAAATGGGGTTTCATCATGTTGGTCAGGCTGGCCTCAAACTCCTGACCTCGTGATCAACCCACCTTGGCCTCCCAAAGTGCTGGGATTAAGGCATGAGCCACTGCACCCGGCCCAAACCAGGATCTTCTATGATGTACGATTTTTTAACTAGAACAGGTCATCTTTGCTGCATAGAGAGCTGGCGTTGACAGCACTGGTTATTTCTCATTCTTTCTTGTTGACCACAGGCTCTACAGTGGTAGAGTTGTTGGTGTTAAATAAACTTTTATTTTCTTCCTTCAGTCTAATATTGGGGAACTAGTCCTTTCTATATGTATTGTGATAATAATTGCAGCTAAGAAATAATGTACTTTTAATTGAAATGGCCAGATGGAGCCATGACTTTTTCAAAGACATGGGTTTTTGGCTTCTAAGTTCTACACGGCATGTTCTAATTATTGGGCAGTTTTTCAACATTCCTGACACCTTTCGGCTGTGAATAGTGGCTTCCTTCAAGTACACAACATCTTATCCTGTTGTTTTGCACTTTCTGAGTTGAAATCAGCCTTTCCAAGGAAAATTTCCTTATTCCTTTTCTACTTTTGTTGTGTTCCTAAATGAACTAATGGGAGCTTACTCATTATTTAACTTTACTTTTCTCACTTTATCTTATGCCTGCAGATGGGAGATAGAATGGGATTACATTGTAGAATAAGAAAAGGGGCCACCGTCATTTAGTCATTAATTCATGCATGCATTCATTCATTTATTAAGCAGCTACTATATGTCAAATACTGTTTCCAACAAGGTAAATCTTTTCCTTTAAGGAGCTTTTGGTACCACAGGAGCTAGATACAAGCAAAGTAACAAAATGCAGTATGATAAGAGCTAAAGTAGGAGTTTAGCACTGGGTGGCCTAGAAGCATCGTGTAGAGTCCCCCACCCAGTCTTGAGAATCAGAGAAGGCCCTGGAGCAGGTAGCAGCTAAGACAAATCTTGGAGAACAAATAGAAGCCCAGTGAAGGGGTGGAAGGTAAGGGGAGAGTCCAAGCAGTGAGCATTGTCGGTGCAAGGGTCCAGAGAAGATGGTGAGGGAGGGGGTCTTGCAGGGAACTGTAACTATTTTAGTATTGCAGGAGTGCAGAGTGCAGGGGTGAATCTTGTGTGTAGTACAGTGTTGCTTAAAAAAGATAAATTAAATAAACAAATAACCCAAACAAGTTAGAATATCCCAGATAGGATATATACTCTTGCATCCACCGCAGACCCCTATCGCTTTCCATTGTTCTACTCTATCCTGATTTATTTTATTAACCACCTGGCCTATGTAGGCATTTGTGTTTGGGATTCCCTACCTCTGAACCCAGACCAAAGATCAAATTCAAACTATCTCAGTTACCATGTCAGGTGTGAAAGGAAAGAAGACCAGCTTTTTGATGGAACTGTGAAGACCAACCCAGTGAACAATCCTACCCACCAGGTAAGACCAGGAGAATTACTCACATACATTAAAAGAAGGATCTTTCATATGGAACCAACCTAATTGTCCATCGATCAATGAGTGGATGAAGAAAATGTGGTACATATACACCATGGAATACTACTCAGCCATAAAAATAATAAAATTATGTCTTTTGCAGCAATTTAGATGGAGCTGGAGGCCACTATTTTAAGTGAAGTTACTCAGGAATGGAAAAACCAAATACCTTATCTTCTCACTTATAGCTGGGAGCTAAGCTATGGGTATGCAAAGGCATACAAAGTGGTATAATGGACTTTGGAGACTCAGAAGGGGGACGTGGGAGGGGACTAAGGAATAAAAAACTACATATTGGGTACAATGTACACTATGTGGGTGATGAATGCACCAAAATCTCAGACTTTAGTACTATACAATTCATCCACATAACCAGAAACCACTTGTACGTAAAAAGCTATTGAAATAAAAATTTAAAAACAAAAAACCAAACAAGCCTTAAAAAATAGATCTTTTTCCTCAGGGAGTGAAATGGAGTATAAACACAAATATTTATTGAGGTCTTATCATGTGCCAAGTACTATGCTAAATTTTTTTTTATATCAGGCCTTTCTATAAAAGAAGATAGCAATTTAAGCAGTCACAGATGCATGTATATAATTAAATTTATAATTTGTAAGGTGATTTTACACATCTTAAAATATATTTTATTTACTAGAATGTCACTTTATAATGTGACATTCTAATAAATAATGTCATTTTGCATAATGTTTAATGCAAACAAATAAGCATTCAGTAATGTTTATTGAGGGCCAGTTGTGCGTTAGGTACTGAGGCTTCTCTGGAGATACAGAACAGACTGGCCCCTGCCTCGGGTTGTTCACTACTGTGGACTTCAGCACATCACAGACGATTATCTCTGCCTGGTATTCTGCATTGTCAGATTCAGTCTGAGTCATCTTGGGATTACAGGAAATCTTTTAAAAAGTCAGAGTTTGTTCCTGGCTAATATGGTGAAATCCCGTCTCTACTGAAAATACAAAAAAATTGGCAAGGCGTGGTGGCGGGCGCCTGTAGTCCTAGCTACTGGCGAGGCTGAGGCAGGAGAATGGCATGAACCTGGGAGGCGGAGCTTGCAGTGAGCCGAGATTGCGCCACTGCACTCCAGCCTGGGCGACAGAGCGAGACTCCGTCTCAAAAAAAAAAAAAAAGTCAGAGTTTGTAATCCTGCAAACTTTAACAAATTTGTATATTTAAGGTTGATTTTGATCAAGCTAACCTTCCTCCTTCTTGGAATTAAAATCTCAGACACTAAGTAAATCAGTAACAAACACTTCTGCTGGTAAACCAGGGCTAGCATTATCTCCCCGGGACTTCTCAGATTGGCAGCGTAGGGTTTTGCATGCCTTGTTAACCTGACTTGTAATAAGTTCTTAGTCTTCACAATGGAAACTGAGCCAAAGCAGGTTTACATTTCCGTACTTGCATTTGGTGTGAGTCATGAGAAAGGAGAATATTTATTTTCTGAGGAAGGAAGAGAACCTGAGCTAACTTTGAATTTCCTCAGTGGCCTAGCATACAAGTGCCTTAGGCTTACTGTAATTCAATCCTTTTGCGAATCCTATATCCAATTACCCAGATATCTACATCTAAAAAAAGCTTGTCTTCATCAAACTGTCAGACAGGAGCTGTCAGAGAGTCTATTTGTGGGACTGCCCTGTATTTCAGAGCATTTGCCCATAAGGAGCTAAATCATGGAGTAGGGAATTGGGTTGTGCCCCCACAACACACCTATTCCCTGGATATGACATCCTGGTAAAATCGGACTGTGTAGCTTCCCTGAGCACATGATTATTTCTTCGTTTCCTGATTGCTCAGTTGGCCCTGTTGGTTGCTTTCCCTGCTCACAGCCGGCAATTGTCGCTGGATCGTAGGGCAAGAGAATATTCCAGTTATAACATTTTGATCAGCTGCGGTACTGGAGCAATCAAGATAGGGCAGCCACAGGTGCAAAAATAATGAAAGTTTGTGCATCTGATGACAGGTGTCTGGGGTAACCCTCGAACATTAGGAAAGACCCCACCGGAGGAAAGGGACTCACAAGTTAATGATTACAGTGAAAGCAGAAGTAACAACAAAAATGAGCACATGAGAGAAACAGTGGGACTTTCGTAATGTTGAAAATGAGGTGGAGAGAGAATTCTAAATTGCAAGTTCAGAGAAAGAGGCTCTTGCTGTCTGTGAAAAACAAATAGTTTGGCACTACTATGATAAGAAAAGCCCAGGGAATAAGATTCTGAAAAATTTGGGAGCACTTGATATCAAAAGAAGGAGATTTAGAATTACATATAGAAACAAATGGAAAATCAAGGCTGTTTTGAGGGGTGCTATCAGAGGGTCATTGGAGAGGATGTAGCTTTACAATATTTATATCAGGCTGTGCATTGGCAGGAGTTCTGTAGAAGTTGGACTGAAAGCTGGAGGTAATGACGTGGGTGGGGCACAGAGCAGCTAGGGAGCTCTGATGCGGCTTTTGCTTGGGGCAGAGTATGGGAAGATATGCAAACGCTGAGGCCCCAAATAGTGCAGTGGCCTTTGTGGGCAGCACTTACAGGTGGGCTTGGAAACACTTGCCTTTGGAACATTGTTTAAAAGTAAGTAGTGCTCCCAGAAGGGCTGTAATTTCTTTAGATTATCTGATAGCAGACTCCGTGATGTTTACCAGCTTCAAGGAGATCAGACCATTGTGAAATTTTTTTTTTTTTTCTGTAGTAAAACTAGCCCCAGCCAGCCCAACTGGGAATTTACTGCCTGAGCTGTTTTCCAACATAAGTTTTGCTGGCAAAACCAGACGTGAGTGTTCCCTCGACTCTAAAGGGACCTGTTTACACTGACTTTATTTTTACTGCCAGCTTTCAAGTTGGAAGAGGGAAATTACGTTTAAAGGTCAGCAGGTGAGCAGAAGGATTCCTGACCAGCCATTCCTGTGGGTGTGTGCCCGTGTGCACTCTGTGTACGTGTGTGTGCCTGTGTATATGTGTGTGCCTGTGTGTACGTGTGTGCCTGTGTATATGTGTGTGCCTGTGTGTACGTGTGTGCATGCTTTTCTAAATGCCAACCGTTGTGCTCTGCGCTGGCTGACAAGACCTGATCACTTGTTTGCGGGCATAATGATGGGTGTCAGGCTGGTTGTTGGGCAGTTTCCTATTTGTTTATTGTAAAGAAGGTAAATCAATCCGTGGGATTTTCTGGCTTGGAGAGCAAGGGGTGTTTACTGTCAACAGGATAAGGACCAGGAGATATAAGATACTGAGTTCCACGGTGCATCTAGTGTTGGGACAGGAGCATAAAAGGTGGGGAGAAGCCAACTACAGGGTATTTCTGACTTGGATGGAACTTTTAAGTACTTGGGTGGGAAATACAATTTGGAAAATTGCTCTCTGGTGAAAGCACCAGTCAATGTAGCTAACTAAGGTATGATTAGGTTGGACTCAAATTCAATTTTATCAACTCTTCTTTTTAAATTCTTTTTTTTTTAATTTCCCAAAAGATGACAGATGGATTTTCACAATTTGGAAATAAAAACATGAGTGAAGGGTTCGGAAGGCAAGTCTCTGGTCCATTACACACTTCCAGAAAAACTTAGTACCCAGAGACTCACATTACTGGGAGTGCTATCTACTCACAAGTGTTGCACTCCATTGAGAAAAAAAAAAAAACCAGGAAGTTGCTGTTCTACTGAGGACTGACCAAGAAGCCATGAAATACCTTACTGTGGGAGACTTAGAAGATTGCCTACTGAATAAGGTAAGGACAGACCCGGTCTCTCCCATGAACCCCCTCCCCATTCACACTACTTCCAAACAAACCTTCGTCCAGAAAGGATCTCAGGCTCTTTCTAAAGACACATAAAATGCTCCTCAGAAAACAGACTGTCACCTATAACAATGTTTGGGGGCTTAACATATATCAGCCTTACTTCTCTTTGAGGGTCTGGTACCCAGAGACATGCTGAGTATAGAATATAGAATGGAGAGTAGGAATCTGGGGAATGAGGGGGAACTCCAGCTCTGCCACTGACACTCGTGTGGTTGTGAGTCACTTAACCTGCCTGAGCCTTGGCCTTCTTCTCTGTAAAATGGGAATAATAATAGGAGCTTCATGGGGTAATGGAAAAAGAGCTAATGAAATTAAAACAAAGCTTTTTAAAGACTGTGAAAGTACTAGGTTTTTAAATATTATTATATTTTTAGTACACATCAGTTAAGAACTTAATTTCTTCTAGATGGTCTAGATGGTCATGTCAAATGTTAGAACTTGAAGGAAACTTAAATATTACCTAGTTTAAGCCTTTTCATTTACGGATGAAGCTACTAAGGCATGATGTTAATGTTAAAACCAAAATATTTAAATTGACTAAGAAGTAGGCACTGGTCTGCAGTTTTCATGCCTTTACAAGTTCGAAAGAGAAGATCATTATCATAGTGATAAGTAAAATGTATTTCTTAGGCAAAACCATTAAGAGAGATAAATAAGGAAAACCTGGGATGATAAAAACTAGAGTAAACAAAGTGATTTCCCATTAATTCCTCCCTTTGAGGGCTCTAAGTGGAAGAGATATTGGCTGGCATTTTTTTCGTGGGTCCTGTATTTTTTGTAAGAAAAAACTCCAAACTTTTTAGTGTGGTGTTCAAGTAACTTCAACTGCTCTATCTTTCTACCCTCCGCTCCCCCTGCATTTCCAATAGCAGAAATCCTAAACAGTGTTCGACACGTTGAATCCAGTGTGTGCTCATGTTTTGTTTGGCCTGTAGATTATTTCTAATGTTTTTCACAAACATTTCAAAATAGATTTTGCATAGAAATCCAGATTTCTGTCTTTCCAGGGGAAAAAAATCAGAATATTTCGCAACTACAGGTCCCAGTTTCTTGCCTGGAAACTGTGTGCTGGGGCTGAGTGTTTGCTAGCCAGAGCACGTGCTGGCCAATTCTCAGGAGGCTGATCCTGTGTCTGACACTTGCTCCTGGTCCCCGCTGCCTCTCTCACGTGTGTCCCCTACTCCATTCCTGTAGGTGGTTGAGTCTCCCATTTCTGCCCAACAAGAACTGGGCCCTGAGCAGGCCAAGGGCCCCAGCTCCTCCTCGCCACTTTTCTGGCTCATATTCATCCTTCAAACTCAGAGTCCACTTTCTCAAGAAAGAGTCCCTGACACCCCAGCACAAAATGATTTTGCCCACATATTCACTCCCGTTATAATTAGTATTACTGGCACCATTTATTTGATCATGAGTTTGTATATTAACTCCTGACACTTTTCTATTATCATCTTGGTTGGCAACTTACATGTCATATCATTTCATTCTTTATAAGTTTCTGGAGGGAAGAACAGTGTCTTGCATACCTTTCTTTCCTTTGACATTCAGAGTATCTTGCACATATATGATCAGAAATATCTTTAGAGTTCGTTAAAGGCAAGAGTGGTGTGGAAGGCGACAGGTCAAGGTGCATACAGGATCTCATTTAACCTAATCAACAACTATGTGATGTACATATTGCCTCCATTTTTAGAGGAGGAAACAGAGGCTTGTGGAGATTAAATAACTTGTCCAAAGTTACACAGCTAAATTGAGAGGGTACTGAAGTTTCAGCCTTGTCTTCTTTACTCCAAAGGCCGAACGTCCTCTGCCAAACTCCTCTATATCTCTGCAAACACATACTAAGCACCTGCTTTGTGCAAAATACTGTGCTACGGTTTGAGGGTAGACCAAGGCCTGAGATGTGGCCTGCTAAATGAAAGAGAAATTTTGGTTTTGGTCTCTAGGATAGCCCTGTCCCATCTGCAGATTTTGTACATAACCCCAAAGGAAGAAGGAGGGAATTTCACATGCAGTCAGGCAAGTGCTTAATAGAATGCATGGTAGACCGTAAGGGATGCAGTAGAGATTTCAACAGATTGCTGGAGGAGCACGGTGCATTAGTTGTGATGGGAAAGGTGTCTTACAGAAAGAAGAGTAGAGACAAAGCCTTGGAGGAAGTGTAGGGTTTTAATAAGTGGAGAAGTATAGGAAAGGTCTTCCAGGCTAAGGGAACCCCGTTCAAACATTCAAGGTGTATTTCATTCCCAGTCACCTTTTTCTTTTGGGGAGCAGAACAGGGCAGTGGTTACAAATATGGGCTTTGGAAGGCTGCTACCTGTGTTCTGTAACTTACTAACTTTGGGAACCTGGGCAAATTACTTAAATATTCTGAACTTTGGTTTCCTCATCTATAAAATGGGGATAATCATAGCATCCACCTTAAAGAATGATGGGTAGGCAGGAATGAGCCTACTCTTATAAAATGCCTTGCACACAGGAAGGACTAAATAATCTTAGTTTCACGGTAATGCTGCTGCTACAGCTTCTGCTACATTTGGGGGCTGCAAATATTCTGCGTGACCCAAGCATTTGATTCATGGAAGAATTAGTCTACAAAGGAAGGGATATGATGGTGGAAAGCCTATGGTCTCGTGCGTATCTATCACTGGATTTAACTTTCCATTTCTTTACATTATTAGCCCCTGAAAGACAGAGATGATGCCAGTTTTTGTTTTGTTGAAATTTTTCTAACTGATGATTGGATTTCATGCAATTCTGGAATTAAAGGTCTGACTTCTTGTTTTCTGGAAGGAAGTCCTCAGCCTTTTCTTCTCAGTAACACTCATTGGGAATGACATACACATAGTCTGCATGGTCATGGGTGTGATCAGGCCTGTGTGACATTCCTGGCATGCTACTTAGCACCACCACTCTGTCTCCATTGCAAGGAAGCGTATCGGAATGCAAGTGAGTCAGAGTGATATTATTATAGGGGATAACCTTAAATCCCCATAATTTATATTTGAAGCAGTAAATTATTCATGAACTTGAGCTATTAATAGCAGCAAATGACTTGTGGGGCAACAATGAACCTGATGCTGTGGTTAAGGAGGAGGAGGGGAAAGCAGCCCAAGATGGGACAAGGACCTTGACAGCATGGAGACATGCCTGGGAAGAGCAAGGCCCAAACAACATTTGTTTCCATGTTTTGCCATGAACTAAGTTTGGTGACAAGGTTGCCTCAAGGCTGCCTTGAAGCTGCAACTGGTATCTTGCTGGCTTCCTAAAGTTTGAGAGGCAGTAAAGGATTTCCAGGGTTGGGCTTGCAATGGGTGTCTACTTGTGTTAGAGCCTCCTTCTTTAGATCACTGTACAGCTGCCCCAACCCCACTGCCTGCTTTTCCACACCCTGAAATGAACTTCTTGCTGTATCTGTCTAGGGTGTGGCCAGAATAAGTGGAGAGAAACAGTCTGGGGGTTCTGTGTTGTCACACCATGAGGGTGACAAGAGGTGTCTGGCACTAAGCCTGGAAACCCCCAGCACAAATCACTTCTGGGGCTACCAAATAGCACGGTGATGCTGTGTGGGTAAGAACTTATTGCAGGAAGTGTAGCCAGAGATGTGGGGAGGGACAAGGCTGCCCGCCACCTAGAGAAAGAGGCTTCTGCTCAGGTCCCACAGCAGGAGCATCACTGTCTGGCCCTTGCTGCATGACCCTTTGTGCTTGTTAGATGCCAGAACAGTTGCTGATGCCTAAATACATGGAGACCTAGGACTCCTTATTTCATGAGTCTTGACTTTAAATTGAAGGCATTTTTAGGTTCAGGAAGAGGATAAAGGGTAGGCCGTACTTCTGGTACATCAGTACTTAAGGGTGTGGCAAAGTGTGATGGAAAGAAGTGTTGGAGAGCCTGTCTAATTCTACATCTAACTGCCGGTGTGATGTTAGGAAAGCTGCCTTGTCACTCTGGTCCTCCATAAAGTCACACCAGACGAGGCAATTTCTGAGGTCTCTTCCATTTCTAAGATCCTGAATCTAAGTTGCAGCAGAAGTGATGGAGGAAGAAAATTAAAACTGGAATTTGTGGTTCTAGGTCTCAAAAAGCATTATCTTATTCTGACTTTCACCTTTGGTAATCAAAACAGGTCATAAGGGTGAACTAATAACCTGTGTAACAAGTGAGAGATTATAGTTGTTTTCCAGGAGTGCGTGATCTTGTCCTGCTCGGTAAGAATTTCACCATCAAATGAGGGCACAATTTGTAGAATAGATTTACAATGAAGTACTTTTTCCAATAGGCTACTCTTCACGTGTGTTATGTGCATACATACACACATGTACATACATACACACATGCACACACACTCTTAAGCTTCTATTTAAAAATGATTTGATGGTGATGAATTTTTCATTAGTTTATTAACTCAGGAATCAAAATATACATACATATATATATATATATATATATATATATATGTATAGTCACTGCTATGTTACTAACATTCAAGTTCTATGGAATTACATCCGTGGGGCTGGCAGATTCAGGAGGCTAGTCTTGGCCTTCAACACGTTCTGAGAACTTAACTATTAGAGAATACTATTTCTCAACCACTCTGCCTGCAATGTTCTATCTAATTAACACTTTTATTACTTTTCTCCACTGTACCTGCTCAGACTTCAGGTCCCTGAAGTGGCCTAATGTTCCCTATTCTACCACTAGCTTTATCCGTTCTTTATTCCGGCTGGAAGATATAGCCCACTGCTGAAACCCTCTGTTGCTTTTTTATCTTTATCCATCTCTTGCCCAGCAAACTCCAATCTTAGCACCTCAACTCTTACCTTTGGAGGGCTAAGAGGTGGTGGAGCAGATCTCACTAACTGAACTTACTGATATCCCACAGCCTCAGGGACTCAGCCTCAGCCAAGTCTTGACACTGTCTGGTTATCTTTACTCATGCACCTAAACAGTCTCTCATTCCTTATAGCAGCTATCTCAGCAGTCTATCGCCTGAAATCTCTTGCCTTCCACTTCACTCTTAGCTCATTAACATCTCCCACTCTATAAAGAACATAGACGTCAGACTGGAAATCTCTCTGATTTTCACTGCCCCCTACCCTTTTATCTGTATCTGCATGCACCCTTTTCCCCTTCTTTCTTTCTGCCACACCAAGATGAATTCCTCACTCAGGCCTCTGGATGTGCATGACTCCTTTTGGGTGGGAAATCCTTACAAACTGGTTTTGCTCTCTGCTACCTCTTCTTTCACCACTGACTCTTTTCTCTCAGCATTTAAACATGTTTACACCTGTGTGTCATTTTGCAAGGAAAAAAAAAACTGTTCGCATCCCTGTTGTTTTGGTTTTCCCCATGGTAAAAGTTCTTGGGGCCAGGCACGGTGGCTCACACCTGTAATCCCAGCACTTTGGGAGGCCAAGGTGGGCACAGCAAGAGGTCAGGAGATTGACACCATCCTAGCTAACATGGTGAAACCCCGTCTCTACTAAAAATACAAAAATTAGCCAGGTGTGGTGGCACGTGCCTGTAGTCCCAGCTACTCGGGAGGCTGAGGCAGGACAATCACTTGAACCGAGGAGGCAGAGTTTGCAGTGAGCCAAGGTCACACCACTGCACTCCAGCCTGGCGACAGAGCGAGAATCCATCAAAAAAAAAAAAAAATTCTTGGAGGAGTTGCTTACCTCTGTCTTCACTTGGTTTTCTTCCATTCACCCTTAATCCACATTTAATGTGCACCTCTTCCCCACCATTAATGCTAGTGCCCAGTGTTCCCCCAATGCAGCAATCCTATTCTAGCTGTCAGACTCCATGGACATTTGGGGGCCTTAACTCACTCAAGCACTTACTGTTGACTTTGTTCTTGAAATTCTTCCTTTACTTTCAGGACCTCTCACGGTTTATTCTCCCACTTCACCACCTCTTCTAGGGCAATTGTGTTCTAAAAATATCACAGGAACAATTGCACAGGCATGAGGAGCACAAATTCTCTCTTTGTGCGCCTCAGGCCTGGCTCAATACCTGCTATTTTCTCATTCTAGAACAACTTTCATGCCCCCTTTTTCCTAGCTAACGCCTAGTAAGCTTTCAAGATACAACTCCAACACACTGTGCCTCCAGAAAGGCCTCCCAACCTCCAAACTGGATGAAGTATCCGTTTTCTATGTATCCATAGCATCTGTGCAAACCTCTACCTTGCACTAGATTGCAGTGATTTTAATTTCCAGGTCATCTGTCTTGCTTTGTCAAGTTATCTATAAACCTCGTGGCAACATGTATGCACAAAGCACAGCATAAAATGGATGTTCCACTCAAATTACTCAAATGGAATTGAATCACAACACAGATGGGAAGTCCTATGCTGGAGAGGACCCTTAAGTTTTGGCTTCTAAAACCTTTATTTTTGTCATTTGTTATTTTTCCCATAATAGCATCCCACAATTGTATTCTGTGCTTACATTTGTCTTCCTCACTACTGTGAATGCATGGCCGGGTCTATCTTGTGCATTGCTGTGTTCCAGCATGTAACAGTGCCCACCACAGAGGACATGCTAAACAAATACTTACTGATGAACTGACCCTATATGTGATATACAACGTGTCTAACAATAGGTGCACAGTCACATTCTTATACTATGAACATATGAAGTTGGCTTGCTGGTTGATGAGAAGTATGAGTGAGGTCTCAGGTGACTGGCCTAGTTGATGACTTAGTTTAGGAAAACAGGAATCTCTTTGACTTGGACTTTTTTTTTCTGGCTGTCGTGATCAGTTTATGGGTGTCTCAAAATGACTCTAGAATATGTAGAAACAGCCATTATACCAAATTCAGAGAGAGTATAAAGATTCATAGATGGGCATTAGATTGAGATGTATCAGATATTGCTTGAAACTGGCCCCTGGCTGAAGGAGCCTCTGAAGGAGAGTCTTGCTGTCATGACAGCAGCTTGTAGGTGCCTCCTGAGCAAGATGACAAAGTGCCCCCTCCATTTCAGAAAAAACTTGCAGACCCTTCCGTATCTTATTTGGATTTTTCTGTGTCTCTTCTGGAGTTTACTAAAAGTTCCTTTGTGTTTCCCACAAACATCTATTTCCCTAAACTTTAAGTATCTGATTAGTGTTGAGTTTTCTATGAGAATTTCCCAATTCTTCATAACTCACTGTGGTAACTTTCTGTCAGCAGAAACATGCCTTTTCTTAAGGGTCTAGAAGCAAAAGGCAGGGGTGAGTACGGAGGCAAAGAGAACCATCATTTACTGATGACATCAGTGGGAAGCAGGCTGCTGGGTGCTGATACAAGTTAAGTGGTTTAATATTCACACCATGGGCAGCAGGCGTGACAATACCATGGTAGAGTCTCACCATGGTTCACAAAACCCTGTGTGATGATCTGGTCCCTGCTTTCCTTTCCAAACTCACCTCCTATCACTTTCCTTTTGCCAGATCCAACCACAATGGCCTCACTGCTAGCCTTAGAGCATTGCCTACGTCAGAGGAGGAACATGGAATCTGCTCTCCTAAGCTGTCTTCAGCCTCACTCAAATGTCACCTCTTTAGAGAAGTCTTCTTTGTCCATTGCCCACCCTAACTAAAATAGCTGCCCCTTTATTCTCTAGTCCCTTATCATATTTTATTTTTCTTCATGGGACTTATCATACTTGATATTACATTATACACACACACACACACACACACACACACAAACACACACACACACACATATATATATACAGGAATACATATATATACACATTTATATGTGTGTCTGTGTGTATAATATCAGATATGACACTATATATTATAATATTGATATTATACATTACAATTATATATAATATAGTATGTATTATATCTACATTTATTCCTATATTTTCAGCTAGAGGGCAAGTATCTACATTGTTCACTGTTGTCTTAATCACTGTTGTGTCCCCAGCACCCAGCCTGGCACCTGCTACATAGTAGGTCCTAGATAAATATCAAATGAATGCATCTGTTACAGAAAAGAACATTGAGGCACCACCAAGTGTCTTCTCAATGGAGTCAGACCTAAATTCATCTCCCCGGCATCTTGGGAAGGCAGGATTTTTGAGCTGAACTCCCTCAGTCACCCCTTGCTGTACCCTTGTCTCCTCACTCTCTTATGCTGGTATCTTGGGGCCCACAGAGGAAATAACCACCATTGCTGGTCCCTCTCACACCCAGGTGGACTTGAGGCGCCAGCAGATTTCCCAGGCTGTGGAGGAGGTGCAGAAAGTCGTTCATCATTTGACCACAAACATCAGCAACCAAGACATTAGATTTCAAGCTGTGCCTTACTCTGACACGTACAATGAAAATATTAAGGTAAGCAAGTCTTGCTGTCTCTAAGTGCCACCAACAGAGCCAGGACACTTGGGCAGGTGAATCTCAGTGTGTGACAGATGCTTGCCTCACTCAGAATACTCATAACAATTCTTGTTTTCATAGGTATTCTTAGTTTTTACTATTTACAGTCTCATTTTATACATGTCATTTCAGCCAGCAGGGTGCCTTATGCCTATAATCCCAGCTCTTTGGGAGGCCAAGGTGGGAGGATGGCTTGAGGCCAAGAGTTTGAGACCAGCCTGGGCAATGTAGTGAGATTCTGTCTCTATAGAAAAAGAAAAAAAGATAGATGTTATTTCCTTTGAGCCCCCACATTCCTAGATGAGAAAAACTAGGCTCAGAGAAGTCAAATGACTTGATCAAGTCATATCAGGCACTAAAGCCAGAACTCACACAGAGGCTTTTGATTCCAAAGCACATTCCGCTGTCACAATCAAAGCTCAGTTAAATACACATTCATTTATTAAGCACCTACTTAATAGATTGGGGGTGGGGTGGAGGGAACTGAGGGCATCCATAAGAAGACAGTTGAAAGTCAGTCTGTGGGTTGCAGATGGGGAAGGAAGAAAGTAGAAGAGGTGCCACTGAGAAGCTGCAGGAGCAGACTGGCAACCCCTCTCCCTGCTAAAGAATCCCACCCAGTGTAAGCCAATGGGTAACACCAGCATTCAGGCAACACAGTAGTGAGGGCAGAGCTGTACACAGAGAAACGACCTTACTTAAACCTGTAAACCACCTTGTGGAAAAGACAATCTGTTCATTTCCATTTTAGAGGTAAGAGAAGTGAGATCCTGAATCATTCTGAATCTCCATTATTCTTTATCTCGATTTTTATTATGCCACCTACCTCTTTCACTTTGTATTAAATTTGTATGTATTCATGGCCCATTTCTCACAACAGACTGCACATCCCTCGATTGTAAGGACCAAGTTTACTATTCGTTTTGTTCCTAGCACCCAGCATGGTATGTGGCACATGGTAGACACTTAACATATGTGGAATGAATGAATAAATGAATGAGTAAAAGAATTAGTACCTGAGCAAAAGACCATTGCTGGCCCATTACATCTCAAGGTTGGTGGACGCAGGAACCACCTAAGAGATTCTGGGATTTGTGGATTCTGAAACAGACTCAGATTGTAGGAAATTAATCCCAGGGTGAAAATTATAAAACCAGACTGAATCCTGGAATGCTAGAATATCACTTGCCCAACTCTACCACCCAAGCCAATCTAACTTGGACACACATAGACCAGTGACTAGAAATAGAGATATTACATTACTTTTCTTAGCACTATACCCAAGGAAATTTCCTTCAGTGGTCCCACTTAGAATTCATAGCTTAAAATATATCTTGCATTTATATATGTCATGTCTCACATATTAAGTTTTGAAAATAGCTACAGCATAGCATATAAAATTGCTTTTAACTTAGATCAAAATCAACAAGTTTTTGTTTGTTTTGCTTTTTTGCCTGTTTTTTAAAGATAGGGTCTCATTCTGTCACCCAGGCCGGAGTGCAGTGCTGCGATCATGGCTCACTGCAGCCTCAACCTCCCAGGCTTAAGTGATTTTCCCACCTCAGCCACCTGAGCAGCTGGGACTACAAGTGCAAATGCCACCATGCCTGGTTAATTTTTTTATTTTTATTTTTTGTAGAGATGGATTTCATCATATTGCCCAAGCTGCTCAACAAATATCTACTAAGCACCACTTATATGACTAATAACATGATAGTTGTGCTTTTGAATTCACATGAAAGTGAATTGAAATAATGTACAGATCTGAAATTCCAGGGACTTTAGATGTTTTTCCTCTTTTTAAATCCAGCTGCCTTTCTATGGGTACCAGAAGTCATGTGGATACATCATCTAAAACATCAAACTATTGTTTTCTTAGAGTTAGACAGAACCAGCTGGAGCTGATTAGGGCTTTCCCCACTCAATGGGTCAATGACTGGCCCTGGGCAAGAGTTAACCAAATTCCATGGTCAGAGCTTTCCAGGAGGAGGAGGCAGCTGACTCACAGCCGAAGGCGTGCATGCAGTGGGACATGGTCATAGTTCAAGCTCCTTTGGCTGCTCTGTTTACCCACTTGTTCTACCTCTCGGCTGCCGGTCTGCCTGCTTTCCCCCAGTCGTTGCTTCACTGGTTCCTGGAGAAAGGGGCTAGGTAAATTCTGATTGTTTGCTTTTTTCTTTAAGCTTAGAATCATCTCAACAGCTCACATTGTCTCAACAAATAAGCTTTCATTTTGCCTTTATTTTGGAAGGGTTAGTCATGAACACTGACCATAGGTCATCAGTACAGGCCAAAAAAAAAAGGAGATATTTTACAAAATCTGTTACGTCCCCTCCTGTTACTTCCCACCTTTAATTTGTGTCAAAACATTCACCATTCCATGTCATTCATTGTTGGCTGAGTGCCAGCCCAGGGTAGAGAAATAATAACTGAACAAGCTGTCCAAAGACCTAAATTCAAATTCTGACTCTTCTACTTACTGGTTGTGTGTCCCTGAGGAGATCTCCAAGCCCCTCTGCATCTTGAATTCCTTATCTGGAAAATGGCAAGAAAGCTCACCTTACTGTGTGACTGTGAAGTTGAAATGGTCAAATGCATTAGAATTACGGTGTTGCGTCTGCATGGAACTGAATGCATACTCATTCTTCTTTCTCAAACCTTAGGTCTCCTCTGGAGTTCCTGGTTTAGTTCACTGTCTTTACTTGTATATTCATGAGATAATAAACTCAGCAGGTTAATTTACTTGCCCGAAGTATTTACAATGATTCAGTAGCAGAACAAAGAGGTAATCCACTTGTAACACCCAGGTCGAGGTCTCCGTGTATCTGGTCACTCTGCTGAGGGTGGAGTGGTTAACAGAGCTGCCTGACGAGACAGGTTGGTTCCCAGGACTTCCGTTACCTCCCGAATCTGTGAATTCATGCTTGTTTTCAATCCTTTCCTGACCCTAGGTTTTGGCTCCCAGTCAGTTCCTCGTCACAGTCCCAATAAAAGGCCTGGCCGGGTACAGGGAGGCCAGGGAGCAGCACTGGCGGTACTACACACTGCAGGGCACCAGGCTGCCCTGCCCGTTGCGGGACCCTGAGGGTCTGCAGCAGTGGCTGGAGGTGGAACAGTTTATGAAGAGCCTGTGGCAGTGGCATGAGACAGATGTGAACATCGACGGAGACATTGTGCCTGCCAAGGTCCTCCTAGTGTTCCGGAAGCTGGTGGAAAATGCAGTTAGAACCTGTCACCTCTCAGGTGAGCTGATCAGGAACAAGTGCAAGGGTAATTGCTGGCATTCCCCTTTCACTCTATAAAACCTCTGTTTGGGTGTTACCTGCAGCTCACAGCCTACATTTGAGAAAATAATCATGTGCTCTTCACATTTATTTAATCTTCATAATATGAATCAGCTTTTTTTCCTGCTGTTGATGCACAGAAGATTGGAATTCATACTAACAAAATAGTCTTGTGGCTTTAAGAAAGTTACTGTGCTGGCATAGATATAAAATGCTGTGGATTATGCACCTTAACCAGGCTTAAAAACTTAAGCGTATTGTTTTTTAAAAAAGCAAATTATTCACAAACCCCAGGTCTTCTTTATTAGCACATTTCTACTGCAGCACCTCCATCTGACTGCAGTACCACAGGGTGCTGAGATTCCACATTTGGAAACCACTAACTTGTACCAAAGCACAAAATCCAGGAGCCATAAAGAACTGACTAAGTTTGACAACTCCAAAGTCTTAAGCTACTGTACAGCATATGCATACACACACACACACACACATACACACACACACACACTCCCTTTTTGTTCACACAAAGCGAAAAGGTGAATTTCAAACTGGAAAGAAATGGCTAATTTTCTTAATTTATAAATCAATAAGAAAAAAGATGAGCTGACCAATAGAGATAATTACCAAAAAAAAAAAAGGAATCACAGAAAAAGAATACAAATGGCTTGCAAAAATAAGAAAAGGCATTCCATCTAATGTATATTTCAACGTATATTAGAATATACCTAATGTTGGGTGCATTAAAATACCTAGCAAGCTAAAAGAAATGAAAAGTTTGATCATGCTTAGTGTCGAGTGGGCATGGTGAAATGGGTATTCTCATGTTGTTATTAGAAGTGTAAATTGGTGTCTCCTTTTTAAAGGGCAAGTTGTCTATATTTTATTTTTATAATGTGCTTACTTGACAATTCAACAATTCCAGTTCTAGAAATATATTTCTACAAATACACAAAGAATTGTGCACCAGGATATTCTCTGCCATAGGTTTTATAATAGTAAATAGCTAGAAGTAATCTAAATGGCTAACAAAGGAAAATTGGCTAAATTAAATTATGCTATCTCTGCCTACTGGACTACTATGCAGCCTTTAAAAAGAACAGGCATATGCCCATGCATACATACAGAGCTATGAAAAATGCATGTGCTAAATAGTTAAGTGAAAAACCAAACTGCTAAACAATATGAGATTCCATCTGTGTGAAAATAAAAGGATGTATTCATACATACATTTGTTTGTCTAGACAGAATAGTTCTGAAAATTTCCATAATGGTAATAGTTTATGTTTAATAGATTTTTTTACTAAGTAGAATAAGTTTCATGGGTTATTTAATTTAATCCTCATAACCACACAATACAGTAAGAATTCTTTTCCTACCTGTTTTAGAGATGAGGAAACTGAGACTTAGAGAGATTAAGTCACTTCTGAAGTTCACACACCTCATAAGCAGAGCCAGCTGCAGGGCAGGGTGTGGGCCGGCAGGGTGTGGGCCGGCAGGCTGGCTGCAGCATCGGCTCACCTCTTATGCTGTGCGACATTATTCATGGTGAAAGTGCAAAGCAGAGATTCAGAATGGGCAAGGTTTATGAGGCGCTTTTAGTAAATAATGCTAAAGTGCCAGTTGTCATGTTCCTGTCTGGGCAGCTCTGATGAGATGCAGACAAGCCCTTTATCCCACCCTGGCCAGGGAATGTTTCCCTTTTGAACAGCCTAACACAATTAATGTGCTTCCATTTTCTTCTCTGTGCAAGGAAATGCAAAATAATAGATTCCAATCTATTTCAAGAATTGGGATGAGCAAATAAGGATGAATAGATCCTGATCTATTCAAGACTGCTTATCTTTATCTGCAATGAAGGCAAACAAACAAAAACTGTACCTTTTGAAAGAAGAAGGAGCAAATTGGAAATGAGGAAATTATAGTATGTGAGCTGGAAAACTACTAGATGCGTTAGTTTTCTCTTCTTCTCTTTGCCTGGTTGGAAAACGAGGCAATGGAGACTTCTTTCAAATCACTCAATCCTCTGAAACAGTGGCTGTGACGTGCTTTGATGTATTTTGTGGTTACAGGGGTTTCTGATGATAGATACCTCTGAGGCTCGGCTGGCTGAATGGATGGTAAAAACAAATACCATCTAAGAGACTGAGGCTCAGATAAAAGAAAGGTGAAGCCAAATTTCACCAAAGGCATATGCATAAATAAGGAGGCTGATGCTGTCCCTAACCAGTGTCAGAATATCTAGGTGAAGAGGGAAAAAAAATGGCATTAGCCTTCCCTATGTTTGCATTACTCTGAAAACCAACATTTAGATATTTGGGTGGAATGGAGAAGGATATAGAAAAATAGTTAGGTTTCATTTTTACAGTAGCAAATACAGAAGTTCCCCAACTTGCCATGGCTCAACATATGATTTTTTTACTTTACAAGGGTGCGAAAGTGATACATGTTTAGTAGAACCCATACTTCGAGTACCCATACAACCATTCAATGAATTCCATGAGATATTCAACACTTTATTATAAAATAGGCTTTGTGTTAGATGATTTTGCCCAACTGTAAGTTAATGTAAGTGTTCTGAGCACTTTTAAGGTAGGGTAGGCTAAGCTATGATGTTTGGTAGGTTCGGTGTATTAATACATTTTCAACTTAGAATATTTTCAGCTTCATCAGGATGTGACCTCATCGTAAGTCAAGGAGCATCTATACTACACTTTTTCTTTTTATTCTATGGCTTTTACTTTCAGTTGATCCTCCTGAAAAGAATCTATTAATTTAAAAGAAAAGGTACCCCAAATGCCTTGGGGTTGGGGGAGAAAGAAAAACTCACCAGCAATGAGACTTCTTAGTAATGTTCCGATGCTGGCTAGCTGACTAACCATCTGGTTTTGATGTCAAAACCTTGACGTGCTACAGGCATTGTGATCCTTCACGTGCTACAGACATTGTGAAAGTTGCCACACCAGTTGCAAGGTGCTGGTCAGAGCAACTGCTCACAAATTTCTTGTTTGAACGCTTGTAATGTGCAAACCTTTCTCTTCTCCTTATCCATTTGGTCATTTCCCACCAGGTAAGGTCAGCCTGCTAGGAAACCGCTCTGCAGTTTGGGTTGCTGTGGAAACATCTGCATATCAGGTGGAACTGGAGCTGGTCCCCGCAGTGGAGATCCCCACCACCTGGTCCAAGAAAGCCCGGTGGCCTCGATGTCTGCAGCGCTGGCCTTCCCAAGAGAGAGTGGAGTGCATCAAGGTATCAGTGGGCGGGACCCAGCTTGCCAGAGCAGTGATGCCAACAGCTTAACCAGTCACAGCATTACTGACTGCCAATGAGTTTCCGAAGGAAAGTTGAGGTGTTACTAGATCAGCAGTTCTCAAAGTGTGGGCCCTGCAGCAGCGTCACCTGAGAACTTGTTAGAAATGCAGCTTCCCGAGCCCCCACTCTGGACCTGCTGAATGAGACCCTGTGAACAGGGCCCAGCAATCTGTGTTTTAAGAAGCCCTCTGGGTGATGTGATTCTGATGTATGCTCAAGTTGGAGAACTGCTGTAGGAGAGGAAGTGGGCACCATCTTCTAACTGTCCACATCCAAGGTGGCTTGTGGTCTCCCTGGCACCCCCTTCTCATCCCCACGTAGGATGTGCTGTCTGCCTGGTGACAAGTTCCCCAGACCAGCAGACTGCTTCAGAAATGGCTTTCTACACCAGTGAGCATTGTTCTTCTTATTTCCCAATATTTTTCTCTTTCTTCCAGTCGTTTGGATTTAACTTGTTGGCCTGTTCAAATTATCACTGGCAGCTGAGCTTCCTCCGTGCTGAGCAGGTGTTACTGGAACAGCTGGATGAAGATGGGGGCTGCCGTAGGAAGTGTTTTCAGGTCATGAGGCACCTGAAGGAGGACATCTGGTGCCCAGGGAACAGGCCGGTTATCACGTCCCACCATCTGCAGGTGAGTGTGGGGCAGGTTGGAGAAGACCCAGGGGCAGCTTTGGATAGGTCATTCTTCCTGTGGCCTCTGTAGGGCCTGGCCAGAGCCACTCAGAAGGGGTAGCATGTGTGAAAAATTCAGGATGAGGTTCTAGTATCTATATTTGCCATCCAACAAATTACTACGTATTATGGAAATATGTAAACTAGCACCATATGGGAGTCCACAACACCCCTGCCCAGGGTAAAATTTCCTCCCTCCCTTCCCTTTTCCAATTCTCTTCTATCCCACTTTTCCTCCCCTCTCACTTTTATTTTACCCACCAAACCAACCTGAGTGCTCACTAGGTGCCAGAAACCCTGCTGAGGTTCAGAAATGAATCACAAAATGTGGTTTGTGCCTCACACTTTGATGGCTTTATGTTTGCGCCAGTCTTTAAACCCACTGCAGCCTACGCACACCTCCTCATGCACACAGACCCACTAACACAGAGGGGACCAGGAAATGCAACACAGAGGTTACCACACACGTAGTGCCACACACTTCTTTCCAGGGTCCAAATCACCAGGCAAGGATCTTCCCTTGCTCTGCCAGCCCCTGCCTCTCCTTGCCCTAAACCCAACAGTACACATTCATTCATGCCTTCACTCACTCATTCAGCAAGTGTTTATTGAGATTACTCTGGGCCAGAGGCCTGCCCCAGTACCTGCTGTGGGCTCAACCTCTGCAGGCACAAAGGTGAACAGACACAGATGTGTTTCCTCACTCATGGCACTTCTGGTCTAGCATGGGAGATAGACATGGGTCAGGCAAGCCAGTGGGTGCGTGTACAATCACACAGTGAGGAAGCACTGGAAAGGGAGGAGTATGGCTCTGTGAAGGCTCAGAGCAGCAGAGCCTGACCTGGACTGGGCAGTCAGGGGGCCTCCCTGGAGAGGGGGCCTTTGACCACCCTCCCGACTCCCTCTTTCTCAAATTGTGAACCACACAGAGTGAAGTGTACTCTCATGTAGCAGCTCTGTGCAGCCTGCTGGAGTAGGGAGGTAGGAGACTCTTGCAGGACACCCCAGCCCAGCCTAGCTAGTGTGGGCTGTGAAGCCTAGCTTCAGCCCTCCTCCCTGGCCCCAGAAAGGATGGACTCCCTTTCTACTCAGGTAAGCACAAGTCCCTGGGGCAGTCACCTATCTGTGAGGTGCCTTCCTCACATACCTCTTCCTTCTCTCATTCGATGGACAAAACTGTCTTCCAGCCCCATGTTACTCTGTCTGCTCTAAAGTAACTTATTGAAGGACAGATACCACATTGATCTTGTCCAGCTGGCATGCTGACCTAACTCGATGTTCTTATTCATTGGGAGAAGGTGAACAAAACCCCCATTATCTCTCCCAATGCTTTGTACATAGTAGCGCATTAAATATTTGTTGAGCAAATGAATGAGTGGCTTCACATCTTACTCAACTTTTCTCTTTTTTTCGCACAAAATCACTAACCTTGCTTCACCTTCTTATCTTTCCAATAACCTGTCCATTTTGACCTGCGGAAGAATCTGTTAACATCTCATTCACATGCACTGGGGCTTTTCTCTGGAGTTCCAACATTCTCAACGTGTCCCAAGCACACTTCCCTAAAAACACGCAGGCTGTTCTCCTGGATGGAGGGCATGTGCTTGCAGAAGATACTTTGATTCTTTCTGTGGATTTAGCTTCTCTTGCTTTCCTTTATACAGGCCACACTAGAAGAGGCAGAGCTGAGACGCAAACTCAAGTCTATCTCATATCAAAACCTCATAACCTTAACGATTGACTTCATTACCTCTCAATTAAGATGGATGGAAATACCATTCGGTGACATGAATATTTCAGGCAGGATTGAATGGGGCCACCATGGATCTCCCAGCCATGGCTGCTTGCAAATCTGTACTCCCCACAAGGGCTGACTTCTATTCTGATGGCTCCTAAGTCACCTGGTGGATTTTAAGGCAACTCCTTAAGGATTCTCTGTTTCAATCCTCCCTGACCCACCTGTGTGGCACAATAGGGCATCCTCAAGGATGGGCATTTTTTTTAAGTGGGCTATTTCTGGAGTAAGATAAACAGAAAGTGCTAACTGCCTTTTTCTCTGGTCTTCCATCCTTAGTCCACAGACAGAATTATCTCCCATTTAGGCATCCCTGCCCTTGAAATGAATGTGGCTGGTGATAAATGTGGTGCTAGACACCATCCCAGATGATGACTTGAGTGTGCTGGATCCTTGCCAAATCTTCATTTTGAGGAAAGTGGAAGAGGTTGGGTTGCAAAACAGCATTAGGAAGCTGTGGCACTCAGCCTTGCCTCACCTTAAGTCTGACACTCTCTTACAAGGCCCTCACCTTCTCCCCAAAAAGGCTCTGCCCCAAGACTATTTCATGTGAAGCAAAAGCTTATCTTTTATTGCCTTATTTATTCCTAAAACCCACTCAAAATACATTGGCTTGCTTATAATGAGCTTAACTGCCCCAGTTTGCTTAGGGAGATAAAAGCTTAATTAACAAGAGGAATTAACATTTTTTCTGGTATCTAGGTTATCTTCGCTTGCATGAAATTATCTCTAACTCATTTATTCATAATAACGTAATCTAAATACATAGTTGCTATGAACTTACAACTGCTCTAAAAAATAAAGACTGTATAAAAATAACCCAATATCTAAACCATAACATTAATGGATAATTCATTAATTCACTTATTCAATAAATGTTTATTAACTTCCTCTCATGGGCTAGCCTTTGCTGGGTACTGGGTAGCTTAATAGTGAATAAAAATAGGCATCATTCACTGCTCTCATAAAGTTTATAATCCAGTAGGGGAAATGATAAAATTAATCACATAAATATAAAAACTACTACTGTTGTCGCTGCTTCTTATGAGAAGTACATGACTAAGAGAGTGTGCAATGGGTGTACTAGGGAAATTTGATCTGATGGACAAAGAAGGGAAAGAAGTGTGCCCTATGCAGCCGAAGCAGGATGTGCAAAGGCTCTGTGGTAGAAGGGAGCATGAAATGGCTGGTGTGGCTACATGAAGAGAGCAAGGGAGGACACAGGTCAAGATGAGTCTGGAAAGGAAGGCAGGGACCAAACCTTATAAACCACACCACATTAAGGATGATGTTTTTAGCTAACAAACAATGGGAAGACCTTGAAGTATTTTATTTTATTAATTTTTTTTTTGTTTTTGAGACGGAGTCTCGCTTTGTTGCCCAGGCTGGAGTGCAGCGGCATGATCTTGGCTCACTGCAAGCTCCACCTTCTGGGTTCACGCCATTCTCCTGCCTTAGCCTCCCAAGTAGCTGGGACTACAGGCACCCGCCACCACGCCTGGCTAATTTTTTGTATTTTTAGTAGAGATGGGGTTTCACCGTGTTAGCCAGGATGGGACCTTGAAGTATTTTAGATGAGAAGGGAAGTAGATGTATATTGGCAGCAGTATGGATGGTGATAATTTGGATGGTGGCAAGAACAGGGATGGGCTGATGAGATCGCTACTGCAGAGGTCCAGTGAGATGTGGAGGCAGTGTGGAGGGGGATGGTAGAATAATACTGGAGGTGAAGGTAAATGGGTAGACTCGAGAAATACTTAGACAAGAGGATTACAGGACTTGACTGGGGACGGTAAGGGAGAAGGGCGACTCCTAGGTTTTCGTGTTGCACAACTAGCTAGTTAAGCAACTCTGGAGGCAGATCAGGTTTGTGCAGGAAGAGCAGGGGTTCAGTTTGGGCATGTTGGGACTGAGATAACTTTCAGATACTCAAGAGATACACGATAAGCAGGTCAGAGGAGAAGTCTGGGCTGGAGACACAAATTTGCAAGTCATTCATATGTAGTGAGAATTAGAGCTGCTGTGGTGGAGGCAACATAGAGCTGAGGAATGAATGTAGACTGAGAGGAGAAGAGGGCCTAGAATTGAGCCTCCAGAAACTCCACTTCTCAAAGGCAGGCCAAGGAGTAAAAGCCTGCCAGGGAGGCGCTGTAATGCTAGGAGAAAAAACCCAGAGAGCAGATTGCTTGGAAGTCAAGTGAAGGATGGCTCAGGAGGGAGGGTGTGGGCGAGAGAACCAGGTCTGCTGAAAGGTCAGGTAAGGTGCAGGCTGACAAAGGCCTATTAGATTTAGAAAAGTGGAGATCACTGGGCCTTGACGAGAGGAGCCTTTGAGGATTAATGAGAGAAGAATCCATATTGGAGCAGACTGAGGCAAGAAATGGGAGGAGAGGAAATGACCACAAATAATAGAGCCGACTCTCCAGAGAAGCCTGGATTTGCAGAGGGAAGAGTGAGGGCAGGAGGCAGATGTGGGGTTGGGGTTGCAGGAGAGCTCTCAACTTGTGAAAAGCAGTTGAGGAAGAGGGTAATCAGTCATATACAGTTCCTGGAAGATGGGATCCAGGGCCCTGTGGAGGGATCAGCCCCACAGGCAGAAGAGGCAGAAGCAGGGAGGAAGAGAGGTGGGTGCCGCAGTAGGCAAGATCTGTCTGGTTTGGGAGGATGAGGGGTTCCATTTTCCCCGTAAAGTAGGAGGCAAAGACATTGCCTGGATTAGTGAACATTGGAAATGTTGGAGGAGAGTGAGGGAATAGATTAGGGAAGAGGTGCGGGAGACCAGCTGGTAAACTGAAGGCCCACCTGAAGTTGGGGATTGTGAATTCATGGTAGATCCAGTCTGCCCAGGCAACTCTTTTCTCCCTCCTTCCAAGGCCACATAAGCTCAATAATTGTTTCCAAGCTATCCTCCTCAATTGCCCGAAACAATGTCTGACAGCACTTCTCCCTTCCACAGACTGTGCTCTTTTGGACCTGCGAGAAATATCCCCACTTTAAAGACTGGCAGGTCTTCAGCAAAGCATTTCTGCGCCTGGTGAGGAAACTGCACAAGTGCGTGAGCCAGCACTTCCTGAAACACTATTTCGTCCGGAACAGCAACCTCTTTCAGTGCACCAACCCGACTGAACTGGACACTGTGGCCCAAAAGCTGGCCACCTTCCTGAAGAACCCCCAGATCGGCCCGCCCTGATGGTTGCCCCGGCCTGGGAGGCTCTTGGACATTTTATTCTGGCTTAACATTGTTCTTTGGATGGTTCCTCAGTCAGGTGCCAGGATCCTGCCTAGGAGAAAGGCCACGAATGGCAGCGGAAATTACATCAAACCAGAAACACTTCAGCAGGGGGAAAACTGTGCCCCAGGATGTCTGGCCCAGGCCTCCCTGGAGCCCAGCAAGCATTTCTGCCCTAGCTAATTCTCCTGGAGACAGCTCTCATCAGGCTTCCCCAGGCACAGATTTGGAACTGGTGACAGTTCTGAACTTAGTTTCCCTTGTTCAGGCTGTGATCGTCTCACAGTGAAGATGGAGACAGAACCCCTGGAAGTCTGGACATGAGCCTGCTGGCCAATACTGTGCCCAGCCCACTGATCATGGGCACATTCTCCTGCCATTTGTAAAATGGGAATGTTAACGTGCCTACCTCTGAGCAGGGCTGTGTGCCTATGAAACTGTGCTGGCGCCTTTTCAAGGGGAAGGCATTGGATCAACACAAAGTGTTCCTGGTTGGTTGAGTAGCTGGTGTTTGCATCCTGGATCGGTACCCACAGCACTGACGCAAAATTGCACCTGATGAGTTAGTGAGCCTGTGCTTCCTTGCTGCCCTCCAGCTTCCTTAGCATGTGGGTCAGTGGCTCCTGATGTTCTGTCTGCTTCGCTGGTATTCTCTAAGCAGGGAGGGGAATGGTTTTGATGATAAGTGTAAGTCAAAGATGAAAGTACAACTCTTGGCCTGATCCCAACCATAGCCCTCTCTTTGCTTCCCATGCCATGGGCCATGGATGGAACTTCCTTATATATTTATGTAAATAACCTAGTACTATGATCTGCATGGAGTGACCTTAGGTGTCTGTCACTGCTCAGTGTGTTCCTTTGCTCACTTCATTCACTCACTCACTCATTGACAAATAATGCTCATTAGGCACCGGGAACACAGCAAAGAGCAAAGTGGATGAGGACCTCCCCCTGGGGATGCCACCTAATGGTGGAGACAAGAAATGAACGACAGATAAACACGCACAGTTATTACAGATGGAAGCAAGTGCTTCAAAGGAAATAAACAGAATGTTGAAGTAGAGTCCACAGAAAGGTCCCCGAAGGATGAAAATGCAAATAGCTGAAGGGGAAGGAAAAGTGACCAAAGGCAGGCATGGTGGGGCTGGCATGAGTCAGAGCACCTGGCCTTGTAAAGCCAGGAAGGAATCAGTATTTTATTCTAAGATCAAAGGTGTGACATTTGGCCTCTCCAGAAGCAGAAGAGTATCACGATCTGACTGCATTTTAAACAATTGTTCTGGTAACTGCATGAAGAAGGTCTGGGGACTCACACAGGAGCTGGGCACTGAGTGCTCTTGAGCCACCCATTTGGAATTTCACAGAGGCCCACAAGGCAACATATTCTGTGTGGCACAACCGATCAGGAATTCTAGGAGTTCTCGGTGAGATCAATGGTTTTTTTCTGGCGTTTATGTAATGCTTCTCAACTCAAGGGGCTCCTTTATTACTTTTGAATGTTTTTGCCCAAATGTCTATACCAAAGATAAATTTCTAAAGCATGAACTACTGATTTTGTTTTCATGAAAATTCACATTTGAAAATGAAAATGATTACTTTTCAAAAGTACTGTAAACGGCAGGAAAGATCCAAAATTGACACCCTAACATCACAATTAAAAGAACTAGAAAAGCAAGAGCAAACACATTCAAAAGCTAGCAGAAGGCAAGAAATAACTAAAATCAGAGCAGAACTGAAGGAAATAGAGACACAAAAAACCCTTCAAAAAATTAATAGATCCAGGAGCTGGTTTTTTGAAAGGATCAACAAAATTGATAGACTGCTAGCAAGACTAATAAAGAAAAAAAGAGAGAAGAATCAAATAGATGCAATAAAAAATGATAAAGGGGATATCACCACCGATCCCACAGAAATACAAACTACCATCAGAGAATACTACAAACTCCTCTACGCAAATAAACTAGAAAATCTAGAAGAAATGGATAAATTCCTCAACACATACACTCTCCCAAGACTAAACCAGGAAGAAGTTGAATCTCTGAATAGACCAATAACAGGATCTGAAATTGTGGCAATAATCAATAGCTTACCAACCAAAAAGAGTCCAGGACCAGATGGATTCACAGCCGAATTCTACCAGAGGTACAAGGAGGAACTAGTACCATTCCTTCTGAAACTATTCCAATCAATTGAAAAAGAGGGAATCCTCCCTAACTCATTTTATGAGGCCAGCATCATCCTGATACCAAAGCCGGGCAGAGACACAACTAAAAAAGAGAATTTTAGACCAATATCCTTGTTGAACATTGATGCAAAAATCCTCAGTAAAATTCTGGCAAACCGAATCCAGCAGCACATCAAAAAGCTTATCCACCATGATCAAGTGGGCTTCATCCCTGGGATGCAAGGCTGGTTCAATATACGCAAATCAATAAATGTAATCCAGCATATAAACAGAACCAAAGACAAAAACCACATGATTATCTCAATAGATGCAGAAAAGGCCTTTGACAAAATTCAACAACCTTCATGCTAAAAACTCTCAATAAATTAGGTATTGATGGGACGTATTTCAAAATAATAAGAGCTATCTATGACAAACCCACAGGCAATATCATACTGAATGGGCAAAAACTGGAAGCATTCCCTTTGAAAACTGGCACAAGACAGGGATGCCCTCTCTCACCACTCCTATTCAACATAGTGTTGGAAGTTCTGGCCAGGGCAATTAGGCAGGAGAAGGAAATAAAGGGTATTCAATTAGGAAAAGAGGAAGTCAAATTGTCCCTGTTTGCAGACAACATGATTGTATATCTAGAAAACCCCATTGTCTCAGCCCAAAATCTCCTTAAGCTGATAAGCAACTTCAGCAAAGTCTCAGGATACAAAATCAAAGTACAAAAATCACAAGCATTCTTATACACCAATAACAGACAGAGAGCCAAATCATGAGTGAACTCCCATTCACAATTGCTTCAAAGAGAATAAAATACTTAGGAATCCAACTTACAAGGGACGTGAAGGACCTCTTCAAGGAGAACTACAAACCACTGCTCAATGAAATAAAAGAGGATACAAACAAATGGAAGAACATTCCATGCTCATGGGTAGGAAGAATCAATATCGTCAAAATGGCCAGACTGCCCAAGGTAATTTACAGATTCAATGCCATCCCCATCAAGCTACCAATGACTTTCTTCACAGAATTGGAAAAAACTACTTTAAAGTTCATATGGAACCAAAAAAGAGCCTGCATTGCCAAGTCAATTCTAAGCCAAAAGAACAAAGCTGGAGGCATCACACTACCTGACTTCAAACTATACTACAAGGCTACAGTAACCAAAACAGCATGGTACTGGTACCAAAACAGGGATATAGATCAATGGAACAGAACAGAGCCCTCAGAAATAACGCCGCATATCTACAACTATCTGATCTTTGACAAACCTGAGAAAAACAAGCAATGGGGAAAGGATTCCCTATTTAATAAATGGTGCTGGGAAAACTGGCTAGCCATATGTAGAAAGCTGAAACTGGATCCCTTCCTTACACCTTATACAAAAATTAATTCAAGATGGATTAAAGACTTAAACGTTAGACCTAAAACCATAAAAACCCTAGAAGAAAACCTAGGCATTACCATTCAGGACATAGGCATGGGCAAGGACTTCATGTCTAAAACACCAAAAGCAATGGCAACAAAAGCCAAAATTGACAAATGGGATCTAATTAAACTAAAGAGCTTCTGCACAGCAAAAGAAACTACCATCAGAGTGAACAGGCAACCTACAAAATGGGAGAAAATTTTCACAACCTACTCATCTGACAAAGGGCTAATATCCAGAATCTACAATGAACTCAAACAAATTTACAAGAAAAAAACAAACAACCCCAACAAAAAGTGGGTGAAGGACATGAACAGACACTTCTCAAAAGAAGACATTTATGCAGCCAAAAATCACATGAAAAATGCTCATCATCACTGGCCATCAGAGAAATGCAAATCAAAACCACAGTGAGATACCATCTCACACCAGTTAGAATGGCAATCATTAAAAAGTCAGGAAACAACAGGTGCTGGAGAGGATGTGGAGAAATAGGAAAACTTTTACACTGTTGGTGGGACTGTAAACTAGTTCAACCATTATGGAAGTCAGTGTGGCGATTCCTCAGGGATCTAGAACTAGAAATACCATTTGACCCAGCCATCCCATTACTGGGTATATACCCAAAGGACTATAAATCATGCTGCTATAAAGACACATGCACACGTATGTTTATTGCGGCATTATTCACAATAGCAGACTTGGAACCAACCCAAATATCCAACAATGATAGAGTGGATTAAGAAAATGTGGCACATATACACCATGGAATACTATGCAGCCATAAAAAATGATGAGTTCATGTCCTTTGTAGGGACATGGGTGAAATTGGAAATCATCATTCTCAGTAAACTATCGCAAGAACAAAAAACCAAACACTGCATATTCTCACTCATAGGTGGGAATTGAACAATGAGAACACATGGACACATTAAGGGTAACATCACACTCTGGGGACTGTTGTGGGGTGGGGGGAGGGGGGAGGGATAGCATTGGGAGATATACCTAATGCTAGATGACGAGTTAGTGGGTGCAGCGCACCAGCATGGCACATGTATACATATGTAACTAACCTGCACATTGTGCACATGTACCCTAAAACTTAAAGTATGATTAAAAAAAAAAAGTACTGTAACCAAATGGTGGGGTCCCTAGGCTATCGTTTAATAAGTAATGATTTTAAAATATTGAAAAAAAAATTTCCAAACCAACAATGAGTTTACAATTTTTGAAAACATGAAGGCTTGGTGCAGTGGCTCATGCCTGTAATCCCAGCACTGTGGGAGGCTGAGACAGGAGGGTCACTTGAGACCAGGAGTTCAAGACCAGCCTGGGCAACATAGCCAGACACTGACACCCCGTCTCTACAAAAAATTTAAAAATTAGCCGGATGTGGTGCTCAGGAGGCTGAGATGAGAGGATTCCTTGAGACCAGGAGTCTGAGGCTGCAGTGAGCTTTGATTGTACCACTGCACTCTAGCCTGGGTGACGGAGTCACCGGAAGGGAGACCCTGTCTCTAAAAAAAAAATTTAAAAAGAGCATATAAAATGGTGAACAAACTAACATTTTGTTAAATCATCAAAAATTTGTATTCTAATTCTCATATTCTTGTATCTTAGGAAACATCATTTTTGAAAAGGTGGCAAATGTAATAAGGTTTTAAATTTAATTTCGGCCGGGCAGGGTGGCTGAGGCCTGTAATCCCAGAACTTTGGGAGGCCTAGGTGGGCGGATCCCTTGAGGCCAGGAGTTCCAGACCAGCCTGGCCAACGTGGTGAAATCCCGTCTCTACTAAAAATGCAAAAATTAGCCAGGCATGGTGGTGGGCACCTGTAATCCCAGCTACTTGGGAGGCTGAGGCAGGAGAATCGCTTGAACCTGGGAGGCAGAGCTTGCAGTGAGCTGAGATCTGGCCACTGCTCTCCAGCCTGGGCTGGGCTACAGAGCGGGACTCTGTCTCAAAACAAAACAAAAACCATCTTAAGCAACTTTTAAAACAGCTACACAGTCACGGAATGCTAAAAAGTGAAAATTGACTGTAACATTGGTTCAATATGTGTGTACGTGTGTGGAAAGGGAGGAACTGACGTGCGCCACAGTCTGATTCCGGTAGATTCTTTCCGTCTTTCCCCTGAGATCTGAGGGTTTTGCAGGAAGCAGGGCTACCAGCAGCTTCCTGCGTATTCCCAATTCTTGCCAGCAGAGGGCAGCAAGGGAACACATATGAAAGGAGCCAGGTCCCACCCATTCTCGTCCTCGGAGCCCAGCAGGTGTCACACTTCTCAGCCCGTAACTTACACCTGGTCCCTCCAGAGCAAGGATGAGTGGATTCCAGCTCATGCCAAATTGTTGACCTTTCCTGCCATTTTAGCCGAGATTTACATCTTTCTCCTTAAAACTCAGATTTTAAAAGGGAGCCTATGAGAGGACCGTCCATCCAGGCTCCCGGGGCATTCAGCTCCATTCTGTTTCCTGGGACAGATTGCACAGCTAAGAAAAGCCAGAGAATATTACTCCTTTATTCTGTTCTTTTTTTTTTTTAATTCTCCAAAAGACCGTTCAATCCTTCTTCACTCTTCCAGGCCCAAGACTAGGCGTGTAGAGGAATGGTTGGTTTTCAGCCACCGCAGTTGACCTGCCTGCGTCTGCATCCCAGTTCTGATGCCGAGGAGCTGCATGACCTTGGCAAGCTGTTTGGCCTTTCTGTGTCTCTAGTTCCTTCTCTCCAAAATGGGCATTGTGATGGCCAGAATTGTGTCCACCACAATTCATAAGTTCAAGCTCCAACCCCCAGCACCTCAGAATGTGACTGTATTTAAAGAGGTGATTAAGTTAATAATAAAGAGGTGATTAGCTGATTCAGTCTGACGGGTATCCTTAAAGGAGAGGAGATTAAGCACACAGAGAGATGCCAGGGATGTGCATGCGCAGAGGGCAGCCACCCACAGACCAAGGAGAAAGGCCTCAGGAGAAACCAGCCTGTCCACACCTGCTCTTGGACCACCAGCCTCCAGAACTGGGAGAAAATACATTTCTGTTATTTAAGTCACCTAGTCTGTGGTATTTGGTTATTTTCCTATGGCCCTAGGAAACTGTTACAGGCATCATGAAAGAATATATACCTCATAGTGTTAATGAGAGCAACGAATGGAATGATGGATGTAAAAGGCTCTTAGTTGAGTACCTGGCATGGGATAACTGCTGAACAAATGTTTTCATTTTAGATGCCTACCCCTCGTGCTATTTGCCCATCTCTACCATTCCTGATAACTATACCAGACCACAGATAAATTCTTTGTAAAGAAAATATAAACCATCACAGAGGAAACATGAGAAAATTTCACTGCAAATTCTGCAAGCCCATTCTCCCCTTCGTCCCTCTTGCTAAAATATAGAAGGTATCTCCCTGAAAGGCCAATTTCTCCACATGTGACAGCTCAGATGCCTCCCAGCTCTTCAGTCTTTCCATTTATTTCTTGTAGTTTCCTCCACATCCTCCCGCAATGGCCGCTTCACTCTCTTCTCCCCTTTACTGTCCAGCTTCCTGAGTTACTATACGTGTATCTCCACCTACTCGCCTCATTCACTCTTTTTGTTTTTTTAAATTGTGAAATATATTTATACATGTGAGAATCTAACCTATTTAAAGAAGAATAATAAAGCAGGCTGGGCGCGGTGGCTCACACTTGTAATCTCAGCACTTTGGGAGGCTGAGGCGGGGGGAGTCACGTGAGGCCAGGAGTGTGAGACCAGCCTGTCCAACATGGCAAAGCCCCGTCTCTACCAAAAATACAAAAAATTATCCAGGCGTGGTAGTGCACATCTGCAGTCCCAGCTACTCGGGGAGGCTGAGGTGGAAGAATAGCTTGAATCTGGGAAGCAGAGGTTGCAGTGAGCCGAGATTGTGCCACGGCACTCCAGCCTGGGCAACAGAGTGAGACTCTGCCTCAAAATAATAATAATAATAATAATAATAATAATAATAATAATAATAATACACCAATATACTGTACCTTGGTGAAAAATAGCACATTGTCAGTATACGGAATTCTCCTTGCTTCCCCTTCCTTCCAGCAGCCTCCTTCCTCCCAGACATAGGTAATCGTAGGTATCCCACATTTTATGTTAATCATTCTCATGTTTTTCTTTATAGTTCTACTTCCTACCATATTTCATTGAACTTAAGCTCCCGACATTGTAAGATGCATTATTATTTCACCTCTAAGAAAGAGACTCACAAAATGAATGGTTTGGTTACAAAATTTTGGTTACAAAATGAATCTCAATTTTGAAGTGTTTGAAATGTCAAAAAAAGAGACATGGCTTAGAATCAACAAAATATGATCTGCATGCATCCCAAATTGTGTTTTTAGTTTTGACTGTTTCATTTATCTAAAGGCTTTACATACATGAAATCATACTGTATAAAGTCGTCTGTGATTGTTTCTCATGGCCACAGAGAAACAATCTTTTGAGATTGTTTTTATGCTTTTGAGACTCCCATGTGTGTCTTCATGTAGCAGTCGTTTATTCCTTTTCACCAATAAATAATATTCCACTGTGGGAATCTGCTGCTACACTTTATATATTCTTGTTACTGTAATTGGACATTTGCATTGTTTCCAGTTTTTGTGATTTGAATGATGTTTTTATGCTCATTCTTATACATCTTCAGATGCACACAAGTCTTTTAAGGGTGTACACATAAGAATAAAATGTAGGTTCACAGAATACATGAATGTTTAAATTTACTAAATATTGTCAAAATATTTCCAAAGTGATTACGCCAATCTAAATTCTCCATTTTAATATGGGTGGATTTTCAGCAACTTTCTCCATTATAATGGAGCACATTTTGCATCTTGTTTAAGGAATCCTTCTCTCTTTTCAGGTCATGGGAGTGCTCCTATATTCTCTAGAATTTTATAGCTATGGCTTTTAGGAGAAGTAGCTGTTCCTTATTTTTCCTATTCTATTCCAATAATATTGGGGTAATCTCTTTGCTGGAAAGTTTGGTTTAACTCATGTAAAGAACTGGCTGGACCTTCAGTTTTATTGCCAGGAGATATTTTACTATTAATCTTTTTTTTTTTGTGGTAGGGGGGCGGAGGAGGGTACGGAATCTCGCTCTGTCGCCTAGGCTGGAGTGCAGTGGCGTGGTCTTGGCTCGCTGCAATCTCCGCCTCCCAGGTTCAAGCGATTCTCCTGCCTCAGCCTCCTGAGTAGCTGGGATTACAGGTGCACGCCACCACGCCCAGCTAGTTTTTATATTTTTAGTGAGATGGGGTTTCACCATGTTGGTCAGGCTGGTCTCAAACTCCTGACCTTGTGATTCACCCACCTGTAATTACCCACTCACGCCTGTAATCCCAACACTTTGGGAGGCTGAGGTGGGAAGATCACTTGAGCTCAGGAGTTGGAGACCAGCCTAGGCAACGTAGTGTGACCTCATCTCTATATTAATAAAATAAATAAATAAAATTTAAAAAGAGAAATTCCTACCCTTTCTTCTTTTCTAAGTATAGAAATTTTTAAACGCCATTTTAGTGCAATTCCACAGGTTTTTTTTATAATTTATTTTTATTGTCTTCAAGTTCTATTTATTTTCTAGTTTCTACACTAATTTTAAGAAAATTGTTTCCAAACCTGTTGGGCTTCCTAGTTATGTTTTTGTTATTGATTTATCACTCAATTGCACTGTAATAACAACAAGTGATCTGAATGACCCCAATCCCTTGACATTAATTGAGGCCAGCTTTTTAGCTTAGCACTTCTTCATTGTTCTATGTACATACAAAGAAGATACACAAGTTTAGATGTAATGTCTAATAAATGTCAGTTATATCCTACAGTGCTCAAATTTTCTATATTTTATAGATTTATTGGGGGGGGCTGTATTTCCTAACATTTACTGAGAGAGTTGTTTTAAAATCTCTCATTATGATAATGGACTTTTCAATTTTTGTGTATGGTTTTGTCAAAATTGTGTTTAATGTACATTGAAATTATATTATTAGGGCTGTATGGTTTAGAATTTTTATATCTTCCCAATTAATTGAAGCTTTTTCACTATAAAGTGACCTTTTTAAACTCTTGTAAACATTTTGCGTAAATATTGATTTTTGTCAGTTATTAATACAATAATATCACTTTATTTTGGCTAGTAGTTGCCTGGTATATATTTTTCCATCCTTTAACTTTCTATCTGTTTGTATACTTTATGTTGTTGATAACTGCATTCTTTATAAATGGCTGATTTTTTAAAAATCCCATCTGATAGTTGAGGTCTTTTGACTCTATGTTTAGTCCATTTATATTTATTCGAATTGAAAATACATATGGATTCATTTCTATTCTTTTATTATTTACTTTCTATTTGACCTATTTTATAAATCCTCTGCCCCCCACTTTTCATCTTTTTAAAATTAAGAGGTTTGTTTCTTCTTTTTAAATTTCTTTTTTTTCTTATTGGCTTGGAAAGTCCATACCCTATCTCTGTCCTTTTAATGGTTACCAAGACTATTTACACATACCGACTAAATTGTGTAGATTAAAATCTAAAGCTAATCAATACCTTCATTTTCCTTTCTGACAAGGACTCAAAGGCTTTGGCTGCTATCAATCTCCCTACCACATTTTCTGCTGTTGTCATCCTGGATTTTGGTTCTAGACTATTTACCACACCCCTACACACATACACATAAATAAAATAGATATTTTTATTACATTATTTTATATTTCTTATTTTATGCACATATTAGCCACTATGTTAACTCACTACTCTTTCTTGCATCTCGGATTTTCTATTAGGGATCATTTTCCTTCTGCCTGGAGTAGATGCTCTACCGTTTTCTATAGTAACAGTATACAAAAGTAAACAGTTTTTATTTGTTTGAAACTGTTCTTATTCACCTGTATTCTTGAAAGGTAATTTCAATTTTATGTTGAAAAACAATTTTTTCAGCATATTAAAAATTCTTTCACTGTCTTCTGGCTTCTTTTGTTGCTTTTTACAAGTCAGTCATTAGACTATTTGTTGTTTCTTTGTAGAGTACCTGCGTTATTCTATCTGGGCTCTTTTAATACTCTTTCTCTCTGTCTCTGTACCTCTTTCTCTTTTTTTTGGATTTATTAGGCCTCCTGAATCTGGGGAACTATTTCCAGTAATTCTGGGGAATTATCAGCCCTTAACTTTAAATATTGTCTCTTCCTCATTCTCTCAGTATTCCATTGTAGAAGGAAACTCAATTTACATGTATAACACATTCTATCATTCTACCCTCTCTTTTACCTTCTCTTTTTAGAATTGGCATCTTTTTTTTATCTCTCAGACCTGCATTCTCAGTAATTTCTTTGGATATAGCTTCCAATTGACTAATTCTCTCTTCAGCTGCCTCTAATCTATTGTTTAATCTGTCCACTGAATGTTAAATTTCTAACGTTTCAGTTCTCATTTTTAGGAAGTCTGTTTGGTTATTTCTTAAACCTGCCTATTTGTTCTTTAAGGTCTCATGTTCCTGCTTATGTTTGTACATAAACATAATAGATGTTTATGTTTTGTTTAAACATAATACAAAACATATTGTTTTACATATATCTTTTACATATATGTTTTACATATATCTTTTACATATATCTAAACAAAAGATATAAAACATATATCTTCTGTTTAAACATAATAGATACAATTGTTCTACATTCCATATCTGAAAATTCTGTTTATTTTCCTTAAAACTTTATCAGTAGGAATTTGTTTGACATTTGATTTGAAGTTGAGGTATCTAAAAGGATTTGCTTTTAATTCTGCCAGTTACCCAAGAGCATACCAACTCGAGACCATTTAAATTAAACTTGATGTTTGTGGTTTTTCAGGCCAATAGGTAAATGAATCCAGATAGAAAACATTTGAGGCTATCTTGTGGTTAAAAATCCTTAGGGGATTTTTTTCCCCCTCCTTCCAGTGCTAAGGTCAAGGTAAGCAAGATGACTTCTTTATAGCAGGTTTATTCCTCATTAACCCTTATTCTGAGAGCATGGGCATTTGAGCCAAATTCAGGCAGGGGAATCTTAGTCGATTCCCTACCCTTTGCAGGCCATAGGCATTCTCATCTGTTCCCTAGACTAGTACGGCTGACCATGAAAAGTTCCAGATTTCTAGGATCAGAAAACCTGTCAGAGCAAAACCTAGTTTTGCTCTCTCCTCATCTAGGGTTCTTAGTTTTATTTCATTTTTGGAGTCTGTGGATTTCTTTCCTTCTGATATTTTTCCTTCTACCTCAGAGACATATTTGTAAAGGTTTTGGAGTCCATATATTTAATAGCATTTTAGCTCTTTCAGTTCGGAGGTCATCCAGAGTGCCTAATCTGCTATACTGCTGGGTACACAGGAAATTTCATCCAAACAAAACCTCAAGCCAGCTAGAAACTTCATTCAAACATAAACTCTTCCCACCTTATATGCAAAATCAAGTGCTACTTCTTGCTTCTCATTTTATACAATTTCTCAGAAGCATTCAGCAGTCAACCCCTCCTCCTTGCACCCCTGTTTTCTCAGTCCCTGTGTGTCTGGAATTGGTGGGTTCTTGGTCTCACTGACTTCAAGAATGAAGCTGCGGACCCTCACGGTGAGTGTTACAGCTCTTAAGGTGGTGCCTCTGCAGTTTGTTCCTTCTGATGTTCAGATGTGTTTGGAGTTTCTTCCTTCTGGTGGGTTCGTGGTCTCGCTGGCTCAGGAGTGAAGCTGCAGACCTTCACAGTGAGTGTTACAGCTCTTAAGGCGGCGCGTCTGGAGTTGTTTGTTCCTCCCGGTGGGCTTGTGGTCTCGCTGGCTTCAGGAGTGAAGCTGTAGACCTTCGCGGTGAGTGTTACAGCTCATAAAAGCAGTGTGGACCCAAAGAGTGAGCAGTAGCAAGATTTATTGCAAAGAGCGAAAGAACAAAGCTTTCACAGTGTGGAAGGGGACCCTGGGGGGTTGCCACTGCTGGCTCAGGCAGCCTGCTTTTATTCTCTTATCTAGCCCCACCCACATCCTGCTGATTGGTAGAGCCAAGTGGTCTGTTTTGACAAGGTGCTGATTGGTGCGTTTACAATCCCTGAGCTAGATACAAAGGTGCTCCACGTCCCCATCAGATTATTTAGATACAGAGTATGGACACAAAGGTCCTCCAAGGCCCCACCAAAGCAGCTAGATACAGAGTGTTGATTGGTGCACTCACAAACCTTGAGCTAAACACAGGGTGCTGATTGGTGTGTTTACAAACCTTGAGCTAGATACAGAGTGCCAATTGGTGTATTTACAATCCCTGAGCTAGACATAAAGGTTCTCCAAGGCCCCACCAGAGCAGCTAGATACAGAGTGTCGATTGGTGAACTCACAAACCCTGAGCTAGACACAGGGTGCTGATTGGTGTGTTTACAATCCCTGAACTAGACATAAAGACTGTCCACGTCCCCACCAGACTCAGGAGCCCAGCTGGCTTCACCCAGTGGATCCCGCACTGGGGCTGCAGGTGGAGCAGTCTGCCAGTCCTGCGCCATGCGCTTGCACTTCTTAGCCCTTGGGCGGTCGATGGGACTAGGCGCCATGGAGCAGGGGGCGGCACTCGTCGGGGAGGCTCCCGGCCGCACAGGAACCCATGGAGGGGGTGGGAGGCTCAGGCATGGCGGGCTGCAGGTCCTGAGCCCTGCCCCGCGGTAAGGCAGCTAAGGCCCGGTGAGAAATCGAGCACAGCGCCAGTGGGCCGGCACTGCTGGGGGACCCAGTACACCCTCCGCAGCCACTGGCCCGGGTGCTAAGCCTCTCACTGCTGGGGGCCGGCAGGGCCAGCTGGCTGCTCCGAGTGCGGAGCCCGCCAAGCCCACGCCCACCCGGAACTCCAGCTGGCCCGCAAGTGCAGCACGCAGCCCCGGTTCCCGCTCACGCCTCTCCCTCCACACCTCCCTGCAAGCTGAGGGAGCCGGCTCTGGCCTTGGCCAGCCCAGAAAGGGGCTCCCACCGTGCAGCAGTGGGCTGAAGGGCTCCTCAAGTGCCGCCAAAGTGGGAGCCCAGGCAGAGGAGGTGCCGAGAGCAAGTGAGGGCTCTGAGGACTGCCAGCACGCTGTCACCTCTCACCTGTGACACCACTCCCTGCTTCTTCAGCTCCTTCTGAGTCTCTTTGGATTCCTTCTCTGCCCTCCCCTGAATCTTATCATCCTCCCCTTAAGGGCTTGGTCCTGGGCTCTCTTCTTTTCAGACTCTACTCACTCAGCCTAGCAATTTTAGCCACTCCTGTGGTTTCCAGTACTATCCACATTCCAAATATGCTCACATGTAGAGCTCCAGTCCGGCCTTCCTGTGCACTGCAGGCGGTTCCTATGAAATGCCACCACCTGATGCTTCACAAGCAGTTCCAACAAAACAAGGGTCAACCTGACCCCCAAGGGTGAGCACCCCTCACTTTGCTCGGACAGAATCATGTAGTTAAGAAAATTCCTCAAGCTGATACTCTACAGGCTGTCAGTAGCTTTAAAGGCAACATTTCTATCTTTTCTATCCCTAATTGTACAAAGGAAGCTCTTTTATTAGAATACCTAAGTACAACCTTCTCCACTGCCCACCATCTCCAAAGAGTGAAGACAGAAAGGAGGGAAATAGACTGGCTAAATGTGGAGTGGGAATAAAATGAAAGGAAAACTAAAAACCATTTCTTAATGTCTTTTTTACATAAAACATAAAATATGATGGTAAACATAGCCTAAAGAGAATTTTTTTCACCCACTGCAGACCTCCTTAAAGAAATTTTTTTAAAAGGTCAAATGTAACAAGTGGGTCTATGATATTTTTGTAACCTGAAAAAGGCCAGGGACATCACTGAGAGTCTATGTGAGGAGGTGGAGAGAATGTGTAGACTCTGTGATGTGCCACTCAGGTCCCTCCGGATGGAATGAAAGGCTTATTGCCCAGTGTGATCCCAGTGTCATTCTTCTTGGAGGATGACCTCACTGAAGAAAACTCTCTCAGCCAAAATTACTTCCCTTCTAGGGGCAGCCAGACACAAAGACTGATTAACGTGGGTGTGTAAAGGCCCAGGCCCCTCACCCCAACTCAGGACAACTCTGAAGGCCTGTTCTTAGCTGTAGAGCTTCTTCAGGATTGGTTGAGGCCTGTGTTGGGCTTGCATCACAGCTCAGCTATTTCCTCAGCTCAACTCTGCTTCCTTTCCCTGCCTTCACAGGTGTTGCTGTTGAGGGCGCTCCCTACTAAACATTCTGCTACGCATCTTTATCACCAAGCTGCCTTCCAGGGATTTCAATTTATGGCACCGTGGACAGACAGTCTACAGGCATCCCTTTAAAATCCAGCTCTGCCCTTTAGAGTGTGGCGATCTTGGGCAAGTCTCTTCATTTCTCGAAATGCTTTTCCTCATCTGGATATCCTGCAGGATTGCAAATGCTGGTTGCCCCATCTAGAGTCAAACGACCCAGGATTGGAATTCCAGCTCTGCCACTTCCTAGCCAATAACTCACTAAATTTGGCAAGACCTCAACATACTTGTCTGTAGAACAGGTAGAGATTATGTCTTTTATCTCATTGAATTTCCAGTGTGTAGCACATAACAGACAGCCAAAAACCCTTCAGCAGATAAACAGATGAAACTTCCAGCCAGCTGCACACCAAGGGCCAACAATTTTGTTTTAAGCATTTGCTGAAACAAATATCCCCAACTGCTTTAGAGCTTAATGCATCTTGACATGGCGTCTGATATCCCAGGGATTCTTTTGCCCCCACGTATCATTTGGAATTTGGGTCTTCCTTCAGTTTTTCAGGTCATGTTGCTCATCTGCTCGCAATCCTCCAGTCACTTCCTGCCTCACTCATACTACAGTCCCAAGGCCCGGGATGACCTGGAGCCCCAAACTCTCCAAACCCATCTTCTCCTTTCCCGGTTTCTCACACACATCCCTAAAAACACAGGCTTTCTCACTCTTCTCAGAATATCCCAAACATGGCCCTACCTCAAGACTTTTGTGCTTGCTGCTCCCTCCCTCTGGAGACCTTCCCTAAGTTTCCCACGTAAAATAGTATCCCTGGCTCCATCCCCACCCCACCTCAGTCTTGATAAGCTCTACTCATCGCCTGCTTTATTCTTCTCCATAGCACTCAGCACCACCTGGACTTCCAGCTCTCCAGCTACCATCTGTCTCCCACCACAGTGAAGGCTCCACGAGAAGGGGCTTTATCTGCATTTTCAGGGTTGTATCTTTAGAGCTGAGGACACAGCCTGGCACATTAGTAAGTACACAATTAATATGTGTTGAATAAAAATGTTTGCAATACTTCTTCAAAGCTATCATTTTAGATCTCCAAGTTCTTGGACTTTTCATTTATTAGTTATTTAAGGCAATAGAATCACAGAATTTTCTATCTTGAAGATACAGTAAAAGTGTTTAAAATTAAAAAAAAAATGTAGAGTAGATATGATGAGGTCCATACAGACTGAATGACTATCTTGGGCTTTAGAGAGTTAGTGATGACTACCAGGCCAGCTCTCTTTCCACTAAGCCACAAACTGAGGTAGTTTGTAATTGAAAGTCTAAAATAGTTTTCCTTTCAGATGCCCTTGAATCTTCTAAAATGCAAACCTAGGAAGTGTTGGAAATGAAGTTTAACTCAAATTGTTGCCAGTCACACATTTTGGGTCGTCCTTCCCTGCCTGTGTCCTCTGCCCTGACTGGCTCGCCTCGCCCTCCTCCCATGCTCTCTCCCTCATGGTTGTCAGGACATCGGCCTCTGTGGGACCCCTCATGGGACACACAGGCTTGTTTCATCTCTTCTTCTCACCCCCAAAGAGAATTAAAACAGTCCCATCATTTCTATTCTCTGAATTCAGAATATATTGGTAGATTTGAAAGAACACAGGAAATTAGAAAAAAAAATAGCTCTAATCACCACAGAAGAGATGCTGGTTATCAACTGGGCCAACCCCTTCATTTTACAGATGCGAAGGCAGAGGTCCAAAGAGAGGAGGGAAAATGATTTGCTCAAAGCAAATGCATTATGTCCCAGGCTGAACTCCTGATTTTCCCTCTCAAAGCTCCCATCGCCTCAGTAAACAGTGTCACTTCAGCCACATGCTTCAGCCAGAGTCCCAAGAGTTAGCCTTGAGGCCACCACCCACCATATTCAACCCACCAGCACATCCCTTGGCTCTCCTTTCTCCATGTAGTCCAGGTAGGCCTCATACCCTGCAGGTCAGCCCACCCCAGGCCAGGTCATGCCTCTCTCTTCCAGACTGCTGCAGACCTACTCTTGCCCCCCGACCTCACACCAGTCCTCCCCACACAAGAGCAAGGGGGGCAACCTGCAAACTCAATCATGCTTATTTTCCCTGCTCTCATCCTCCCAATAGCTTCTCATCTCTTAGGAAAAAAAAAGGGAAACTCCCCACCAAGGCCCACAAGGATTATGTGATCTGACTTGGGCCATTCTCTCTTTCCTCGCCAACTACCACGCTCCTTCACACTGTTCCAACCATACCACACTGGCTTCCTTGCTTTGCTTCAGACACCCAAGCTCCATCCTGCCCAGGGCCTCAGTACCTGTTTCCCCCTTTGCTCAGAAATCCCATGCTCCATGCTGACATGTCCCAACCCTCCCCGAACAGCCTAACACAGCTAGCCCCCAGCACTCTTGCCCTGCACCATACTTCACTCTCCCCATAGTGGTTTGCTGGTTCTCCTATTAGAATAAATATAAACTCTATGCCGGGAGAGGGCTTGTCTTATTCACTGTTGTATTATATCTCCGGCACTTGGAACAATGCTCAGTGGGTAAGAGCTCAATGAATAGTTGTTAAATAGATAATTGCATGAAGGAATGGATGAATACATGATTTTGCTCCATAATATGTATCTGCTTTGTGGCAGGGCTTGGATTTGAACCCGGGTCTTCTAATTCTCAGGCCAGGCTCTTTCCTCTACAAAGTAACATTTTGAGAGTCTGAAGAATCCCACATCTTTAGTTTTAGAGAAAGAAAAATTGCCTCTGGCTCCAGAAGCCTGTTTTCCCAGAAGGGCCTGGCTGTCCTCACTATGCAGAACACAGCTTGATGCAGCAGAGCTTGAGAATGCACACTCATGCTGCAGAGGGGCCAGCCTGGCAGCTCATCACAGCAGCCACTGACAACTGTGGGCACTGGTGGATACTTTGTAGCAGGTGTTTGCTGGACATGCCTAGCTTAACTGGGTTCCAACGTGCAACATGTAGACTGAACAACACACACACACACACACACACACACACACACACACACACACACACACACACTGCATTTAAACAAAGCACATCAGAAAAGAGTTCAGGCTTTCACCCTCCCTTCCTGCCAAGCACGGAGACAAACAGTACTGGTCTTGGTTCTCTTTGTCTCTGAGTCTAGACCATTCATTTCCTCTCATTCAACCAGCTTTATTTTTGGCGATGTAACTTTCTTTCGTGAGCATATATATTATGTTCTCAGACTTTGTAACCTATGAATCTCCTGTGAGGACCGACCTACGAATGCTCAGAATACAAAGGCCGGAGTGAGCAGTGCTCTCTGTGAGAGAGAATGTTACGGCAAATGAAAAAACCACCTTCACCACCTAAGCAGGATTCTTGCTTCTAATGCAAAATGTAACCTCCCTCTATAGGATGGATAGAGGGATATTAGGTTGAGCACTCAACACACTGGGGTGCTTACCACAGAGTACCCCAAAGTGTGGTTTAGGTCTGAGGGACCGGGTGAGCAAGGAAGGCTGCACCGGTGTAGGGACAGGCACAGTCTGGGTCCTTTGGTGGCCGGGGGTACAAAGGAAGCAGAGCCTGGGCTCCCATCCTCTCCTGCTGTCACAGCCCCTCCATGGAGGCCCTGGCCCTTCTCTCCTCCTCTCTCCTGCCTCTTTCCAGGATGTTCTTTGCCCCACAGTGAGATGTGAGGGGCATCAAGAAGGCTCCCTGCCATTGACTCTCTCTGTCCAGGGACCGCCATATGTGACTTGTGCTGTCTGTGACCAGGACGCGGGCTCTTGAAGGAGCAGCGAGGAGCAAGAGAGAGGGGAGCGGACGCCCCGACTCGCGCAGGGCTGAGGCTGGAGGGGAAGACTCACAGGGACTACGGTCTACGGGGAGGCCGCCTTGCGCGCCGCGGCTCGGAAGCGGCAGGGGGCGCCCGCGGCTCCTCGCGGCCCCGAGCCGTGAAGGGCTGGGGAAATTCCTCCCGCTGAAGGCAGAGAGCAGACTGGGACACTGCGGTTCCCGAGAGCCGCAGCCCCGCCGCCTCCGCCCACGCTGGCCCTCGGGAGGCGGAAGACTAGCTGACGGCGGCCCCCACACGCGCTCTGCAGCCTGGGGGTAACCCTCAGCCCACCCAGTGCCCAGCGAGGGGGCTCTGATCCACAGGCTCCGCCCAGCTCCCTGGGTCCTCTTTTCAGTGGGCCTCTTTTATTGCCTAGCACTGGGGATCGGGGTGGGGGGTGGACAGTTACCCCAGTATAGATACTGGCTCATCCGGACATATCTGTGCTGCTGCAGGGCACTCAGCCTCCTTCCCTGCAAGATTAGAGGGGCTGTGGAAGACAGAAGAAAGATGCTGTGCTCTTATGGACTCCTTTTCCTTAGACTAATGCCCACGGGGAAAGGAAAGGAAAGGGAAGGGAAGGGAGGGGAGGGAGTTAAGCGCTCCATCACCCCCAGGCCAGGCGTCATGGTAGGAAGGTCATAAAGAGGGTGGGTGGGTCAGAATGCTCCAGGAAAGGAAAGGATGGGACACCAAGATTTGCAGATACTGCCTATGTGCCTGGCACATATTTTAGGGGCTTTGTGCTTTATCTCATTTAATCCCCTCGGCACTCCTTTGGAGTAGGTAGGCAGCATAAACCCATTTTGCCAATGAACACTTGGAGGCTCACAGAGAAAAAAGAACTTGCCCAAGGTCATGGGCTGGAGTGGACAGAGCCATATTCTTTATGCGTTTGTCATAATGAGTTCCTTACAGTGCAGGTGACAGGAGAGACATGAAGGCACAGCCTACCAGGACCAGAAGTCCAGGAGGAAGACTCAGTCCTTCTGCTGGGCCCTGCAACCCTATGAGCCTCGCAGGAACCAAGAGAGAGGGAGTTGAGCAGAGAGGGACCCAGAGGCACCCTCTGTGGGTGCTGTTCCCTGACCTTGACATAGAGGACATTCCTCAACATGGATGTGGGTCAAGGTCCTTCCCTGATGGTGGAATGGGTGGAGCTCGTAGTGTGACAGATGGTAGAGAAAGGTGTTCTTACAATTGCCCCTGGGCTAACATTTTCCAGTTGTACCTTTGAACGCTCTAAAAAATCCTAAAAATCACTTTCACAAAAGTTAATCATTCACTCTGCAGGCCAGATGACCTTTGCTATGTAGTTGGGGTTTTGTTTGCTTTTTTTTTTTAAAGTCTTGTAGTTTGTAATTGGACACATATCCTTTAGGTGAAGAAGAAAATAATTTAGGGTCTAGTAAAAGGCTTGGTTTTCTTCTTGCCCTCCATCTCCCAGGAGTTTAGAAACATTTTCTCAGTGAGAGGCTATAAATTGAAGACTGAAAACAAATTAATCTTCCAAAGCTGTGGCCTTCATGGAGTACTATATACAGGAGACCCCAGGAGACAAAAACATACCAAAACCAAAAAATCAATAAAATCCAAGCCATCACCCACCCTGCACCTGATTCCTTAGGCCCCTGCTGTCATCTGGGTGGCAGCTAAGTTTACCAACAGAGAGGATTCTGGAAATTTCATTGGTACAGTACTCTAACCAGCTTTGCCCTTTGAGAAATGGACTTTGGAAATTGCATTGGTACAGTACTCTAACCAGCTTTGCCCTTTGAGAGATGGATTCTGGAAATTTCATTGGTACAGTACTGTAACCAGCTTTGCCCTTTGAGAGATGGATTTTGGAAATTTCATTGGTACAGTACTCTAAACAGCTTTGCTCTTAGAGAGATGCAAGTGTGGAGCTTTTCTATTTTAATATTTCAATCACCTAAAAGTTAATTGACCTCCTATAATAATTTGGGAGGTCAAATTGGCTATGTAAACTGGACAAGCCACCCAACTTCTTTAGGCCTCAGATTCCCCTTCTGTGCAGAGGCTGGGGAGTAAGCTCCAAGTTCTCTTCAAAGGCTAATGCTCTGCAGCCTGTAATCCTGCAGGTTGCCTTAACAGGCTCCCCAGCTCTGTTCCATTAACTATTTTTGGCTCAGTGATTAGAAGGCCTTGTTGGGCCACACCCTTACCTCTGACATTCTGACAACTGGCTGGACATTTTCACTAGGTATCCCACTGGGCACTCAAACTCAAGATGCACAAACCAAACACATCACCTCTCCTTTCTTCTCCTCCTCTCAGCCTAACTCTGACTTCCCTTTCTCTCCTTCAGGCATCTGAGCTGGGAACATCAATATCGTCTTTAATGTCTCGCTATCCAACAGCTTCCACATTCAGTGAGTTCCCGAGACCTGAATATCTGGCTGCGAAGAGCCCTCCTCTTCATAGTCCCACAGCTTCTGTCCAGCTCAGGCCCTTGACCCCCTCACATGGGCTCTTGCCACCACATCCAGCATGCCCAACAACCTCCCCTCCTTTTTCCTTTCTCTCCCCACTCTGACACATACAAAGTGTCACTACCAGATCATCGCACTCACCCACAGCTCCGGCAAGCCTCTCCCCTGCTACAGAAACTTGAATGGTTTTCTTTTGCCAGCTGAGCAAACAATTGCCATTCGGGACCTCCATGATATAGCCTTAACCTAACTTCCCTCCTGCACCCACTCCTTACACTTCAGCCAAACTCAGTGTCCTTCACACACAGGCCAGCTTTTCTCGTCTGTCTCCATACTCTTCACATTCTCTCTGGAACATGCACAGCTCCCATACCTGCCTATGAAAACTCTACTTCTTCATTAAGGCCGAGTTCAAATGATACTTTTACCTTGAAATTTCCCAGGAGATCCCACTTAAGATCAATTTCTCATTTATTTTTTCAGCCAACAAATATTTATTGAGCACCAACTATGTGCCAGGTTCTGTTCCAGGCCCTGAGAATTCAATGGCGAATAGGAAGGATGCATTCCTACTCACAGGGAGCTTGCTGTTGGTGGGTGACAGAACAAAAGGAAGCAAACAAACAAAGGGTAGATCCTAGTAAGGGCGATGGAGGCGCTCTTGGAGTGGTTGACCTTTATTACAGTCTACTTGTAGTATGCCTTTTTGCAATTAAATGCTACCTTGAACACCCTCTGAGGGAAGAATCTGAGTCTCATTTATCATTGTGACTTCCACAGTGCCTGACATCACCTCATCCGTGTAATACCCCCTCAGAGTGCATTTGTGGAAGGAAGGGAAGAAGAAAGGAAAGAAGGAAGGGATGGAGGGAGGGAAGCAAGAAAGAAAGAGAAGGATTTGAAAAACATTTAAACAAATACTCCAGGTCAGGAGTGGAGCACCTATTAATATCTTACTAATTAAAACACAAACGATATTCTCATTTTGCATTTGTCAAAGGTTGTCAACTTTGCAATCCCTAGAGGTGCCTAGAGGTGTTTTTCTGTGTAAGAGCCTCACTCGAGATAGGAGAGGCAACATGGGGCAGGGGAAGGGCACTGCATGGATCTGGGATTTAGTCCCTGCCCTGCCACATAATGGTTGGGAGGTTTTGACAAGTTCCTGAATCTCTCTGAGCCTTAATGTCCTCATCTGTAAAATGGGGATCATAAAACCTGCCTCACAGACTTGGAAAACTAAATGACAAATTCAGCACCCCAAAATCATAAAATTAATTCAGGAGTATCCTAAGTTCTTATACTGGCTTTGTTTGGAGGACACGAAAGTAGGCTATCTGCCTCCAAAAGCAGAAATCTTTGGATATAGGAATATTTAAAAATATTATTTTTAAATCTCTTGTTCTGGATTCTTAAGGAAGAAAGAATCCTGGGCTCTCAACCTCACGCTACCTGAGAAGCAACTGTGCCCTTTCTTACTCTCCCCTAAAAAATGTACTCCCAGAATTGCGCTCCTTCCAACCATTAGAATTTGTTGCTTCAAGCACAGGAGCCATACAATTGCCTTCCCTAAAAAGCATCCTCTATTGCCTCCTGCTCCCAGAAAATATGGCATAAGATGAAGTCATCTCTTGCCCTTGGCTATGATTTGCTAGTGCCAGTGTGTGAAATGTGGCTTACCCATACCTTCTACTCACCAAACACAGATTGCAAAGATCCTGCAAAGGTCTCCCTTAGCCCACTGCCCTATTCCAATACTGTCTCAGACCCAACTTCACATCTTCTGTGCTTTCTAGAATTCACTCATCTCTGTATTCCCTATGTCAGACAGATTCCCATGGGGTTAGAGTGGTAGCAAATGACTTAGCCTCCAGATGTTTCATCCAGAATTAAGCCTCTTGAAACACATTATCACTCCAACATGATGTGCTTTCAATAGGGTAAGGACTATGCTGGTGACCGCTAGGAAATAAATTTGCCCCTTGCTTGTCCAAAGTGTCCGGATGGGCTCTAGAGTTTTGGCAAAAGTTCCTTGCAGCATCTTGAGCTGTTATTCCGTTTTAAAATTAAGTCCCTTGAAAATGGCTCTTGGCCTTTAAAATCTGCTTCTTTGACAAAGACAGCATATACACAGTTTCTTGGACAGATAACCCACTGGATATTTGATGAGTGTTCACTGAACTAAAGAAGGGGGAGTTACTCAAATATAAGCAATCTTTCATCAGCACATTCCTCACTCGAGTATTCCTAGAATATCACCCCTAACCCCTCCTGACCAGCTCAATTAACCAGAACCCCAGTGGGTATGTTTCCCAGTTTCTTGGTTTCTCTTCCTTCCTTAACACATACATGATTTTTGTTTTAGTTGGTGGGATTCAGAGGAGTAGGGGGTCTCTGAGATAAACATTTTTTTAACCTTTCCTATGGTGCTGATATCAGACAAATGTTTTAATGAAGTTGCGGAGAATTGGAGAGAATAGAATGGAATACTCTGGCAACTTTCATTCTTGCCTGAGAGTCCCCTTGCCCCTCCACTCCCACCTTTCACCACTTACTTCAAACATGGTAGAATAGCTCACACTCATGGTAAGAGAGATAATCACAAAAGGAAAAGAAGCATCTGGAGAGCAGTTATCGAAGGAGTGGCGAAGACTTCTCTGCTGTGGGTGAACTGAACTCTTGATTTTGTGAAGGTTAACTGGAGCTGGAGCTGCAGAGCTGTGAGTTCCTGCTCCCACTGGAAACTTTCTCCAGTGAGGCCTGGAGCTGCTGTCCTTGGGTGAAATTGCTCGTGGGCTCACCTTCTATTCGGGGGACACAGAATTCCACTCTGTCACCATCTGGGGGCTTAAGGGCAGAGTCAGGGGAGAGTCAGTGGGAACTTCTGCTGGCAGGGGCCTTCCACTGAGGGCCTGGTCCTGTGGCATGGCTCTGCTCATTAGTACATATGAAGCCATCTCAATTCTCTAAGGCAGTTTTCCCATCTGTAAAAATGGGATCAATAATACACTTCATATGGTTGTGGTTCAGTGAACTATGTGAAATGTATTTGAAAGTACATTGTATTGAAAGTGTAGTACAAATGCTAGTTACTGTCATCACAGAGATGACACATACAAAAACATAATTTTTTTGAACTTTATATTAAAAATTAACATATAGTAAAACTGGTTTGTATGTGAACAGTTTTATGAAACATAATACATGTATAGATTTGCATAACCATCACCACAATAAAAACAGAGAAGAGTTTTGTTGCCCCATTCATTCACTGAATAACATTTATTCATGGTGTATTATTATTTTATATATTATTGTTGTATATGTTTTATATTGCTGGATTCAGTTTGCTGTGTGTGTGTGTGTTAACAACATTCAATATGAAACCTACCCTCTTAACAAATTTTAAGTATATAATACAGTATTATTAACTACAGGCACAATGTTGTATACTAGAGCTCTAGAATTTATTCACCCTGTATAACTAAAACTTTATACGCTTTGAATAGCAACTTTCTATTTCCCTTGAGGGATATTGTTTTAAAGTTTTCTTTTCTTGTACTGTGTTTGTCTGGTGTGAGGGTAATGCTGGTTTCATAAAATAAGCTGAGAAATATTCCTTTCTTTTTTCTGGGAAGATTGCTGTTATTTCTTGTTGAAACATTTGCCAGAATTCATCAGTGAGACCATCTGAACTTAGAGATTTCTTTTTCAAAGGATTTTCAACTATGAATTCAATGTCTTTAATAATTATAAAACTATTTATATTATCTATTTCATGATGGCTAGATTCTGGTAGATTGAAATTTTCAAGAACTTGGTGCATTTTTATCTAACTTGCAGGATTTGTATGTGTATAATTTTTTGTAATACTCTGTTATTATTATTTGTTTTAAATGTCTGTAGGGTCTGTAGTAATACTCCTTTCATTTCTGATACTGGTAATTTGTATCTTCTTTTTAAACTAGATGTTTACCAATTTTATTAATCTTTTCAAAGAACCATTTTTGGTTTTATTGATTTTCTCTATTGTTTTTCTATTTTTAATTTCATTGATATATATACTTATTTTGTTATGTCTTTCCTTTTGTTTACTTTGAATTTGCTCTGAATTGAATTTGATCTAGTCTTGTAAGATGGAAGCTAAAATGATTGATTAAACACCTTTCTTTTTTCCTAATATAAGCATCTATTCCTATAAATTTCCCTCTAAGAACTGCTTTAGATACATACCATAAATTTTAATATGTTATATTTTCATTTACAATCAGTTTAAAATATTTTCTAGTTTCCCTCAAGACTTCCACTATGATCAAAAAATTATTTAATAATAGTGTTTTGTCTCAAAGTGTTTTATGATTTCCCCACATGTGCTTTTAAAACCGTTAAACCTAGGAAAGTTGCAGAAATCTAATGAAGCCATTATTTTACAAACTAAATAATTTATTGAGCACGTTCTGTGTGCAAACCCCTAGGCTAAGTGCTGTTTAGGGTGTAAGGCTGCATGAGTTTTAGTTCCAGCCTTTGAGTAGTTGGAAGTCCAGGAGGGAAATCAAGATATCCATATAAACAAGTGGGGTGTATGGTGGTGGGTGAAACATGCTGTCGTGTGGTTCATGGTGCAGAGCAGCTCTGTAAGAGGGGTCTCTTCCAGCAGAGGTGCTCAAGGTCAAGGGTGTGAGGTAGGACTTTAGAATAGGTAGTATTTCCATAATGAAGGTTTTAGGGGAGGGCCTTTTCTAGTTAGTGAGAGCTTTGTCTGAAAGTGGCAGTAGCTCTTGCCCTTTGGGCACCTTTCCCTCCCAGTGCCCAGGCAAGCCTGCTGCTGCTTGGCACACTTGGCCTGCTCAATTACACACATCTTTGGAGTGAATTAATCAGTCTCACTAGACTGAGCTTTCCCAAAAGCCTTTAGAGAAACAGATATTTTTCACTGCTTTCTGGACCAGCAGAGGTGACGTTGGGAAAGGGGGACAAAAATAAAGCTAATATTGAAAGAGCATTCTACTTCCCACACATCCTGCAATTTCAGAGATAGAGTTTGTCCTTCTGCCTTGTCAGGAACAGAGCTAAGAATCAAGGATGCAAGATAATAAAGCAGCTCATTGGCAAAACCTGGAGCATGCTGCCACTTTGTGAAAGTAAATAAAATTAGCTTTAGAATTTTCCTTTGGCCTCTCTGGCCTCCAGAAACAAGAGGAATATTGGGGTCATTGAGGCCAAAGGAGAGTGGAGTGGCAAGGAGAGGAAGAGGAGGTATTTGCTTAATCTCTGACGGCACTGGCTCATTGCACAAGGGAACAGAGTGGGAAATAAGAGGTAAAATTAGCTCCCATCCCTTTGAGACACATGACAGATCAACCAACAAGAAAGAATTCTAGGGAAAGTAAGAATTGACAAGCCAGAAGTCCTTGTAACCAAGTCTTTTTCATCCTTCCTGATGATTTTGGTCATATTTTACCTTCTTCCCATTTTTCTTCAAAATTCGACTTGCAGGATTTGCTTTCAGCACCTGAGAAGAACTGACTAAAAGCAATGCTTCTGAAATTTTTGAAACTTACATTTTTGTTATTTTTTTGCACTTACATAATTTGATTTTTACTGAAGAATGATTTGTGTATATGTTGGTGACTTAACAAGAAAAAATACTTTTTAGGTCTTCTAGGAAAGATTTAATTTATAGAACACTAGAACTAGATTTAACTTTATAGAAAAGAAGATTTTTTAACGGTTACTTTCTCATGAAATTTTCTTGGACAAATTACTTGAACTCTCAAAGTCTCAGTTGTTTTTTTTTTTTTTTAAATCTGGAAAACAGAAATAATAATATCTACCTCATGGGGTTGGCGTGACACAGGAAAGATAGCAATTTAAGAGTGTTAGCTGCAACTGGGCAAATGTAGATCCCTTGATATAGATATGGCCTGCATGAATAAATCAACAACAGAATAAATTAACCTAATGCTTTATGAAATCTTACCATGGAACTTCCAAACAATGCTATGAAATCAGAACTAATCTTGGTACCTTAGTGTCTGGCCCCAAAATGAAAGGTCGATATATGACCTGTTTTCTCATGCAAGTAACTAATCTGTTCTAAAGAGGAATAATTCTAAAGCAGAAGGAAGTTTTGTGAAGAAACAGATTGTGATTTATGCAAAAACAAGACTTCCTAAGGGATTTTATATTTTTATGGTGCTTTATAGCTCATAAGTGACTTTAACCTTCCTCATCTCTTTTGGACCAAAATCACCCCCAGAAAAAAGCTGGAAAGGGGTCAATCACCTTGGTTTTACAAATGGAGAAATAAAGGCTTCAAAAGAGTAAAGAACTCATCCACAGGCCAGGTGCGGTGGCTTACACCTGTAATCCCAGCACTTTAGAAGCCTGAGGTGGGTGGGTTGCTTGAGTTCTGGAGCTCGGGACCAGCCTGGGCAACATGGTGAAACCCTGTACTTACCAAAAATACAAAAAATTATCCAGGCGTGGTGGTGTGCACCTGTAGTCCCAACTACTCAGGGGCCTGAGGTGGGAGGATTGCTTGAGCCTGGGAGGCAAAGGTTGCAGTGAACTAAGATCATGCTAATGCACTCTAACCTCAAGGCTAATAAAGGCTAGAAGTAGCCTCAAACTCAGTCTTCTATGTCCAGCTCTAACTAAGGTCACTTTGGTTTAGGAACTATAGTTAAAGATATTCCAAAGTACTATTGAACCCTTTTCTACCTATGGGTATATTTTTCTGTTTTCCTACATATAAAGTGGCTACAAGCACTTGAGTAAGGGTTTAGATGAATGTTTGATTAGTTTTTATGATGAAAGTATATAAAGTTTCACCAAAGTTCTTGAAGTACTCATGTGTGAATAAGCTCCCAATGTATAATGGGGTTGAACTAAATGAGAAAAAGATAGTCAAGTGGTCTATTCTGCAGGGTTGCTCTGAGTTATTGCATAGCATGCTGCTGTGATCTGAATGTTGGTGTCTCCCCGCCAATTAACATGTTGGGACTGAACACCCAACATAATAGTATTCAGAGGTGGGAAGTGATGACGTCATGGGGCCCCCCACCCTTATAAATGGGATTGCTTCCTTATAAAAGAAGTGAATCTGTTGTGCCCCTTCCACCATGTGAGGACACAGTAACCAGGCACCATCTGTGAGGGCCTTCACCACACACTGAACCTGCTGGTGTCTTGATCTTGAACTTCCCAGCCTCCAGAACTGTGAGCAATAAATTTCTATTGTTTATAAACTACCCAGTCAATACTATTTTGTTATAGTGGGCCAAATGAATGAAGACAATGCTAACCAAGCCTTTCCATTGCACCATTCCTGCTGTTTTGTCCTGCATTTTCAATGAAGCCTGCAGACATGCAGCTTTGTGCCTTTCAACATTCAGCATGGGACAGGACTTCCAGATGGCTCTGGCCTACCCAAGACTGATTTTGATCCATTTTAAGGGATCTCTATTTCAGTTCCAAGCCCTCAGGCTATCTTCCAGTTCCTCCCCTTCTGGCAACCCTACTGAGGCAACCCTACTGAGACCTCAGAACACACAATAAGCTACAGCAGGTCTTATGGCACTCCACTTTTCTGCCAGTCCTCAGCAGCACTGGTGGGCAAGATTCAGGGACATGGAGGCCTCTGTGTGTTTGGCACTGTGCCAGGGACTCAGGTAAGAACCTAAGAGGGTCCTTGCCTTGAAAGCCCAAGGATGAATCCTCATTTCTTTTTATCCTTGCTGCCTAAACAACTGGATCTGTGAAGGAATTGGTTCTCTAATGTATTTTCTTTCAGTGAGTTCCCAAAGCAGTTTATTGTTACCAGAAAGTAGCACAAGAAAACCAGCAAACAGCCAGCCCATTCTCTTCAGTGAGTTCCTGTGGCAGTTTTGGGGGACTCCGCTGCACACTGCTACTTGTGCTTCCTTGGGGCACAGCATCCTTGGTTCCTGGGCAGTAAGCATTGCTAGCCTCCACCCCATCCATTGTGATGACAAAAAACATACACCCATCTCCATACCCCTCAGTTTGAGAATCACTGAGTTAGTTTGACTAGGAATTGTTTTGTTTAGAAACATCTTACCCAATGACAGCAGAGTCAGCAAACTACTAACTGCAAGCAGAATTTGATCCAGAGCTGGTTTTATATGACTCTCAAGCTAAGACTGGTTTTTGTTGTTGCTGTTGTTGTTGCTTTTTTTTTTTTTAAAAAAAAAAAACATTTTTAAAGGGTTGGAAGAGTAGGAGGAGGAGAAGGAGAAGAAGAGTTTGCATGTGGTCTGCAAAGTCTAAAATATTCTCTGGTTCCTTATAGAAAAAGTTCCCAAGTCAACAAACAATGACCAAGTGCCAAACTAACTACCACATACTGGTGACAGTGTGATGGATAAGACATCATTGTGGTCCTTAGGAAACCATAGTCATGTGTGGGAGAAAATAAATGCCCTGGAATAACACATGCAATGTGTGCAATGATTGGGTTATACAAATGTTGCCATGGAAGCACAAAAGAGGGGCACCTAATTCAGCCTTGGGGACTTAGGGCATGCACATCAGGGAGGTCTTCCAAGAGGAGGTGGCAGGTCAAATGAATCTGGAAAGAGAAGTAGGTATTAGGCAGGAGAAGGGTGCAGTGAAGCTGAGGGAGGATGGTGAGGTGAAAAAGACAGTGGAGGGAGATGGAGAGAGGTGCAGAGCTGTTACTGGAACACACGATAGGGCATGTCAAGAATGGAGGCCAGGGAGGAAGCAGAGGCTGCTGAAAAAGACTTTGCACCTCACAACCAGATGCTTGGACTTCACCCATTTTCAAATGCTGGCACCACCACTTAGTAGCTGTGTGGCCTAACACAAAGTATTTAACCTTTCTGTGCCTCGATTTCCTTATCTGTCACATGTGGCTAGGGGTCTTCCTCACAAAGATGCCGAGAACATTAAATGAATAATACGTACAATGCATACAGAACTGTGCCAGCCCATAACTGTACTCAGCAAATGCTGGTGGCTGTTGCTGTCAGTGCTCTTACTATGCTATAAGCAACAGGAAGGTATTAAAAAGCTGTGAGCACCTACTATGTGCCTGTCTCTCCATTGGCACCAGGAATGTGATGGTCTTACTTGTCTTATGACATCTGTGTCAGACCTAGAGCTTGCAGGAATACAGACAAAAAGTGTTCTGACTATGGAGTTCCCTGGTGCCAGCTGCCACCATGTTCAGGAGGTAGTAATGGCCCATCTGCTCTTCTGCTGAAGCTGCTTAGGAGTCAGCCTTAGAGAAGACATTTGCATCTGAAAGCTCAAGAAGGCAGGAGCTCCAGCATAAGGGCATGAAGGACTCCTTAACTCAGGAGCCACATGCTTCTTTCTTTCTCCTAAAAGGAAAATATCAAACATGGCTTAACAGTGGAGAAAAGTATCACGTTGTCTTGTCACTAGTCTCATACTTCATCCTGGGCAGCATTTTTCTTTTTTTTTCCTCAATGACCCTATCAAGTCATCAACTCTCTGAAATGACTTAGGGCCCATGCAGTCCTTAAGTGGGTCTCTGCTTCTTCACATGAAGGAAAAAATATCTCTCCCTGAACATGAAGTCCAATCCCAGAGCAGAAGTCACCCTGGAAACAGAGTCCATAATGCAGTGAGGGCTTGTGTAGGACAGAAGAGGAATCACTTCCTGCTCTTTCCTGTGGGTTCTCCCTCTGGTTGCTTTGCCTCAGCTCCAGGGACTGCCTCAGACACAGACAGAGCCTGCAAAAGAGGCAGGAGAGTAAGCAGCGGTTTGGAACAGACAGGTCTGTGAAACCCCCCTCCCCATTTCTCCTGTTGACAGTGCAGTGAGCAGAGACAGCTGCCCTCCTTCTGTGAAGCCCCCCCAAGGCTTCTGAGTTGGCGGTGGCCCCCAGGGTGGGGGCTGTGAGGAAAGTGAAAGCAGCATCACTCTCTGGCATGCTGAGAGCCTCTCCTCTAGGTTTCTGGGGATTTCACTCATAGGTTCCACATTACCCTGCAAAGCTGGGAGAACTAGGGACTACGGTGGCCATTAAAACTTGTGAATGTTCGGGGTTTAATGGAGAATATTCTAAGCTGCTGGTGGGCTCTTAGGAGAGGAATGGCACATTCAAAGAGGCAGATCTGTGTGGACTGAGGATGCAGCACTTCACTGAGTGTGGCAGCTCCCGTCACACCCTTGGCTCAGGTTCTGCCTTCTCCACTGCAAAGCAGCCTGGCGCAGATAGCTGGCAGCCTCAGCCACCCAGCCTGGGGCCCCTGTGAGTTGGGCACTGAATATGCAATCTCTAAGTGCTCTGGGCTTCTTTGAGGAGGAGGACATTATCTTTCATATTATTATATAATAATGAGAAAATGTTCCTGCCTGCTGTGGCTTTCTGGCCAAGTACACTGTGCTCTGTGAGGAAATATGGTTACAGGAATTATGCTCTTATTTATCGTCCCTCCAGAATATCAAAGTTGACAGCACAGAGACACAGGCCTGTGGTCATTTCCAGATCATTTTCCTGTTCCCCACTTCCCCTGTCCCAGCCATCATCACTTACTCTGCCTCCAGCCCCTGGGCCTCAGGCCCCTCACTTTTTCACCCACTTCCTCTGAGGACAATTTCCTCATTTAATTCTTACTTAGTCCTAGGAGTTAGGTATATTATTGTTTTCATTTTACAATTGAGGAACCTGAGGCCCAGTTAAGTAATTTGCCCAGGGTCACACAGCTAGTAAGTGGCAGGGTACAGATTTAAACCCAGGCAGTCTGGTTCCATAATTTGTGCTTCTAATCCTGGCTATTCAGCCTTCAGGTCTGGTGCTTTTTCTATGTGGTTCTAGGAACAGAACAAACTGTGGGCACCATGGGACTTGGCATCCAGAGGTGGGGACACTGTGGAGACAAGGAGCACTGTGGATCTGCCCAGCCACCCAGCTGTGTGAGATGAGCCCTTGTGGAAGCTCCAGGCCATGCAAAGGGGACAAAGAATCCTTTCCCCTTGGGACGTTTCCAGAGCTTCTTGGATAATCCCATGGTTTGGGTGTCTGAAATCCCTATGGGAAGCCCAGCACTTCCAGAGTGACTGCTGGGATTCTCAGAGCTTCCCAGAACCAGCTTTGATTTGTGCGGCTAAGCTATGGGTGACCAGCTGCAGAACACCCCTGGTTCCGGGCCAGCTCTCTGGGCATGGCCAGCAATGGTCCATGGGGACCTCTCCAGGAACACTCAGTCCAAACGTGCTGGAGTCTGTTACTGTGCATCTCTGGGCATGAGCCTGTGTGTGGGTGTAAACGGACAAATGAGCGTCTCCCCACGGCGAACCTCACTGTGTTGTCATGTTGTGTCTTCACTTTTGTCCACTAGCATGTGTGTGTGGGAGGGGACTCACGTCTAGATATGGGTATATAATAATATGAGCATACGACATGTCAAAGCTCATGTGAAAGAGGGTAGGTTGGGGTATGTAGCTGTGTAGCCATGTGTGTGCATATGGATACACCCTCCTAGTGGTTCTCCACCCCGTTGTGGCTTACAGCTGCCTTAGAAATTTCCCCTTTTGCTGCCTCAGGATCCCTGGCATGTTCCAATGTAACCTGGGCCCTGCCTTGCAGAGACCGGCAGTTTGGTGCTCTGTTGGCCTGCCTTTGTTCCTGCAGGGTGCAGCTCCTGTCTGCTTTCCCTCGCCTCCCATTGGTTTCTGTTCACCTCTCTTGCACCACCCCAAGCCTTGCTGACGTGCCCCTGGCCACATTTGTAGGGAGCTAGCAACTATTCGGTTTGGAGGCAGTTTTTGAGCCAATGAAAGGTCAGTGCCCAGAAGTCCCTGGAGCTATGGCAGGCTTGGATCCACGAGTTTCTGCAACCCACATCACCATCTCCTTCTGACCCAAGCCTCTCCCTCCAGCCTAGGCAGGCACAGCTGGTGGTTGAGGGCCCTCCCTGTCTAGTCATTCTGCCTTAGATTGGTTCCCAGTTGAAAGCAGCAACACTCTCTGGCATGCTGAGAGCCTCTCCTCTAGGTTTCTGGGGATTTCACTCATAGGTTCCACATTACCCTGCAAAGCTGGGAGAACTAGGGACTACGGTGGCCATTAAAACTTGTGAATGTTTGGGGTTTAATGGAGAATATTCTAAGCTGCTGGTGGGCTCTTAGGAGAGGAATGGCACATTCAAAGAGGCAGATCTGGGAGATGTTTCTGCAGCCTGGCAGGGAGAAGCAGCTCTTGGCACCAGCTCTAAGAGGCCTGGTGCAATGCCACTCCCTCTGCAGCAGCACTCCTCCTGAGGCCTCGGGCTCCCCATCCTCAGCAACCCCTGCTCAGGTCTCCCCAGTGTGTGACTGGCCCTTAATGCTGCTCTTTGGCCAGAAGGGCTGAGGCAGAGTGCCTCCAGGTGGGGACTTTCTTATGATGAGGAAAATGATCAGAAAGTTCTATGACCTTGGACAAATTACTTAAGCTTTCCGTGCCTCGGTTTTTCAAACTGCAAAATGGGAATAGTAACCGTATGTACCTCACAGGGTTGTGGTGAGAACTGAGTTACTCTGTGTAAAGCACTTGGAACAATATCTGGCTTGTAAGCACTCAATAACTGTTTGCTACGATTAGACTATCCCACTGGTCAAGCTAGCCTTTTACCTGGGTCTGCTGGATGGGGGAAGAAGGGAGGGACAATGCCCTTCCATCCCAGGAAAGGATTCCCACTGACCTAGCATTACAGAGTACATGCAGGCTGCCTGGTGGACGCAGCCCTGAGCTGCCTTCCTGTCAAGGCAGGTGAGCACATCCTGCCTCTCCCTGCTTTAATATCTCTGAAGTCTTTTCTTAAAGGTCAGCAGAGCAGAGAGACCCCTCTAGAATTGGTCTCTTGTGATAAGGCCAGAAGACCTAGACTCTAAAAATAAACCTTAATAAGATTTTAAGTAAACACTTTCTCTACAACAATTCAGATCACGATTCCTTTCCTCTCCTAGAGCAATGTGACCTATAGCGAAGCCCATTCCCGTCGAGTTGAAAATGTCAAAGGCTTCCAGAGTGCGACGTGAACTCAGATAAGACTCGTTCTGCCTCTGGCCTGCCTTGCAGCCTTCGTGTATGAGCCCCGGTCTCACCCCAGGGTGCACCGGGCGCTCCTGTCCACCCCACCCCCGCAGCCCACTGGGCCGGGTGAACCCCTGAGCCCCGCTGCAGTGTGTCCGCACTAGAGCCAAGCAGGAGAGGGAAAGGCGTCTGCAGTCCGGGTTTGCCCCAACGTGCTGCTCTCAGAGGTGGTGTCTGGGGACCACCGAGTTTATCTGCGGGTGGGGGCCAGCCTGGATAGCCCAGTGCGGCGCAGGGCGGTGCTCAGGGCTGTGGAATGCCCCGAAGGGCGTAGGCTCGGGGTCTCCCAGCCAGGACACACAAGGCAGGCTGGGGAGCCAGGGTCAGCCAGGGCACGCCGCTGAGATGTCTTTCCTGCTCCTTCTCCCCGGGAAGCAAGGGAAGCAAAAGGCCAGAGGGGTGCTGGGATCGCTGTCCGCAGCACCAGCCTTCTCCTGGGACGTGTTCAGAAAGAGGGAGGCTACAGTGGGCGGGGAGAGAAGAAGGAAGAGAAGGTGGGCAGAAAGGGGGCAAGATGAAGCGGCAAGGAGGAGGGAAAGGAGAAGCTAAGGAGGGAGGATGGGGAGGCGGCGACAATGGCCGCGCTACCGGTCGCCCACTGTGCTGCGGTGGGTCGGGGCCCACTGCCCCTCGCTGGGGCACCTGGGGAGGGGGCGCTGGGGCACCTGGAGAGGGCGCGCAGGAGCAGCGGGCCGAGCCTTCTGCGGGGATGGGGTGGGAAGAGAAGAAATGAAGACACAGAGGAGTAGAACAAAGAGGCGGGAGCACCCCGCCAGGGGACCGGGAAGGGTCGAGGAAAACTGCTGCCGCGCCCCACTGGGTTTTAACAACGCCCGGGATGGGGGAAGGGCTCCCACTTGCGCCCCAAGCGCATGCGGAGAAGGTTCGGCAGCGCCTCCTGCCGGCCGCCCGGAGGGTCCGCGGTGGCGCCAGCCCCGATCGCAGCCGCGCAGGCCCGAGGGCCCCTACCCGCACGGTGAATTGTCTTCCACGCACTAGTATTTTCTCCTCGCTTTCAACTGAATGGCGGCATTGGTTTCACTATTTCCTTCCTGGAGCTGTGGTTGAGGCCGACTGTCCCAGCTAGAATGAAATATTATTGTACTCTAGCCTCTGTCTCTGGTTTGGGATTTGAAGATTTCAGAAAAGATGCATTCTCTCATAATTAATGCAGGTGGCTGTCACTGCGGCCACAGTTGGCCCCAGGCAAAAGAGCACAGACTGAGAAATTGAGGTGAGGGAAAGGAAGTAATAAACACAGCCTAGATAGACGGCAAATGAAACCTTGCTTAACCTACTGCTGAGTACAGGAGCCAGCGGGGCACTGCACCGTCCCCCCTCCACTACTCCACCAACCCTCTACCAAACGCTTTGTATATGTCTCCTCACTTAATCCCCAGAGTCACCCCGTATATTAGCTAGTATTAGCCCCGTTTTACGGATCAGAAGACTACAATTTCAAGAGGTTAAGTCACTTGCTCACAGTCACACTGCCAGCAATAAGAAAGGCTCACATTTGAACCTGGATCTGACTTTGCAGTGTTTTCCTGTCTCCCAGGGAACGCTTCCTTACACACCGCCCCTCTTGATTCCTTCCCTTGGGGACCCAGCATTCCCAGTTTTCTCCTCACCCTCGTTTCCCTACCTCATCCCTAGCCCAGCCTCAGGCACCCATCTGCCCTCTCTAGCTCCACGTCTGCATTGCAATATGTTCTATGAGGAGGATCTGGAACTAGTTCATACCGAGGTTTCAGTGACTGATAGGCACTTAAAGGACCTCCCACCCCCCAAAGAGTTATCTTTAAAGTAGAATCTAAGCCTCCAGTTAGACGAAGTTCTTAAGGACATTGATTCAAGCAAGAGCCAGGAAAGTGGAGCAGTGCTGTGGGTGCAGCAAACCCTACAGGTGCTCCCCAACCCCATAAGCAAGGTCCACTCCTTCTGTGAGCGTTAGCAGATGAGTCTGGAGGGGCGGTGTGATGGGCCCTTAGTTGAGAACCTACTGTGTGCCTGGTACATACTGCCACACACTTCACAAATGTTACCCCCTTTATTCCCCGGAACTATCCATGAGCTGGTTGCAACTTTTCTCTGTTTCACAGAGGAGGGAACCAGGGCCTGCTTAGAGATTCAATAACTTGCCCAAGGAAATGCTGCTAGTAAGTACCTAAATTGATATTTAAACCCATTCTTTCAATCAGTTATTCAGTAAGCATATTTTCTAAATTTTTCTTCTCAAAATTTTTTTTAGAGACGGCTTTTTCCTTTGCTTCCCAGCCTGGAATGCAGTGGCACAATGATAGCTCATGGTATCCTTGACTCCCTGCGCTCAAACGATCCTCCTGACTCAGCTTCCTGATTAGCTGAGGCTACGGGCATGTGCCACAAGGCCCACCTAATTTTTTTTTCTAGCATTGGGGTCTTGCTATGCTGCCCAGGCTGGTCTGGAACTCCCAGTCTCAAGCACTCCTCCAAGCACTCCTCCAACCTCGGCATCCCAAAGTGCTGGGATTACAGGTGTGAGCCACCGTGCCCGACCAAGCACATTTTTCAATCTTTAAGTACTATTTGGCTGTCTGAAGCCATGGAAATGAGATATAATTCTTCTCTCCCTCACTGCTTTTGCTCCCAAGGGACCAAATGGACATATCAACAAATCACTATAGTGAGGTGTTTCAGGCTAGATGTTGTTTGGAGTACCGTGGGTGGGCCATAAACACTAAATACACAGTTCTTCCTAAGGGCAGGAGGTAAGAGAACTATGGAACCAGGCCTGTCCCATCCCCTCCAGAAGTACTGTGGTGTGGGGGAGGGGGCCACAGTGGCTTCAGATGGGACCTCTTAAGAAGTCCCTTGACTCCCCTCCTGTGGGTCTTCTGGCTTCACTGTGGCATCCGGAGATTATTAGATCATTATAAAGTGCTTGCATTTCTTGGTATATTTGGGCAGCTTAATGTATAGGAATCATAATTTTTCTTTGCTTTTCCAGTTCAACAGAGGATGGTTTTAAAATATACTTGACTTGAAGAATAAGGATGAAAAATAAAATGTGGGAGCCTGAGGTAAAAATGGAAAATAGATGAAACTCAAAGTATTTTCAAGGTGTCTTTTTCTCTGTGTTTCTATTTTGCAGGTTTTAAAAGCAGAATTAAAGTGTAAAGTAGAGGGAAATTTCTCTGATGCAGCATTTACATAAGAAACACATTCAGAAAAAGAGGCTGTGATTCTGAACGCGTCCTTATTATACTGCACTAAAAATCTCCCTTGGGATGAGGGAGGTTTAAATTAGTTGGAGAGAGAAGGAAATAAAATCCTCTTTTTCAAAATGCAAATCTCTCCCAAACTAAAAATTCTACCTTAGGAAATGGCCACACAGGGTTCATGAGCAGACAAAGCCCTCATTGTATAAGGACCCCACCTTCTCAAGCCTTCAGCACAATTCACCGGCTTTTCCTACATCTCCTCCACAAGTCCCAACATAGAACTTGGTGCCACATCACAGACCTCAGTAAAATTCACAAGGAGGTTCTTGTTTTTAGTTGTTGTACATTTTGCTGTGGAAATGTATCCACAGGCCATTTTAGTTGACTTGAGAAATCAAAGTTAATGGGAATAGCACAGAATGTCATGCACCTCCACAAGCCCATATTATGTATGTGTGTATTTGCGTATATTTTCTCCAACATCTGTCAATATTTGCATGCTAAACTGCATAGAATTTCACAGACAAGTATAATGCCATTAACATCATGTGCTAGTTAGCTATTGCTACATAGCAAACAACCTCAAACTTAGTGGCTTAAACAGCAACTTTTTTTTTTTTTTGGGATGGAGTCTCACTCTGTTGTCAGGCTGGAGTGCAGTGGTGCGATCTCAGCTCACTGCAACCTCCGTCTCCTGGGTTCAAGTAATTCTCCTGTCTCAGCCTCCCAAGTATCTGGGACTACAGGCACATGCCACCATGCCCAGCTAATTTTTGTATTCTTAGTAGAGACGGGATTTCACCATGTTGGCCAGGATGGTCTCGATCTCTTGACCTTATGATCTGCCCTCCTCGACCTCCCAAAGTGCTGGGATTATAGGCATGAGCCACTGCACCTGTCCAAACAGCAACCATTTTATTATGTATCATGATTTTCTAGATCAGGAATTAGGGCAGGGCTGGGCTGGATGATTCTCCTGCTCCAGAGTGACACAGGTTGGGGTCACTTGGTGGTATTCAACTAGTGGTGAGGCGGGTCTGGAGGGCCCAAAACTGTTTGACTCACATATCTGGCACATTGGCTGGGATGGCTGCAAGGCTGGAGTCCATGGGTCCCTCTCTCCATGTAGACTCAAGGCCTCTCCTCGGAGTCTCTCACACACCAATTTACTGTGCCCGTAGCTGGCACATTGTCACTTCTTCTGCAGTTATTATTGGTCAAAGCAAGTCCCAGTGTAGCCCAGAATCATGGGGAGGGGAAATAAACCCCATATCTCTAAGGGACACCGATCAAATAATTTGTGACCATCTCTAATCCACAGTACCCAGTATCAATAAATTTTATGTTTAGACTTATTTTTCCATGGATATGAATAGGCTGGAGAGAATAGAAGAATCTGAGATCTGGAAGAGGCCTTGAAGATCATCCAGTTCACATTTACAGAGAAGGTAATTGGAGGCTTAGAGAGATCTAATAACCTGGGTCACAAAGCCACCAATTGCAAAGACAGATCTCAAACTCAAGTTTTCTGACCCCAGAGTCAATAAATACTTACTTACTAAGTGCCTACTAGGTTCACAGCCCAGCACTTACACCAAAACAAGAAAGGCAAAGTTAAGTATAATGTGGTTCTTGGTGTCCAAGAGTTTATAATCAAATAGAAGGGAAGAGTCAAGAAAAAACCTAAATGTATCGCATATAACATGCCATGGAATTCTATGGACAGATAAGTTTAATAGCTAGGGAGTTTAGCAAGAGATTTCTGGAAGACCTGGAGTTTGATATTGGCCTTTAAGGATGGGTGAAACTTTTGACTGATGACACTATAGCAGGGAGACATTTCAGCCACAGCACATCATGAGGATAGGCAGAGTGACTGGCTAGCCAGGGAAATGTGTGGTGGCAACCTGGGATATGTGTAGGGTGGCAGAGAGCAAGAAACCTGGGCCCCAATGTCAGGGAGAGGAGCCAGGACTTTGTTCTGTATTGTTTATCCTCTCAGACTTGCAGCCCCAGAGCCCCAGGGTGCACATTGTTCAGATACCTGTCCACATTCTACCACTAGCCTGTGGTGATTTACTGAGATGCTTTAGAGTTAAATCAACTTCATGAGTGGGATTGACTTTCTGCTCTAGCCCAGCTGTTCTCAAGGCTGACAACACATAAAAATCTCCATGGATGCCTTTAGATTCTCTGAGGTGGGACCCGTGTCCTGTTTTTGTTTGTTTCTAACTTCCAGGTGATTTTAATGTGATGGAATAGTTGGTCTCAAAACTCTAGTGCACCTCAGAATCATTCATAGAGCTTATCAAAATACAGATTACTGGGTCCCACTCCCACAGTTTCTGGTTTAGAAATTCTATGGAAGGTCCCAAGAATTCACATTTCCAACAAGTTCTCTGGTGATGCCTGTGCTGCTAGTCCTTGGACCACACTTTGAGAAGCAATGCTCACACTACTGACCTAATCAGTTATGTATCTAAATCTACCTCTTTGGCAATTCCATCATTGCAAAGAGAAATGAGGTTGCAGACTGTATAGTACTAACCCCTGCTACTCAAAGTGAGGTCCCTGGACCAGCATCATTGGCATCAACTTGTTAGACACATAGAATCCCAGGCTGCCCCTTAGACCTACTTCATGAGCATCTGCTTTTAAGAAAGATTGCCCAGGCAATTTGAGGGCATAGTTCAGTGTGAGAAGCACTGCTCTTGAGTGTGTTTAGTTCTCTCTGGACACATCCTGAGTCTTGATAGTATCCCCACATTCTCCAGATGAGCAGAGGTCCCCAGGCACAGCAGCAGCTCTAATGATTTAGCTGAGACAGGGCGCTCACTGAGAGGTCTGTAACACATACACTCCTTCACACTGCCCTGTTCATAACTAAATGCCCCCAATTTGTTCTTAGTGTCTTGATTAAGGGAATTTTTCCTCCTCTTTTCAATATGGAGAATTAATGACTCACTCAGTTAAGCTTTATCTACTGACTTGGAATTTGCCTGCTTTTCATATGGCTTGTTCCAAGCTAGCTACACCTTGCATCAGTTATATCATTGATGGTTCACCATAGTAAGATCATAAAAGTCTTTCTAACCCTTTCCAAAGCGCAAGACCCTTGCCTTAGCTTCTTAGCCAATTAGTTAAATTTAATCCCTTTGGTGGATGGGGTGCAGGAGAGGTCAGGCTGCTGCTACTATCTCATTTCCAGTTGGCTCCCCCATCTCCTTTTGCCAATCTCATGATCTATTGGATTGTCCCAAAACCTGAAGTGCAATCTTTCACAGAAGAGAAAAAAATCACCTGAAGAGGTCACTTCAGTTCTCTTAGCAGCACAGGCATATATTAGGTACCATGCAGGCAAGGTTCCAAGCAAGACAATTCCTCATGGAAATTCTTGCCATTTTCACAGGATGCTGTATTTTTCTATTTTTAACAAAAGAACACCATTGTCTGGGGATGGGAAAAGGTTTGACTTACATGAAAAAAGAAAGTTGCATCAATGCCAATAAGAGTGAAGTCTCCTGATATAATAATCAATTTTCTTGTCAAGGTACAGGTGGTTATACTGTGACTAGAAACAACCATCAAAATTATCCTACTCTGGCTGACCAAGTCGTTGTTTAATTGAGGGTGCTATCTTGTGGCAGGAAGCAGAGAGTGAACTATGCCAGTTAAGTGGTGTGTGTGTGTGTGTGTGTGTGTGTGTGTGTGTGTGTGTGTTTTGTGGGTGAATACCTGTGTGACCAGCTTTGAGAAAAACAGTGTTCAAAAGTTAATAGTTGGGAACTTAATCAGGGAGGGATTATGTGTATTTCAAAAAGAATTTGCCACAGTTTTCTTTAAATACCAAGGACCCAGGACTTAGAGAATCTGAGAGGAGATGGAGATGCTTTGAGGGAAGCTTGCTAGCCAGGGGTCTCAGAAAGACAGCACCTACAGGGAGATAACGTAGTCCAGAGTCTGTTTCTTGGCTTTGTAGATCCAGAAGCTCAGTCTGGAAATAACAGAGTTGATGGGGCTCTGTGGGGACTGACTATCACTAATCCAACTTGTAAGGGCCCAAGGTGCAATAACCTAGTTGCCTATCTGTTGGTTTACTGTGGAAACTCTCTTTCCATTAATTATTTAGCAAATTTTATTAAATGCCTGCTATGGGCTCAGATTCCCTGCTTCATACATTCCCTGTATGTACATGCTACATACATTCTAGAGGGGAAGAGATAAGATAAGTAAATAAGTATTTGATATATCAGATAATAATATGGGCTGCCAGAAAATCAAGGTAGAATGAGGGGAAGAGAAAGGGTTGAGGTGGAAGTGAGGGTAGGGGGTTGTTCCTACTTCATCTAGGAATGTCAGGTAAGATCTTTCTGATAAGGAGACATCTGAGCAGAAACCTGAAGGAGCTAGATGCAAAGATATGTGCAGGAGGGGTACTCCCAGCAGAGTGCCAGTAAGTGGAGAGGCAAGTATTTGCTTGATATGTTCAGGGAACTGCAAGGAGGTCAGCGTGGCTACAGAGAAGTGAGAGAGAGGCAGAGGGGATAAAGTCAGAATGGTAGTCCCGCAAATCCCTTTCAGGCCTTTGTAAGGATTTTGGCTTTGCTCTGAGTGAGATTTTGAGCTGCCAAGTCCATTTTAATGGACTCGCTCTGGCTGGCTGTGTTGAAAATCGGTAATGGGGGTCAAGGGAAGAAGCAGGGAGACCAGGTAAGATGCTTTTGTAACAATGGAGGCAGGAAATGAAGTTGGTTTGGACCAGAGGCAGCGGTGGAAGAAGCTGTGAGAAGGGGTCAGATTCTGGATACATTTTGAAAGTAGACCTAACAGGTTTTGCTGATGTTTTTGGTGTGGTATGTGAGAAAGAAGAGTACAGTCAATGATGACTCTAAGCTTTTTGGCCTGAGGAAGTAGAATGGAGTCTCTACTTGCTGAGAGTAGGAAGAGGAACTTGGCATGTGTGTGTGCTGTGTGGCTAGGAAAGAATCAAGAGATCAGTTTCGAAGATGTCAAGGCTGGCATGCCCATTATATACCTGAAGATGGCAGTTAGTACTATAGGATACATATGTCTGAAATTCAGTGGAGAGGTCTAGGCTGGAGATATCAATTTTGGAGTCACAGCATGCAGGCGGCATTTAAAGTCTGACACTGGATGAAACTACCTCAAGAGAGAATATTTAAATAGGTGTCAATGACATGAAGAAAACTCATTGAAGAAGATTGAGATGGAGCAGCCATGGAGGAGGGAGGAGAACCTAGAGGCCAACAGAGAAGTGACAAGCTGGGTCAGATGCTGCTAACGGTAGAGTAAGATGAGAACTGAGACTTAACTACTGGATTTAGAAACCAGGAGGTTATCACTAAAGAAAAGGGAATAAAAGTGTGACTGGACTAGACTCCAGAGACAATGAAAGGAAAGGAGATGAAGAGAGTGCGTATATACAGATCTCAAGTATTTTGCTCTAAAACAGAATTGAGGTCAGGGTTAACAAGGGTTTGGGGTCAAGGGAGGTTTTGGGGTTTTCATTTGTTTTGTTTCAGGATGGAAAATATCAGAGCATGTTTGCTGATGGAAATGGCTTGTGGAGCGGAAGAGTTTTTGGAGTCATGTCCTTGGATAGGTGAGAGGAGATAAGGTCCAAAGACAGATGGAAGAACTGGCCTTGAACAGGAGCATGGCAGTTCATTCATAGTAGCAGAAAGGACAGCGTGGTGGCTCACATCTGTAATCCCAGCTCTCTGGGAGACCTAGGCAGGCAGATAACTTCAGCTCAGGAGCTCAAGACCAGCCTGGGCAACATGGTGCAACCTTGTCTCCACACAAACAAAAAAATTAGCTGGACATGGTGGTGAGCCTGTAGTCTCAGCTACTCGAGAGGTAGAGGTGGGAGGAGTGCTTGAGCCTGGGAGGTCAAGGCTGCGGTGAGCTGTGATCATGCCACTGCACTCCAGCCTGGGCGACAGGGTGAGACTGTCTCAAAAAAAAAAAAAAAAAAAAAAAGTAGCAGAAAGGAAGTCAGTGTACAAGTACTTGGTAGATCTGATGGTGGGATCATGTTTTCTTCTGATTGTTTTTCTTTGTTCTCAATGAAATTAGCAACAAAATTATCAGTTGAGATTGAGAAATGTGTGAAGGGAGGTGTCAGAAGTTTGAGGAAAAAGCTTATGCAAATGGCTGTTGTCTTGGACAGTAGGGATAGTCAATGATCTGGAGCAGTGGCTCCCAAAGTGTGATCCCAGAACCTATAGCATCAGCATGAGCATCACCTGAGAACTTGTCAGAAATGCAGATTCTCAGGCCCCACTCTGGACCTACTGAATCAGAAGGTCTGTGGCCAAGCCCAGCAATCTGGGCTTTTACAAGTTCTCCAGGTGACTCTGATGCACACTTAAGTTTAAGACTCACTAGTCTAGGAAAATATGGTATGATTGCAAGGCAGCATTAAGAGAGTTCTTGAGGTTGGTAGTCATGAATTTATAGTGTAACCAGTCAACGTACTTTATCCAAGCCAATGCTGATCATTCATCCCTGCTTCCAGCAATTAGATTAAGACTGGACATATGACCCTATTCCAGCTAACATGGCAGGAGAAAAAGTCTGCAGGCAAGGGCTTCCAGTGAGGATTTCTTTAATCTTAAAAATGAACCCAAAGAAGACATGGTCCCTTTTTGCTACTGAGTTTTGTGGTATGAGGATGTGGTACCTGGAACCGTGGCCACCGAGGAAGTAAGCCTGCGGACAGAACTGAGTGGTGAGGAAGGCAGAGTGGGAAGATGAAAAGAACAGGGATCTCTGGGGACATTGTGGAGCCACTGGACTTACTAACTCAGAGCTTACTAGCCTCTGGAAGTTGTGCAAAGTAGCATGTTCACACAGTCTCACCACCTTTAGCTGTAAAATAGTGGTGATAATAGCCACCTCTCACGACTGTTACAAAGACTAGGGGAAAATCATGTATTTGAAAATAGCTTATAACATTGTGAAGCATGATACAAATGTAAATTGCAAATGTAATTTCCAATAGGGCATTGGTATTTTCATTCAAATTATACACATTTTGTTTATATACAACATTCCAGAAAGTGAGGTATCTTGGTGGTGGAGGTGATAATGCATGTGGAGCTTCCTTAGGGCTTAGGGCTCTCTAGGACCATGTGGCCTGTCCTGTGTTAATCCAACAGGACACCAGCCCAGCCTGGGACTTCACAGACCGAGGCGCTGATGTAGTAAACACAGACAAGTGTCACTCACTGGCTCAGCATGCTGGGGGCCATCTTCAGCCCAGCTGGGCAAAAATAGAACCTGAAAACAGGTGAGAAGAGTAAATTACACAACCTGTAGCACTGCCACCCCTCTACGCATTGACATCTTTTACTTATTTCTAAGTTTCACAGTCCCTTTCAACTCTCTCCCTAAGATCACAAAGTTCATTCTGCCGGCATGCCCCTTCCATAGCAGGCAATGCTACCTTTGCCGCAGCAATCCTCCCTCCTCAGCCAGGTGTGGATGCACCCCTCACCCTCCATATTGAGGCCCCAGATGCCCTGCTCAGAGTTTGTTTCCCCAGCAGGTCCCTCCATGTGACCTACCTCTCTCCTTGCCAATTAGTGCTTTTGGAGACTTTTCCTGGACCATCTCATGTTCCTGCCCATTCAGCAGCAAAAGGAGTTCATCTTATTCCCTTAGTTATGGATAAGGCTCACATTCAAAACCCCAGTTAGCCCCATCCATTATCTTTGAACCCAGCTCATAGATTCCATTATGCAAGTATTGTATATGCATTCGGCTTTGAGGAAAGTGGTGCCCTTTGATCTGTATAACCTTTAGGTTTAGCCTGGTCGAGTCACCCTTGGTAGAAGGATCCTTGGTAGAAGGTAGGTCTGCAACAAACAGGTCCACATTTAGGTATTGGCATGTTGAATGGTATTTTGTCATTTCACTGCTTTACTGATAACGCTTCATGCTTGGTGCTGAACGTCTTTGGCTCTGCCTTGACTCCTGTGAGAAGTCTCCCCAAAGGAGGCATCAGAAGACTTGGTGAGTCTACTCAGGGCAGGAGACATTATAAATCCATGTGAGGCCAGGAGAGACCAGATTGCATGCTGAACAGGCAATAAAAAGGTAACAGTGAAGCAATAAAACAATCCTCCAAGGGAACAGGGCACATGGCCATACACAGCAGACAGGTGACCCACGGACTGTTGGAGAGCTGCCTGAGGGACTTCAGCCTACCATGAGTGTGCCTCCCTACACCTGTTTGCAAAGCACCAGTCAGAACAGGTTGGCACAGGATGTCACCTGGATATGAGAGCCACCCTATATTCTGGGCACCTGCAGGGACCACTGGCTATGCTTCAAGGGACCAGCTTGCTCTTTTACAGAATTGAATTGTGCCCTCAGTGGAATCATGATTGCCTAGGATCCCTTGCAGGTTACCTCAAACTGGGATCTCTACACAAACTTGGTGAAGGGTATCCAAGAGTGGGCCTGGCATCTCTAGAAACATCCTGGATTAGGTGTTTGCACTCTGTGCTCTCTTTTTGTTTGAGATAAGATCTCACTCTCTTGCTCAGGTTGGAGTGCAGTGGTGCAATCATAGCTCACTGCAGTCTTGAATTCCTGGACTCAAGTGAGCCTCCTGTCTTGGCCTCCCAAAGTTCTGGGATTACCTGCATGAGTCACTGCACCCGGCCTCTGTGCTCCCCTACTAGACCCTGAGCCAGATGAGGACAAAGTCCACACTTTATTCATCAGTATTCCCAGTCACCAGGGGTGACCCAGAGCCTGACACGAGCCTATTCTCAGTGAAAGTTTGTTGAATGGAAGGCCTAGACCAGGAGTGGACAGGCTTTTTCTGTAAACAGCTCAAGAGTAAATACTTCAGACTTTCTGGGCCAGATGGTTTCTGTCACAGTCCTATTTTAACTGTAAAAGCAGCCACTGATAACATGTAAACAGAGGAGTGGGGCTATGTTCTGATAAAACTTTTAAAATAGACATTGACATTTGAATTTCATATAATTATACATGTCATGAAAGAGGCTTCTTTTGATTTTTTAACCATTTAAAAAAGTGAAAACCATTCTTTGCTTGAGAGCTATGCAAAAACAAGCAGATTTTGCCCATGGGGTGTAGCTTATTAACCCCGGGTCCAAAGCATCAAAAAGGTGCACTTTCTGTTTCCCATGGGTGATCAACATAAGTCTTCCATGCGCACTTTTTGATTACTTAATAGCCACTGGGGTGTGCAGTGGCCCTGAGTGCGTACACACACAAACACACACTTATCCAACACATGGCCATTGTTCTGGACACCAGGGTGTGAGATGTGCAGACTCCAGGTTGCCATGGTAATTGGGAATATGACTGCTTCTAGGTAAGAGAGCAGAAACTGTAGATTGTCAGCAATTTGAGGCTGATGTATCTTTCTACCTCCTCCCCCAACCATCACTCCAGTGCATATTAGACAAGGGTGGGAAACCATAAATTAGTAAAGCTGGCAGAGAGATGTGTAGCAAGGAGAGATAAGTGACAAGAAAAGGATTTCTAATGTTGGCAATGCTCCCTCTGAACTTTTACATTTTTTAGTGTATTTTAATTTGTCCGGCTCTTTCATACACTTTACCTCATATATTCTTCACAATCCTATAAGGTATAATTCACCTCTGAGGAAACTATAGTTGAGAGAGTTTGGGCATTGGCTTACTTAAGGCATGGTCTTTAAGTAGCAGAGCCAAGACTGAGATCCAGGTATTTTTAACCAAAGTGTCTGTCCATGTATTCAGTAAACAAGTTTTGAATGTACTGAATATCATGCACTGTGAAATAATATGAATAAAATGTGGTTTATGTCCTCTGGGTATCACCATCTAGTGCCATGGTTCCCATGCCTGTCTTATTGTTGGTTCCCTGCCAGAGATCTCTTTAATGCAGATTCTCAGGCCCAGGTGTGATGGATTGCATCGGATCTCTGGTGGGGGCAAACACTTTACGGGGCAAGGGCCATAGGCCAAGCTCCCTTCCTCACCTCTACCTGCTCTAACCCGGTTGGTCAACTGGGGAAAGGCCGACTCCAGACCCCAGAAGAAGCTCCTGAAGTCTTGTCCTGCAGGGGGGCAATTCTAGAATAGGATTTACAGTTTGGGCCTGTTAGGGAACCCCAGGTAGTCTCTAGATCCACTTTTGAACATCTGAATCTCTTGTTCCAGAAGCAGAATTCCTGCTGCAAATTTCTCACTCTGAGTTTGAATTTGGTATGGTGGAATAGGAAAATGAGAAAAGTTCGAGATTCCAAGGAAGAAGCTTCAGGTTTATGTAATAGTGAGCACATTACCTAACCTCTTTGAACTTTCATGTCGTCGTCTGAGGCAGACAATAATAGCCATGTTTCCCCCACCCCGCATTCCAAAAGAAGATTCATAGGAACCTGTGCAGCTGCCATCACACCAGGGAGTCCTGCCGCCCTCCCCATGCAGGTCTGCTTTGGTGTTGGGCAGTCATGGAGTGGCCTGCAGTGTGCTAGGTCAGGTAGACCAAGTTGTTGCCTGTGGATACTGGATTACCTTCTCAGAAAAACCAGCCTGTCCCAAAGCAAGTGCCCCGACATCTTGTAAGATGAAGACGAGCTTGCATTCTCTTCTGCAGTCAGTGTTGAAAGTGAACTCACTCTGCAGAGGAACACAACACGAAATTCACATTCAATCATTTAAACTCTCCTAGAGCTCAGTTTCCCAATGTATTTTGTTGACAAGTGATATTTGGGGGACAGTTTTAAGCTTGCAATCTGTCCTTATTTATGATTTCTTTGCTGTCCTCCCTTCAGAGTTTTGGTTTGGGTGACCCTCAGGTAAGTTCCCTGGAGTGTAATCTAAAGTCATCACCTCTTCTCCTCACCCAGGAGGGCAGAACCCCGCCCATCTCCTGTGGGCTCCCTCCATCCTCCTGAGCTCCGCGCACTCCCCTGCCAGACCACACCAATCTCAGGAGGTCACTTGGCTTTTTCTTTCTGGATAGGGGCTCGTCTCATTTCCATGGTTTCTTAACAGTTAGAAGTGCTTTCTATTTAATACTTAGATTTTAATTCCTTCAAATAGGCTTTGGAATTATTTATTTTGCTACTGATGAATCTTTCTTCTGGTCTAAAAGTATGAAACCCCTCCCTGTTTTGGGATTTACAGTCTGCCTGCTTTAGGTTCACAAACCTTTTCCATTAAAGGTTTTTCTCCTCTGCCAATATTTATTGCTGGAGTCACTGTTTGTCCAGAAGCTACTGTCTGCTGCATCTTCTGGGAAATGAAATTTATGTCTCCTGGCACTGATGGGGGTGACATCACCAAGTGGCATAAGCCCTGGGCCAAGCCTCCCAGTGGATGGCAAGCATGGGAGTGGGAGGGAATGGAGTGGGTTACATAAACAGACACCATCTACCTCTTCCTTTCCTGCCCCTCCCTGCACCATCCCACCCACCACTCATACTGATAGTATCATTATATGTTAATAGGATCTGTTAAAATTGACACCTGTCCTTAAAATTAGTACTAAGGGGCTGGGGTCAGTAGTGGAGAGGAGGGCAGGACCAAAGTGTCTGTTCAAAGGGCAATAGCTGTGCCTTCCTTTGTAGCAAGTCACCCTCATATGGGCCATGTGACACGTTTCCATAGCCTGTTGACAGCTGAGCTAACTAAGGCACAGTGATTCAGAATTTTGCTAGTTCATAGCAGAACCAAGTTGGAACCTAGCTCTTCAAACGCAGGTCTCTGCAGTGGCATGTGTCCTGAGAAGGTGTGATTGCAGCTCTCAGCCTCAGCCCCTCTCCCACCTGCCTTACATGAAAGTCGCCCCCAGGCTCCAACACAAGCTGGCCCACAATAGAGAGACAGAAAATGCCTGTGCAGCAGTTTGCTGGGTACATTTGGCCTCCGCCCACTCTCCTCTTTTCCCCTATTTTGCCAGCTTTCTCCTGGTTCTATTTTTTCCAAGGAGTCTTACTTAGTGCCATCTCTATATCCTCACCTCCCATTTGCTTCTCAACCTACTGCACTCTCCTCTGCTTTTGTCCTCCACACCCCACCTGAATTAACCAAGAATCTCCAACTGCCCAGCTCAATAGATAGCCTTGGGTCTAGGGCCAACGTGAGGAGTGTGGTATCCATGTAGTCGCACAGGACCCTGGACTCAGAAGAGCCCCATGTTTGGTTTAATGTTCCACCGTTGCTGCCTGAAATTCTTAGTAATTTTTGAACAAGAGATTTTGCATTCTCATATTGCACGGGACCTCACAAATTATGCAGTTGATCTTATTTGAGTCTTTAAAACATGAAACTTCTGTAACAGAAACCCAAGTTTTTTCAGTCACCCTTAGGGACCCCTTGATCTCAGGGAGAAGCCCTTCCTTAGCCTCAGAAGATGAATCTAAGTGACTAAAACAGTGATGGAATCTCAAGATTTCTGATCAGAAATTGATCTAGAGGTGATGATATGGTCTAGATCTCATAGAAGAAAGGAAAGCAAAACTTATTCTGGGTAAACCTTTGCATTTCTGTAGAAAATGGACTGACTCAGTTGGACTGCTCCTTACTCTTTTGCCTCTCCCCACTTTTCTTACTGTGGATGTGGGCACAATACCTGGAGGTGCAGCAGCCATTTCATGACACGAGGAAGAATCCAACATGTTACAAATGGAAAAGATAAAGCTAGGAGAAGCTGTTTCTCTCACGGCATTGTTGAGCACTGCCCCAGTCTTAGATTACCTCTCTCTGAACTTCTGTCATGCACAAAACACACATCAACAACCATCAAAAGCCCTTAAAGTCATTGCTGTGGATTTTTCTTTTTCACTACAGTTAAACGTTGTGTAAGTTCAATGACTTTTTGGGCAGAATTTACTACAATGTTGTGCATTCCCTCCACTTAAAACAGTCTTTCCTTGACACTCATGACGCTGTCTCAGCTGGGTTTTCTCATCATTTCTTCTCCTATTCCTCCTCCTCAGCTCAGTCCTTGATGGTGCTACCCTGAAGGATTTAGTGATTTTTTCTTTTATTCCTCCCTGGGCATCTATTGGGTACTCCTGTATGTTGGGCTTCACACTAAGTGCAGCAGTTGGAGCCATGAAGACAGGCTGTCCCATGGAGCTTGCGTTGTGTCCCCAGTTCACTGTCTCAACCATGGCCCACACACCTCCTGAGCAATCTCCTTTACTTCCCCAGCTTTAACTACATGTAGGGGTTTCATTCTGGGGTAGCGCTTCACATTGATGTACCTTATTCATCAACGGTCAACAAATCCTCCTGGAAAGAAAAGAAAGAAGAGACCGAACTGTCCTTGATGAGTCAGTCATGAAGTCATCTTTATTCCATATTTCCAGCCAAGATATGAACAGAAGACATAAAAGACCTGGTCATCTTTTATCACTCCTAAGCTCCAATTTTATTTTTCTACACTACTCAGCCATATTAGGGGGTTAAAGAGTAGTAAAGTCCCCTCACGGAATCCTGCCATATGTGGGAATTTTCTTTTATTTTCCATAAAATGTACTGAAAGATCCCATCGGATTTAAAAGTTATGGTACTGTCAGTGCTGCTAGCCCCTTACTCACATGCAAACCATGACAGAAAACAGTAAGACAGGCACCAGAAAGGGAATATGTGTCAAATTCCCCCAGAGCTCTAGCGAAAGAAGACTGCTACTATCGTTAATAGCATTTGTTTTTTAAAAATGTGCTTCATTTGGGGCTAGTTTAAAATGAAAGAGTTTAAAATAAAATGGCAACCCACTGATTTATGAGAATTTCACATAAGGATATAACCCAATTGACAGGAAGCAATTTATCCACAAAAATGATTATTATTTACTTATGATAACAAAACACTGAGAAGCAACTTTACTTATTGTTATCCGTGTAATTCACTACATTCTTACATTAGAGGAGAAAGACTGTATGATCATCTTGATTAATGCTTAAAAACCATGTGTTAAATGTCAAAGACTATTCCTAACAAAAGCTTTTAGTAAGCCAGGGATAAAAGGAAAGTTCTTAATTTGTTGATGATATGAACAAATGTTAACAAAAAACCCACAACAAACATTATACTAAACAAAGAAATGTAAGAAGCCTTTTCCTCAGAGTTTGGAAAAACACTCTACAGTACTTCAGAGTTGGGACTATGGTTACATGAGTGAGGAACTTACCTGAGGTGCAAAATTTGAGAAAGTGCCCATAAACTCAATAATCAGTAAAATAAATAACATTTTAATGCAATATTTTAAAAAATCCAATTTAAGGCAAAAAATCCCCGAAGAACAAAATATACACATATTAAAGACAGGATCAGTAAAACTGATTTCTCCTTTTGCTTCCAGCTCTGATGTGGCTCTAATACTCATTAAAATCTTTTTTGTCTTGACTGCAGAGCCTTTGGTGCCTCCCTAAGTTTTGTGCCTAAGGCCAGTGCCTCTCTCGCCTCATCTCAATTCTAGTCCTGTGGTATTTTTCAAGTTTTGGCTGATGTAACATGACAAAAATATGTGACAGCAGGCAAAAATACTGTAGAAGAGGCAAATCTATTATTACTTGTAAGTAAGCGCGTGCAGTGAGTCAAATCCTGACTTCAGCCATCACTGTGTAACCTTTGGCGTGTCACTTAAACTCTCAGCTGCAAACGGGGATAATAATAGTGACTACCTCATAAAGTGATTGCTGGAATTAAATGAGTTCATGTATGTACAGTGCTTAGAAGCCTGTCAGAGAGTAAGCACAATGTAGTTTTATCTATAACATTTGTCTACCTAGAATATCCAAGAAAAACAATTGAAAAACTATTAGAACCATTTCAGAAAACATAAAAACTAACAGCCTTTCTACACATGCACAGTGTCAAATTAATAAATACAGTGTAGAAAAAGATATCTACACACAGCAACTAGGATTATTAACAATGGGGGAATACCTTTATCAAGATATGTGCAAGATCTATCAAGCTATAGTCTTCTAGGGAAGATCATGAAGAAGACAGGAGTAAAAAGAGTGACATGGCAAATTTTTGCATAGAAGCTCTCAATATTGTAAAGAGACAGTGGTTTCCCCTAAGTTAGTCTATATTTAGTATAATCTAGATCAAAATTACAATAGAAGTTTCCAACCAATTTTGGAATCAATCAATTTTGGTTGATTCTAAAATTCATCTATTGTGTGCAGATAATCTCGTGCAAAGATTGTGTCAAGAAAATCTTGTGCTATGAGATCTTAAATATACTACAAATTTATGGTAATTAAAACAGTGTGGTGCTGGCACAGTAACAGGATAACTAAAAAGAAGGCACAGGAACATTTATGTATAGAAACTATCATTTAGCCATGGGAATTGGTATATGCTAGAAGTATCATTTCAAGCCACTGGGAAAGGATGAACAAGTCAGTGTGTGGCACTGGGACAGTTTGCTCTCCTTTCACAAAAAGAGTAAGTGAGATCCGCAGCTCACACCATACCCTGAAATAAATCACCAACCGATCAAAGGCCTAAGTGTAAAGTAAAAATAAGACATGAAAGTACTAGAACATACAAGAGAATTTAGTTTTCATTAATGTATGGAACAGTGGCACATGGAAAACATTAACTAAATACATGTTGAGCAAATACATTAAAAAATCTAGATGTGAGAAGGGCCTTTCTCCACAAAACACCAAATCCTAAAGCCATAAAGTAAAAAACTGACTATGTAATCTTAATGACTTATAATGAAAGAAATCCATAAATAAAGCTAGTTTTCAACCAACAGCCTGGGAGAGAAAACACTTTTACATTACCTAATATTCAAGAAAACTTATATGCAGTCTTAGTGAAAGCACTCCTATAAATTACTAGGAAAAAAAACAATCTAGAGAAAAATAGGCTACTCAGAAAAGAAGAAATGTAAATGTTCAATAAATGTATGAAAATATCTTCAACCTCAGTAATCAGAGAAGTGCAAATGAAAAGAAAATATTATTATCAACCTAAGATTGTTAATATTCATTGTAATTGTGGGCAAAGGAAAATGGTATTCTACTGAAGTGTTTCGTGTTTTGTTTTGTTTGTATTTATTTATTTATTTATTTATTTTAAGCTGGATTCTCACTCTGTTGCCCATGCTGGAGTGCAGAGTCACAATCTCAGCTCACTGCAACCTCTGCCCCCAGGTTCAAGCAATTCTCCCACCTCAGCCTCCCGAGCAGCTGGTATTACAGTCGTGCACCACCATGCCAAGGTAATTTTTGTATTTTTAGTAGAGCCAGGGTTTCATCATGTTGGCCAGGCTGGTCTCAAACTCCTGACCTCAGGTGATCTGCCCCCTTCAGCCTCCCAAAGTGCTGGATTACAGGCATGAGCCACCATGCCTGGCCTATTGTTCTATTTTTTGAAATGTTTTATTTTTAATTTTTGTGGGTACATAGTAGGCATATATATCCATGGGGTACATGAGATAATTTAATACAGGCATGCAATGTGTAATAATCACATCAGGGTAAATGAGGTATCTATCACCTCAAGCATTTATCCTTTGTGATATAAACATTCCAGTTATACTCTTTTAGTTATTTTAAAACATGCAATTAAATTATTACAGACAAAAGTCACCACGTTGTGCTAGCAAACACCTGATCTTATTCATTCTTTCTATTTTTTGCACCAATTAATCATCCCCACCTCCCCCTCCACTTTGTTCCACTACCCTTCCCAGCCTCTGGTAACCATCCTTCTATGCTCTATCTCCATGAGTTCAGTCATTTTAATTTTTAGCTCCCACAGATAAGTGAGAACGTGCAAAATTTGTCTTTCTGTGCCTGGCCTATTTCACTTAATTTAATGGTATTCCTTGGTTGTCTTTGCTTTCACCTGCCATTTCCCTCACCCTCTCAACCCTCAGCCCAGCATCTGAGAAAGGCCTAGAGTAGGAATTTATGTTTAACACGCATTTAATAGGCACCTAACTTGTATCGGCACTAAAAGCACAGTGATGCACACACTCCCAGCCTTTGTGAAGCTTACAGCTGGCTGATGGAGAACAACAATTAAACAAGCAATAACAATCAAGTGTGGTAAGTTCCATCCAGTTCCATTAATGTTGTTGTAAATGACAGGATCTCATTCTTTTTATGGCTGAATAGTACTCCATTGTGTATTTGAACCACATTTTCTCTATCCACTCATCTACTGATGAACACTTAGGTTGTTTCCCATCTTGGCTGTTGTGAACAGTGCTGCAGCAAGCATGGAAGTGCAGGTATCTCTTTGGTATATGGATTTCCTTTCTTTGGGGGATATACCTAGTAGTGGGATTGCTGGATTGTATGGTAGCTCTATTTTTAGTTTTTTGAGGAACCTCCAAACTGTTCTCTATAGTGGTTGTACTAATCTACATTCCCTTTTCCCCACATCCTTGCCAGCATTCATTATTGCCTGTTTTTTTGATACAAGCCATTTTAGCTGAGGTGACCTGATATCTCATTGTAGTTTTGATTTGCATTTCTCTGATGATCAGTGATGTGGAGCACCTTTTTCTATACCTATTTGCCATTTGTATGTCTTCTTTTGAGAAATGTCTATTCAGATATTTTGCCCATTTTTAATCAGATTATTAGATTCTTTCCTATAGAGTTGTTTGAGCTCCTTATATATTCTGATTATTAATCCCTTGTCAAACGGATAGTTTGCAAATATTTTCTCCCATTCTGTAGATTGTCTTTTCACTTTGTTGATTGTTTCTTTTGCTGTGCAGAAGCTTTTTAACTTGATGTGATCTCATTTGTCAATTTTTGGTTTGGTTTTCTGTACTTGTGAGGTATTACTCAAGAAATTTTTGCCTACTCCAAAGTGCTAGAGAGTTTCCCCCAATGTTTTCTTTTAGTAGTTTCATAGTTTGAGATCTTAGATTTAAGTCTTTAATACATTTTGATTTGATTTTTATATATGATGAGAGATAGAGGTCTAGTTTCATTCTTCTGCATATGTATATCCAGTTTTCTCAGCAGCATTTATTGAAGAGACTCCTTTCCCCAATGTATGTTTTTGGCACCTTTGTCAAAAATGAGTTCACTATAAATGTATGGATTTGTTTCTGAGTTCTGTGTTCTGTTCCAGTGGTTTATGAGTCTGTTTTTATGCCAGTACCATGCTTTTCGGTTATATAGTATAATTTGAAGTCAGGTAATGTGATTCTGCCAGTTTTATTCTTTTTGCTCAGGATAGCTTTGGCTACTCTGAGTCTTTTGGGGTTACATATGCATTTTAGGATAGTTTTTCTCTATTTCTGTGAAGAACGTTATTGGTATTTTGATAGGGATTGCATTGAATCTGTAAATTGCTTTGGGTAGTAAGGATATTTTAACAATATTTATTCTTCCAATCCATGAACATGGAATATCTTTCCATTGTTTTGTGTCCTCTTCAATTTCTTTCATAAATGCTTTACAGTTTTCATTACAGAGATCTTTCATTTATTTAGTTAAGTTTCCTAGGCATTTATTCTATTTGTAGCTATTGTAAATGGTGTTTTTTTAATTTCTTTTTCAGATTGTTTGTTATTGGCATATAGAAAGTTACTTTTTTGTATGTTGATTTTGTATCCTGCAACTTTACTGAATTTATCAGTTCTAATAGTTTTTTAGTTTAGTCTTTAGGTTTTTCCAAATATAAGATCATATCATCTGCAAACAAGGGTGATTTGACTTCTTCCTTTCTAATTTGAATGCCCTTTATTTCTTTCTCTTATCTTATTGTTCTATCTAGGACATTCTCTACTACAGTGTTGATTGGTGTTTAAATTGTTATAGCATTGAGGAAAAGGTATGGGGTGAGTCATTTGGCAGTACTGTACCTATCTAAATTCAAAAGTGCGTAACCTTTGACCCTTGCAATTCCACCTACAGGAATTTATACTTTAGAAATTTGACCTAATTGAAATGTGTGCATGCACACACACACGTGCATGCAAGGACGTTTACTTAAGTATTGCTTAATTTATTAAAAAATAGAAATAACCTAAATGATCTTCAATAAGAGAAAAATTTAATAAATGATGTTTCTCCTGATCTATTAACTATGATTCAGTGGTCAAAAAGAATGAAAAAGATATTATGGTACTGACATGGATAACTCTAAACAATACATTGAAAGTGAATAAAGGAAATTTCAGAACATTTAGTCTATTTTATTCCCTGTTGTATTCTCAGTGCCCAGAGCAGTCCTGGGCACATGGGATGGCTCAAAAGTATTTGTTGCGTGGATATGTGTAGTATGACCCCATTTATATGAATGGAATCATAGCAACTATAAAATCTTTCTCTCACATAAATACACTCGTTTTAAACCCAGGTTTTGGGGTAGTGTATGAAAAATAACAGCTCTGGGTTCAAATCCTAGTTGTCACTTACCAATTGATGGCTCTGAGAAAGTTATTTACCTTCTTTAAGACTCATGTTCCTCATTGGTAACTAAGGCTAATAATAATACTTCATACCTTATAAAGATACTGGGAAGATTCAAAGACAACTGTGTGTTCGTCACTCAAGAACACCTTCATCACCCAAAGCATACCTGATACTTTGCCGTTGCTCACTGAGTGGTTGTTATTTGTATTCTCAATCTCCCTATATTTTCTCTGTATCACATTGGCTACCTAGGAATCTTTTGGTGTGAAGTTAGAGATAACACATTCAGAGTTTTCTGAGATGTAAATGAACTTCACTGTGGCCTTCTGTGGGAGATTTTGCAGGACAATAACCCATCAATAGAGCCTTGGTTATCTTTGCCTTCACCTGCCATTTCCCTCATCCTCTTATCCCTCAGCCCAACATCTGAGAAGGGCCTATAGTAGGAGTTTATGTTTAGTACACATTTAATAGGCATCTGTCATGTATCAGCACTAAAAGTACAGTGATGCACACACTCTCAGCCTTTGTGGTGCTTACAACTGGCTGATGGAGAACAACAATTAAACAAGCAATAACAATAAAGTGTGGTAAGTGCTATGACTGGGTTGGCCATGAGGAGTTAGGAGAGCATTGGCATGGCTTCTGATCTAGCTTAGGAGATCAGAGGAAGTGAGGGCCAATCCCAAGCTTGAAAGCTGATTAGGAGCTAAAGGGGCAGGGAGGAGCTAAGGAGAAGAAAAGGGTTTCAGATGGGGATAACTAGTTATGAAAAGTCTTATTTGAGAATGTGAGAGAATTACAATATGGCTGGAGCTCTCAGACGAGAAGTGTGGTTTAGCAAGAAATAAAGCTAGCCCAGGCACAGTGGTACACACTTGTAATCTCAGCACTTTGGGAAGCCATGGCAGGTGAATTGCTTGACTCCAGGAGTTCAAGACCAGCCTGGGCAACATGGCGAAATCTTTCTCTGCAAAAGCTACAAAATTAGCTGGGTATGATGGTACAGGTCTGTAGTCCCAGCTACTCGGGAGGCTAAGGTGGGAGGATTCCTTGAGTCCAGGAGGTTGAGGTTGCAGTGAGCCGTGATAGCACCACTGCACTCCAGCATATGTGACAGAGTGAGACCCTGTATCCAAAAAAAAAAAGAAAGAAAGAAAAAGAGAAAGAAAGAAAGAAGGAGGAAAGGAAAGGAATAAAGAAAGAAAGAAGAAAGAAAAGAAAGAAGCAAGAAAGAAAAAAGAAAGAAACAGAGAGAGAGAAAGATAAAGAAAAAAAGAGAAAGAAAGAAGAAAGAAAGAAAGAGAAGGAAGAGAAAGAAAGCAAGCTAAAAAGTAGGCAAGGGACAGATTGTGAAGGGCTTTGTAAACCATGTTTAGGAGTTTGGAATTATTCCTGAGAGCAACAAGGAGCCTTCGAAGCAGGACAATGCCTGGATTAGGTTACTGTTTCAGAAAGACCGTTCTGGCTTTGCTGTAGGGAATGCAAGAAGCTAGAACTGCATTGGGGAAGACCAGTGAGGGGGCTGTTATGGTAGTACAGGGAGAAATGATGGCGATCTGGATTAGGGTGGTGGCAGGGGGATGTTGATGCATTTTAGAAATATTGAATAGGAATAATCAACAGGACTTGATGATTGATTAGATGTGGGAGATGAGAGAGAGGAAAGAACCAAGGATGACATCCAGACCTGTGACTTGTACAACTGGATTTTTGTAAGTTAGTCTTGTATCCAGCCACCTCGATGAATTTTCTTGTAGTTCTAAAGCTTATTGTACATTTGCTTAGATTTTCTAGGTAGACAATTATGTTGACTGCAAATAAGGATGGTTTAGGTTCCTCTCTTCATTTTTATTGATGTAGTATCAGTGAACGTCCAGTCAGGAAAAAAGAAACTGCTCTTGGTATTTCAAGCAAAGAGATGTAATAGATGAGATTAGGTGCTTACAAACTGGCTGGGAGTGTGGAGTGGTGAAAGTCAGGGGAGGCTGCTGCTAGATTTTAGGTTCACCATTGCAGTTGTTGCCTTTCACATCAAGAAGTTGCTGTTGCCATCCAGGTCAGGAAACTGACACTGATAGTCACAGCTGTCCTACAGCAGTGAACAGGGTAGGTGAGAGGGCTGGCTGCCTTGAGGATTTTATAAATCATTTCTGAGAGTGCCCAAGTATCTACAAGCCACTACCAGAGAGAAAAAGAGAGTCGTATAGCTTGCTTCTGACTCCCTCCCATCTCCAAATTGTAAGCAAGTGCATCTCATTGGCTGGATGATCATAGTAATGTGAAGGTAAAGGAGTGTGGGGCGAGTAGCTCCCAGGCTTCTAGCCCCAGTGATAAAGGGCAGGGATGGTAGAAATAACGGCGGCAAAAACAAGACAACAAAAACCAATATCCAGTGCAGTTTTGCCTTCATTTTCTGGGCCTACCTTTTGTGTGCAAGACACTCAAAACACTTTCAAATGAGTTAAACTCTCTAGGTTCTTCTCTCACCACTTCTCCCAGGTGCACTATGTTCTGGAAGACGCACAGAATGTCATGCAACTTTCTAAATGTATGTCCATGCCTTTGCCCTTGTGGTACCACCTAAAAGTTACCTTTCCTCTGCCTGTGAAGACTCTTCCTGTTCCTTCAGCGCCCATTCACTCCTTGCCCCCTTACCTGCATCAGGCAGGACTGATGCCTATCTTCACTATTTCCACTACACTGGGTTCACAGTTCTATAGCAGTAACTTGTCCCACTGAATTTTAATTTTGGTCAAAGTGCCCATCTTTCTCAGTAGACATAAGCATCCCAAGGTAAGTGACCAAGGCTTATTTTGTGTTTATGTCCCAAGCACCTGCTGCAGTGCTTGGAATATAACAGGTGCTCACTGAAGATTTCTTGAATGTGTGAAGGACTGTGGTATTACATGGTCACTCAGGGTGAGCACCTGAGATTATACGATGAGCAACTACCTTCAGAAATAGGCATGCCACTTGTTCCTGAAAGGGGGTTTGACAAGTGGTAGAATCATAGGACAAAAATTCATGGCAATGAGTTGCCTATTAATGCTAGCTTCAAGTTCTCAATTCTTACTTTTATTTATGTTGACTTTGTCCTTCCTTTTCTAAGCTTCTACTGTCTGTCCTTGCTTCTTCAGCTTGTAATGCTGCTTCCCTTTAAAATATAATTTCCATGCAACATTCTAGTTGCCCCCATCATATCAAATTAATGCAAAGGCTGCTTAAGCTGCTAGGAAAATATGGGTTATTACATGCTGCTGACAACAACACTGACAGTGATGTTGAAGCGGGGACAGAGAATACCTTTAAAAATTATTATTTATACAGAGCCAGGGAGCTCCAGAATTTGAAGTGTACTTAGCAATCCAGTTCTATTCTTTTAGTACCAATTTAAAATAAATGCTTACCATCAGCCAGTTGCTATCACTGGGAAGAAGGTAACTTGAAGTATTTACTGATAAATAGCCTTTATTCCCAATTGTGACTTTTCTTCAGTGTCTACATATTGTGTCACATGTTCTATTGACACTGCTGCAATATAGATCAAAGATCTTGTGGCATAGGGGTAAGGGAGTGTTAGAATCTCCCTTGTCCCATTTGTTCTGTTACTGCTTTATTGGACTGATCTACCCTCATGAACTTGCAATCACCTAAATGGAAGTTTTGAATGTGTCACTTTTTGTTTGGTTATTTCAACCATGCTGCTATATATAATCAGGTGTGGCACAGTTTGTCAGTTTGATTCTAGGTGTGAGTGAATACAAATCATTACACTATGCTGTTAACGATACTTGTCTGCTTGCCGTTACCTACTTTTTACAGACATCATAATAAAAGCTAGACTGTTTCTTGGGGGTGGGGGAAGAGATTCATTTAATGTAATTTAAGAACTTTTCCAATAGAAACTGAAATATTATTGAAAATAATATCTATTTTTTAGCTTGCAGCAATTGATGGCGCTTTGTTGTGGCGTCTGCTGAAAGTCTACTGCCATTATAGGGAACCTTGTTTGTTAGCTTCTCTAGATTTCTATTCTAAACAATCTGTAAGTGATGATAAATTCTGTAGGAGGGTCTATTCTGAGCTATTAACTTCCTGGAAGGGGAAAATGGGTGGGTTACCAGAAATACCATTGAAGCAGGGTGGGCTGTGGGTGGAGAGTTGGGTATTTGTCTTGAGAGTTAAAAACTACGAAACATTTTTGTACACAACTGATTTTTTAAAAAATAAACACATTTTTAAAGAAAAAAATAAATCCAATTCTTTTGTTTTATATAAAAATGGAGATTGAGAATTTCCCATGATTCCTTAGCACTATGAAAAATTGGTTAGCAAGCTCATCTAGTAAGCTCGTCTTCAGGTCAGGAGAGCTTCTGCAATGAATCCTCCAAGACTTCCTAGCCTCTACTATGGTGTTGGGGGAATAAAAAGTAATTCATCAAATGTTGTTAAATGGGTGTATGGGTAGCATTTCCCCAGGGTAATCAAGAAACTCTTTGTTTTTCTTCCTGGCAGATACTGCATACTGGCTGACTCAGCATCCATTCCTAACCTCATTTTCTCTCACCCACCTTGCTTATAAAGCTCAGGGAAGCTAAATATTTTCTCAGCCTCCCCTGCACTTGAAGTGACTATGTGACAGTTTTTGCCACTGAGAGGTAGGCAGCAGCCTGCATGAGCTTCCTGTGAAAGTTTTGCTTTTCTGATAGAGAGGACAAAAAAGGCAGGTGTTTTCTTTGCTCCTTTTCCTGCCCGGAGGGTGAATGTGTTGGCCGCACCTACATAAGCCTTCTTGTGCCCATAAGGGAAAGTCTGAGAGAATCACAGAGATGCTGGCCCTGACATTGTAAAGCTGTCAAGCCATCAACATCATCTACCTCCTGATTTCTTATTATGTCAGAAAAACAAGCCCCTATTTGTTGAAGCCACTGAACTTCTATTACTTGCTCCTAAGTGCTTTTCTAATATGTGCTTTATTCTAGCTGCAGAACCTTTCTAAGGTCATTGCCCAAAACAGGAAGGACAGGTTTATGTTTATCACATATAACAAATGTGGACATCATTACCATAATATTTATTTTGTAAGTTTAGTTTTGTAACGTTTTCTTGTCACCAAGTCAATCTATAAGAAAAATAAAAAGATTGCTTCAATGAATACATAAAATTTGAAAACAAGAGAGACCAATGACTGTTGAAGTCTTATATCAGCCTTATCATTCAGCATGTTTCTTGATTTTGCTTTGGTTGCACAGTTATTGAGAAAGCCTAATTCATGCATATGAGTAGTTGCAAATAGAAGAGTTAGTATGCCCTGCAATTACAGGTCAGAAAGTTTGAGAGAGGAGTGTTTGGATGGCTTTCTTTCAAAGTGGACTCAATAATAGCATGTAAGACCTGTTCTCATTCCTTAGCTGGCCAATGACCAGCATGGATCCAGAGTCAATAAACAGGTTATTCAATGAAGCAAATCTTCATTGTTCAAAGGAAAATACACTGTAGTCAATAAGAGTTCAGATCCTGGAGGCAAGTTTGGGTTTAAATCCTGGGACTACCACTTGCTGGCTGAGTACCTCAGTCCTGGTGTTCTCATCTATTAAATGGGCACATTAATAGTACCTACCTTATAGGATTATTGGGTGGTTTAAATCATTCAATACAGGTAAGGCCTTAGAACAGCTTTGGGCACACAGTAACAACCAATTGTTAGCAATTATGAGATGTTCAGTGATATCCCCAATCCCCCATGGCCAGTCTCTGTCAGATGTTTGCTCAAATATTGTTCTCAAACTCATGGACTGAGACCTCCCTCCTTTTAATAATAAACTAATTTATTTTGCTTGGAAAACTGAATACATATTTTAGAAATAAAGTCTTTGCTCACCAATTATATAGAATTAACCCAGAAGGTTCACTTTGCCAAAGTGAGCTTATTTAGCTTTTTTAAAAAAGAAATATTTAAATCATGCAATAGATTCTAAAAGTGTGACTAATATGACATTATCTCTCCATCACAAAACTTGTTCAATTGTTATTTTAATACCGATTATTGTACCATGATTACACAAGGTGCTAAGCAAAAGTATATTTTACTTGACGTTGAATTTCATAGGGCCTCTGTATGCTATGTTTGATACTCATGTGTATAATTTTATGTAAATAGAGATAGGGAGGGCTACATTAAAAAATAACAATAAGAGGCTGAAGAAACGCTCGAAGCCAGGGGTTCAAGACCAGCCTAGGCAACATAGGGAGACCCTATCTTTACAATTTTTTTTTTAGAAAATTAGCCAGGCATGGTGGTATGTGCCTGTGGTCCTAGTTACTCAGGAGGCTGAGATGGGAGAATGGCATGAGCCTAGGAGTTTAAGGCTACAGTGAGTTATGACTGGGCCACTGCAGTACAAAGGACAGCCTGGTGCCAAAGTGAGACCCTGTCTCTCAAAGACAAAAGACACCCAAAACAATAACAAAAATAATAATAGGGAAAGGACCCGTACAGAGCTACTATGTTCTGAATCAATGAACATTTACAAAACAATTATGGCAAGAGCTATATACAAAGAAGCATGTAAAACTGGAAGTACAATTTAATATAATAGTTGTCTCCAATATGTAAACATTTGATGTGTAAAACATCTAACTGTGAATCGTTTTTTAAATTGAAGAATGTTTAATTGTAAAACAATATTCTAAATAAACTTGAATCAAATATTCATAGGTTCGTAGAGCATCCCTACATAGTTATAGAGGTCCATTGATCAGAGCTTAAAAATCCCCTAAATAATTATCCAAAAATCCCTTCTGAAATTTACCATTTGGGGTTAGATAGGTTAACATGTGAGACCTAACTGAAATCTTCCTATCTTGATCATTTACCTGGCTACACTGGCTCTTCATTCTCTATAAGGTGGGTTTATCTAAAAAGTAGTAAAATAAGCCTGGTATGGTGGTATAAGCCTGCTACTTGGAAGGCTGAGGTGGGAAGATCACTTGAGCCCAGGAGTTCAAAGCTGCAATGAGCTATGATCACACCACTGCACTCCAGCCTGGGTGACAGATTGAGACCCCCATATCTAAAAAAAAAAAAAAAAGAAAGAAAGAAAGAAAGAAAAAGAAAAAGGAAACAATAGCAAAATTATTTTACTTGAAGTCATTCCACAGAAGGTGATTCCATGGCATGGGCTTATACTCATTAGAATGTTTCTGCCAACAACTATCAACTCCTTTTGAAGTGGCTGAAACAATGAGGGAATTAACTATTTCACATAATATGGTGTTTCAAAGGAGGCGAGTTCCAGGGATGCTTAATTCACCAAGGAGCCAGGGTCTTTCTATGCTTTTGCTTGGCCATCTTCACCACATCAGCTGTTTTCCCTCATGACTGCAAGATGGCTGCCAGAGCTCTGGTGATTATATCTGTGTGCAAATACATTCAGAGGCAGAAAAGAAAACTCTATATTTCTTATAGTTCTTTTGAGAGCTAATAACATTTCCCAGAAGTATCCGCAGAAGAGTTATCCTCCAATTTCATTGACCAGAATTGAGTTGCATGTTCCTTCTTAAACCAATTGCTAGCAAGGGGAATAAAATTACTGTCATTGGTCAGATTACCAAGATTGATATGCTAAGACTGAGAATAAGGCCAAATTCTGGAAAGTCCATGGCCCCACTGAGGAATGTTCATGTTGGGAAAAACTGAGGTTCTGGGTGGGAAACCAAGAGTACCTGTTAAAGAGGCTAGAGAATCATATTCTAAAGAGGCCCCTAAGAAAATTTATCTCCTGCCCCTGCCTGCCTACCATCTCGCCTCCTCAGGCTGTGTGAGAAGGGGAGGAAGAGACACAGGGAACAGTGAGGACAAGAGAGAGTGAGGTTGTGTCTATGCAGAGCCAAAACGTTCCAATACAAATGAAGAATCAATTGAGCTGAATGTTTATGCAACCAAATGCCAAATACATTGGTGTAGTTATAAAGGGATTAGTTTGGAAGTTATTAAACTTTGTCTCACAGTTTAATTTTGGTTTGTCATGGCACTGGTGTATATATAGGGCAGGAGACACCATTTCCTTTTATCCTTTTATAGGTGCTGTTTAATTTCCTGCATGCCATGAAATCTTTTTTTTTTTTTTTTTTTTTTTTTTTGAGACGCAGTTTCACTCTTGTTGCCCAGGCTGGAGTGCAATGGCGCAATCTCGGCTCACTGCAACCTCTGCCTCGCTTGAGGCAGGTTCAAGCGATTCTCCTGCCTCAGCCTCTCTAGTAGCTGGGATTACAGGCATGCGCCACCATGCCCGGCTTATTTTTTATTTTTAGTAGAGATGAGGTTTCTCCATGTTGGTCAGGCTGGTCTTGAACTCCAATCTCAGGAGATCTGCCCACCTCGGCCTCCCAAAGTTCTGGGATTATAGGCGTGAGCCACCGCGCCTGGCCGCCATGAAAACTTTAATGAATCTGCACAAACTATGGACTTAATTACCAGAAAAGATCACACATGCACTTGTGCAAATTCTGCATGTGATTTTGGGAGGTTCACAGATTGTTCACAGATACATTGACACCCCCTCATGAGCTTCAAGTAATAGCCCTCTGATACCCTTGATTGGTATAGTGAAAAAAATAATGCATGAGGAGATAAAACAGTAAGATTAGGAAATCTCTGATGGCCACTTGTTAGCTCTGTGGCCTCATTTGAATTTTTTAAGGCTTTAGTTTTACCTCTATAAAATGGATTTTACGAGTTATTTTAAGAACTGAGTGAGTTATGTGTAAAATTCTTTTAAATTATGTAGCACTTTACAAATGTTGATTTAAAAATTTAATTGCCAATTTATCCAAACTGCATGATACTTCTTACTTCCCAGTTGAATTTACTTAGTTTTTGAATTTAAAATTGTGCACCCCATGAAGATATGCCTCAGAGTATATTTTGAGGATTCAAACAGAAGAAGGTTCCTTTCTCCATAAGCGAATATTGTCCTTAAATTCATAGACTGAGCACTGCCTCTTTTTGGAGCAGCTTGTTTGAAAAGAGGCACCAATGGAGGAAGAGAGAATGAAACAGTCTTCTAGACACTCTTGCCCTCTGTCTGACCCACCTGTGTGACCCCCTCCACACCCTCCCATTGGCCCTATTCCAGTCCTTTGACCATGGTCCCCTGTGTGGCTCCACTTTAAGTCCTTCACATCCTTTGAGGCAGGTACACCTGCTCCAGCTCTTCTCTTGCTCTTCACCTCATTCACCTCATACCCTTCCCCATCTTTACCTGCTCTCAGGGTAAGAGGTTGCTCTTCCTCTCTTGTTTCTCAGATTTTCATAACATTCTTGCCTTTTCATGCCCAACAACCTTGGTAGCCACCCCTCCACCACTGAATGGCAAATGCCCATTAGACTTCCCCAAGGATCAATCAACAAAGAGTGATCAGGGCGATGGTCATCCTGGGCACTGAGGTCTGGAGTAAGCCGACCTCACTCCTGTCTTACAGAGGATGCAGTCAGTGCATGGAGATCTTCCTGCTTCTCTCAGTACAAGCAGACAGCTGACTTGGGGGATTGGGAGATTTCACTGGGAGAAAATCAGATTTTGTTGATTGATGGGGGACATCAGGACTGTATTCACACACCATTAGTGAAACAACTAAAACTTACTAACAGTGAGGCAGAAAAGAAAGTCTCCTCAGATCTGGCAAAGCTATAATGGTGCTACTGACAGCACAGCTGTTCCCTGGGGTTTGGGGCTCTTATTTCTCTGAGATGTGCTGGACCCATGCTGCCTATGGGACAACAGTCTACATGTGGGCGCTCAGCCCTGCTGGAAATGGCAGCTTCTCTGCATTCTGTATTTCCACGAGCACAGCACACTCCTCCATGATTGAAGTCTGCAGGTTGCAGGGATGTGGGGGAAGTATCCAGTTCCCAGCTTCTTTCATAGCCATCAATGCCCAGCCCTGCACATATAAAAATAAGATCCTCCCAATTCAAGCGTTTTTCTCACCCCTTCAATACTCAGGCCGCTGCTACATGCCCCTGCAAAAGGTAGAGAAACTCATGCCAAGTGATCCTAAGGGTTTCCCAGCCATCTGGAGGTAGCTGATATGAGGAAGAGGTTTTAGGTTAGAGGCAGACCAACCAGACCATGCAAGGCCCAGGGGCGAGGGCAGTTGGTAGGTCGGCTCACTCTTGGCTTCAGTATCAGCTCAGACCTTCCTACCTTCCTTCCTTCCTTCCTTCCTTCCTTCCTTCCTTCCTTCCTTCCTTCCTCCTTTCATTCCTTCTTTCCTTCCTTTCCTCCCCATTTCTCTCTCTTTCTTTTTCTTTCTCTTTCTTTCTTTCTCTCTCTTTCTCTTTCTTTCTTTCTTTTTTCTCTCTTTCTTTCTTTTTTCTCTCTTTCTCTTTCTTTTTTTGAGACAAGGTCTCACTCTGTCTCCCAGGCTGGAATGCAGTGGCACAATCTCTGCTCACTGCAACCTCCACCTCCTGGGTTCAAGTGATTCTCCCACCTCAGCCTCCTAAGTAGCTGGGACTACAGACCCGTGCCACCACGCCTGGGTAGTTTTTGTATTTTTTGGTAGATACGGAGTCTCACCATGCTGGCCAGGCTGGTCTCAAGCTCTGACCTCAAGTGATCCACCCGCCTTTGCCTCCAAAGTGCTGGGATTACAAGCATGAGCCACTGCACCTGGCCTCAGACTGCTGTTTCTGATGAAAATGGCTTGCCTTCTCAGTGAGTCTGCTCAGGGTCCCCTTTAGATTCATAGTGTCTAGGGAAGGGAAGAAGAAAGATCTGCTGCAAATGGGGCATCCCTTCCTACCTCATCCCATTGCCTCCTGACTTAATGGATGGTTTTCTGGGAACGTGTTGCTTCCCTGGCTTATGGCTACATAAATGCACAGATTATTATTTTATCAGCCACATTCATCTTCAGAGTCATTTTCATGAGCAGCACACAGAGCCCTTGCAGACTCTGCTCTGGGCCATCACTGAATGTCCCTCTGCTCATCTCTTTCTCCAAGTCTTTGTTTTTGTCCTAGATTTGAGATGAACTGAAAGTGTTCAGTTACCTTCAGCAGTCTTCTGGACTTAACTTTCGAGGGAACTTCTCATTATTGCTTTGCTTGTTCTTTTCTATATTCATTTGGGGGTTTGGGTTTGGGAGTGGGTTGGCCTTTTGTGGCTGTAGTGAGTTTCCTTTCTTCCATTTCTGCTTCATTTTTGTGTGTTTTGATTTAATGTGCCCAACACAAAAGCATCACTAAAACTTCTACTTTATGATGATCTTACTTAGTTTTCCAGTTATCCTTCTTTGCTTGCCCCCCTCAACTATGAGGACATTTTCGGGTTTGTTTAGTTCTTGAGGTATGAATATGGTTTAGGAGTCACAAAGCCTGTCTGTGTTCAGGACCCTCTGCTGCCTGCCGCTAGCTGTGTGACTCTCAGTTAACTTTTTGGAATATCTGTTCCTTCTGCAAGGTAGTGAGAATAAAAGCATCTCTCTTTTCTCTCATGGAGGCATATTTTGAAGATGAAATGAGGTAATGGATAAATAAAAGCACTACAAACTAGAATAAACATCACATTATATTTCCATGTAACAAGTGTTACTCTGTGCCAGACATCAGGCAAAATTCTTTATATATTACTTTGTTTCATCCTCATCTGACAATGCAGTAGGAGATGATGTGATTACTATCCACGTAATATCACATGAGTAACTTGAGCCTTAGAGAGGTTAAGTAATTGGCCTGAAACCATACAGTATGGAAAAGGTGAAAAAACAGGATTTGAACCAAGTCTTTCTGGCTCCAGACTGTGAACTCTTAACCACAGCACCATCCTGACGCCACGCAAACCCAAAGTACCATCATTCAACTAGATGCTGGTGGTTTCTGCATTATTACACTACAAGAAACCCAGTGACTGGAAACAATAAAATTCATAGAATGCTCTGTAAGGGATTATTCATTGCATGGTGGTCTGGAGAGAAATCACTTGTCAAACTTTTGCTTCAGTTTCCAGAATCAAAACTCATGCCAGTAACCAATGGGGCAGTATGGTGCAGAGATAATTAACATCCTTGTCTACAATAAGAGAAAGCAAACAGTGACTTTAGGCAAGTTGGCCTCTCTGGTCTTCTATCATCCTCGTTGTGAAGAGAAGGAGTTTGGACAAGCAAATCATTAAGATCTCTGTAGGTCACAACAATAATAATAGTTAACATTAATCAAGTCATTACTAAGGGCCAGGACTTTTTCTAAGTGCCTTATGTTCAGTCTTATATAATTCCCACAACAGGAGGTAGGTGCTAGTGTTATCATTCTCTTTTTGGAGGTGAGAAAACTGAGGAACAAGGTAATTTGCCCAACGTCACATAAAGAGCAGGAACAGAGTTGAGAAACCATACATTTAACCACACAATGATCTTTCTTCTGTAACTGATAGGATTTATATTATTGGTTGCCTTGAATGAATGGCAACTAAAAGTAACCGCATTTGATTACTTCTTTGTTAGCCTGCCTAGTTTTTTCCTTCTGTAGATAGAAAATAGAGTATGTCTTTTAAGACTCTATCATAATGGCTAAGGCATAGTAAGATCTCAATAAGTATTTGCTTATCTGATTTTTTATTGTTTTTAAATGGTATGAAAAAGACATGAAAACAAACAAAAATAAACCAAGAAGAAGGAGAAAAGAATGAGGCTGCGTAACTAGAGAAACAATCTGACTCCTGCCTCCTAATATGAACTTAACCAGAGAATAATTCAAAGATGAAATGCAATATGAGCCCATACACCTCTCATCCACACTGAAACAACAACAACAAAAATTAGCCTGGTTGCAGAAACTCCATTATTGACTTTGGCAGTGCTCTCCCCATCTCTTTGTGCCAATAAAGTTATTAGAATTGAATTGAGAGAGGCAGATACACAAGGAGGGCTGAGATAAAGATGCTGAGCAGTTGAAATCAGTGGCTCATGGAGCTGATCCCCTGCCAAAGACTACAACTCCTGGGAGGAATCCACCACTCTGGCAGTGACCAGGCACTGCGGAAGCTGCTGGTCAGGTTTCTGGAGGGAACTCCCAGGTAGCTGGGGACTGACAGCTGTGGGAAGACAGAAAAGAGCACCATTCCCATTACCAAGAACCAGACAGGCCAGCACTCCCCAGGCTTCAGAACAGTGTGGCTTTGCTAGTCTCACCATCCTCCCCAGGCTGTCAAAGCGGGGAGAGGAGGCAGAGAGGAACGGTGGGAGAGAACATAGTGTGATTCACAATCTGTTTGTGACAGGAAGAAAAAGTGGCTTAATAACCCACAGCCAGATTAATGGAATATTCCTTCTCTTCCCTGGCAGGGTTGGTCCTTTGGTGCCATCACCCATAAAACAGACGGCCGCCAGAGGAGCCATGGAGCTAATTAACAAATCTGCCCCCAAGTGTGCCAAAACCCATTCCACTGGAACTGCAAATATTTAAAGTGTTTAGACACTGGTTTAATGAGAAAAACACTAGTATGTTCTAGAAGCCATTGTGACTACTTGGCATCTTCTAGCCACTTACACCTTCTCAATCAGCTGCCTCTCCACCCTCTCCTACATAGGTCCTGAGTGTCTTCCTTTCATTCTTGTTCTCAATCATCTGCCCACCAACCTTGAAGCATCAAAGCCACCATTTAAAGTTTGCGTCCGAACCTTTGAGAATGCTTACTCCTTTGTGAATCTGTATGAAGAAGATCCCGGCAAGGATATGGACTTTAGTTGTGTGTATATTTGTTTCTCTGTGTGCATATTTTATACAACAATATTAATAGTAACCAACATCTGTTGAGCATATGGTATGTGTTATGCACTATTTTAAGCACGTGGAGTGCTTAGGCAATCTGTATAGCCCAAGAGGGACAAACCTAAGAATACTGACATAAGAGGTTCTCCAATAACCCTAGCCAAAGCTCCACCCACTTGCCCAGAGATTTTAATCAGCATAAGAGCATCCAATCAGATTAAAAAATCCATACTCTTAATCATGATAAGGTATCCCAATATTACCAAACACCTGAAGAAAGCTAATATTGTGGATGACAAACAGCAAAACAAGCAACAAACAGCATTGTGTGGGGGAATAAGAATATGCAGGGAGAGGAGAATGAAAGTGCATGTATATATTATTTCTTTACAGAGATAAGAGAAGATAATATATCCCAGAAAAGAGAACAGGACAAAACAAAAAAGGAACATTCAGAGGCCAAAATTGGATTCTTGGAAATTAAAACCATGATAGTAGAAATGGAAAAACTCAGTAGTAAATCTTCCAAAAAGTAGAGCAAAAAGTCAAAGAGATAGAAAATTGGAGAGAAAATAAAACAAAATGAGAAGACTGGTCCAAGAAGTTCAATATTTAAATAATAGGAGTTCAGAGACAGAGAAGAAAGAAAACAGAAAGGGGGAAACCATAAACTGGTTCAACAAAATTTCCCAGAGATAAAAGACAAAATTTTTAAGTTTCCAGGAATACATGAAATGCCCAACACAACAAATAAAAACAAATCCACATTTAGCCACCTAGTTGGAAAATTAAAAAAAAAAAAAGAAAACTTGCTGGGGGGAAGCAAGTCTATAAGAGTTCAGAGCATCACAAGTCACATACAAAGGAGCAGAAGTTAAAGTGAATTTGGGCTTCTCAATAGCATCAGTGGAAATTGAGGCAATATAGTCAAAGTTCTGAAAGGAAATGCTCTCCAACTTGGAATTTTGTACCTAGCCAAATTATCAAATAAGTGTGATGATAAAATAACACACTTTTAAATATGCAAAGTCTCAAAAATTTATTTTCCATGCAACCTTTCTCAATAAAGGGGAAGATATAACAAAAGCAGAAATTTAAACACAGAAGAGAAGTAAAAGGTATTTTCCAAAAGATAGTGAAAAAAGATCCCAGAATGATAGTGTACACCAACCATAGAGGCTAACAACCCAGACTGGCACAACACCAGTCAAGAAACAGATATGTTGGAGGCTTTCATCTCTGAAATGCTAGGAGTCACTGTATTGTCTTTTCCCTGATCTTTCATTTTTGTTTTGAGAGACAGGGTCTTGCTCTGTGTTTTGAGAGACAGGGTCTTGCTCTGTTACCCAGGCTGGAGTGTAGTGGTGCTAGTGTAGCTCACTATAACCTTGAACTCCTGGGCTCAAGCAATCCTCCTGCCTCAGCATCCTGAGTAACTGGGGCTACAGGTGCACACCACCGTGCCTGGCTAATTTTTCAATTTTTTTCTAGAGGTGGGATCTCACTATGTTGCCTAAACCGGTCTCGAACTCCTGGCCTCAAGCAATTCTCCCACCTTGACCTCCCAAAGGGATGGAATTACAAGTGTGAGCCACAGCACCCAGCCTGTATTGTCTTTTAAACCTGTGCACAGAGCACCCAGGTAAGCTTGGCCCTCCTTATTCTTCACCATGTGCCACTCTCTACCCATTGCTTTCTATCTGGGTCAGCTCCTTTCACCCTCACAGAAGAACTCTGCTGTGAGTGGATGTGGGCCAAAATGAACTTAGAAGAAGAATATATAAGGAAGGTCATTTTCTTTGATATTTTTTCCTATAGGAAGGCCATAGAAGCTGGCACACACAAAAATAGTAAAGAGATCTGGAAGGAAAATGAGATGACAACTCTGCTACAATAACCAATAATATCTGCTGTAGCCTACAATTGGTATGAAACTCTTCAGCATCTGGAAGTAAAGGAACTCACTTTTAAGTGTTCATATTTTACTCCTACTCCCTTCCAAGTCATGTTAGCTAAGGATGCTCTATTCTCGGATTCCAAGGTCACATTCACACACTCAGCCTCTGCCCCAGAGGCTGCTGCCATTGGTCCAGAGAGGCTCCTGCCCTCAAGTGCTCACTGTGCCAGAACCAGCACTCTAGGGAACCATCTAGGCCTAGCATTGAGCTCAATGAGGTTGGGCCCTTTCCTGCCAGCCAGCATCATTCTGGAAAACTTATTGAGATTTTACAATCAGAAAGACTGTAAACATGTCAGGGTCTAGGACTTCAAGGTTCCAAGAGATTCTCTAACTGTAAGCAATTTGACCCAATTTCTCTGTAAGGGTGTTTGGAAGGGTAGGCTTTGTGAAGTCCAAAAAAGTTCCTGACACTTGTTTTTCCCTCTAGATAATGGGTACTTCCGATGTTTACATTGAGAGATCACCCACATGATTTGAGAACAAAGATCTGCCCTCACGTGACCTGCTGCCTCCACTCAGACAGAAAACTTGTTTTCTGCTTGTTTTAAATGGCAGCTTCTTCTGTTAAAGTTCCACATAACTTGGTAGCCCCCTTCCCTGGTACAAACACTTTCAATTACATGTGAGACTTTTCTATTCCACATCACTGTTCTTTGTGTCCAGGTCTTTTTCTAGACTAACTTCTTTCAGGGCAGAATCCATGTCTGATGATCTTCATAACCCACTACTTTCCCAGAGCCTAGCACAATGCCTGACACAGGGTAGCTGCTCAATATATATATTTTTAGAGTGAAGCCATGAGAGAATAATTCAGTTAATGCTGACTCTTAAGACACCCAAGATGCACACATCATATGGTTGGGATAAGGCAGATCTGCTAGATCTTAGGAAAAATCAGATCTATAATCCTCTGAATCTGAATGAAAGGTGAGAGAGCCTTTTAAAACCGTTGACAATCATAAATTATGAAACCATTTTAAAATAAATTTGCTTATTTTATATTCAAAAATTTACCTTAACTCAAACTAGACCAACACAGGGTTATATAACAGAAGTCAGGTACAGGAATGATGTGTTATTTACATAGCAATTGTTAGCATATCAATAGATACTTCTGCAGTGTTGAGGGTTCTTGAAGGTAGTTGTTCTTTTCAGGGTTTTAAGCATTCATCATAGAAATGTATTTTACTGAAAAATATTGTATAGGTGGAGCACTTACACTGCAAGCATATAAATTGGCACAAATGCTTTGGCAGTGTCTAGTAAATCTGAACAAAGGTCTACCTTATGGCCCTGTGATATTCTTGGGCATCTACCCAACAGAGTGAGTGCTATGACTCCAGTGTACACATACAAGAACGTTCATGGAAGCATTATTTATAATAGCCCCGAACTGGGAGAAACCCTAGTATCTGTCAATGGATAGAAAAACGAATATATTTACACAATAGAATACTTCATGGCAATAAAAAAGAGAACTTACTAACCACTGCACACAACAGGAGACATTGTTGAGAGAAACAAACTAGCTACAAAAGAACACATACCATGTGATCTCATTTATAAGAAGGCCAAGAGCAGGGAAAACTAGACAGTGATAGAGATCAGAATGGTGGTTACTTTGCGGTGGAACACTGACCTGGTGGAGCCATGAGAGAGCCTTCTAGTGTGCTGGAAATAGTCTCTATGTATGTTGGACTAGTGGTTTCATGGGTGTATACATGTGTAAAATTTCATCAAGCTGTATACTTTTTGTGTCTTTTATCTCAAAGATTGTACCTCAACTGAAAAAAAATGGAAACCTGATATGTGTATAATATTTTATATATAATAGTATATATAATTGGTTTTATAAATAATATTTTAATATATGCCTTATATATATTACATATATAATTTTTTAAGAGCACCATGGATTGCAACAAAAATGTTTAAGATGGAGTCCCTGCCCTAGAAGAGATTCAAAATTAGTTATAAGAGATAAAATGTATGCTTCAACAACTGTGATGAAAAGCGGTGTGTGAAGATGTTAGGCGAGTGGTCCACATGAATGTCCTAGGGTTGCAGGGAGTGGATAAAACAGGGAGGGAAAACAGAGCACTCTACACTGAAGCTAAGCTCTGACTGTCTCCTGCATTTGTGCCCCATCCATTTTCTCTCTCTTTTCTAAATCTCCTCTACAATTCGTCCGGTGCAAATAACTGTGTTCCAGTCTCCCCTCCTGAATCTTCCTCCTCAGTGCACTCTCCAAGCTCTCTCCTTCCCTTCCCAGCTGAGCTTCTGGATGAAATCATCTACCTTCTGTTACCACTTCCTTGACCCGCTGTCTTCCGGCTTCTCTCCGCCTCTCCCCAGTGAGTCTTCCTTCACTGACTTCTGCATCATCTGATACTGTGGAATACATCCCCTTTCTTCCAAAGTCATCCTTTCCTTGTTTCCTGATGAGACGCTTTGCTTCCTCCTCTTTGCCTGCCTTTCTTGCTGAGCTCATTTTCCTCTGCCTTTGGTGTTTTTGGAGCAGCATGTTCAGTCTGTGACTCTGCTCATGTTTTGGCCTCTCCCTTGACAAGTGTCTTAGACCATTTGGGCTGCTAAAATAATACTATAGGTGAGGTAATTTATATAAAACAAATTTATTACCCACAGTTCTATAGGCTGGGATGCCCAAGATGAAGGTGCCAGCAGATCTGGTATCTGGTAAGGGCCTGTTCCTCATAGATGGTGGCTTCTATGTGTCCTCATATGGAAGAAGAAGGAAGGGTATACAAGCTCCCTTGGGTCTCTTGAATAAGGACACTAACTCTACTCAAGAGGGCAGAGCCCTCATGACCTAACTGCTCCCCAAAGGCCCCACCTCTTAATACTGTCACATTGGGGGTCAGGTCTCAACATATGAATTTGGGAGGACACAAATATTCAGACCATAACAGCAAGTTTTTACCTCCATCTGCTGATGTCCCTGGGATCTGGGATCTCCACACCACTCTCCTGATCTTGGGACTGCATGTACACAGTTTGATGGACATCTGTGTGTGGCTGCCTCATACAGAAATCAAGGGCAACATGTTAAAAGCCCTAATCAGTATTTTCTGTCACATCTTTCCCTTACCGCTCAGTTACTATTCAGTGAATGGTACCTTCATCTACTCAGAGGAACCAGGGAGTCATTTCTGATCTCTCCCTCTTCTTTCCCTCCCCATTACGCCCCTGGCAACCCAGGCCTATTGGTCCTCCGTTTCAATAACTCTCAGATCTGCCTCTACATCTTTAACCTCGGTGTTCTGCTTTTCTCCCCAGTCATTCCTCATCTAGGTATTGCAAGTCACTGAACTTATTTCCTTATTTCCAGTCTCATCCTCAGCTAGGCCTTCAAATGATGATCTACCAAAAATTAGGATCCGATCATACTTCTTCCCAGCTTCCTTCTAAGATCAAAGCCCAGTTCCTTAGCTCAGACCACCACCCTCAATGTCTTCTTTGTCTTCTTTTCTTTTCAGACTTACCTCCTTCCCCCTTTCTCTGGGGCAGCCTGAACTCTACCCATAGTACATGCTAGTTTCCCCAATGTTCCTCACTCTTATATCTGCCTGAAACCCTCTCCTCCCCTTTCACCTCCATCACAGAACTACCAGTTGTCCTTCATGTCCTAACTCCTGCAAGTGAAGATGGACCCTCTGTCCTCCCTGCGCTCATAACACCTACAGTACTGCAGCTATTTGCCTCTTGCCCCCACTGGATAAGCTCTCAGAAGGCAGCTATGTGTCTTCTTCATCCTTATATCCCAAGCACATGGCTCAGAGTTGGTGTCCAAACATTTTATTGCATAAATGAGAAAATGTTCAGTCCTTAGGTACATAGACTTTTTTTTGCCTCAAAGATACATAGCTCAGCAACTGCATTTCTAGCACTGTCACTGTTTCTATTTCTGAATCTAATTGCCATTGCACAAAACTGTTCAGGGTAGAAGCTGCAGTAAGTGGAATGGCCCAACAACTCTTTTCCAACACAAATGCTTCGTGCTTTTGTGAGATTGTTGCAGTCTTAAAACTGTGTAGATCTTTGGAGTTTTAAGCAGAAAAAAAAAATCACTGTTCAGCATGCTGCCTGGGAAATTACCCCCTGCTGAAAAGCCCTTTTCTCCAGGATCCCTTCCTCCTCCTCCTGCAAATTCAGATGAACAACATTGGAAAATCACAAATCTAAGAAATCCACAAGGACAATCCCATGGGCACATGAATTGCTGCATGGGCCAGAACCACAAGGCCCAAGAGTACAGTGTTCTCTTTCTATAGGCCCCACAAGATGCTGGGCTGTCTTCCTAATAGCAAGTTCAGAGGGCCAAGGGCACCCCACACAGAGGTCGGCACCAGGAATTTACCTGAAACTTCTTTTGACATGCTTTCTGTGCTCACACTCAACTCCTCTTGGATAGTGAGTTTTGTGAGTTTAATACTTGTTGGCAACAAAAAAAGCATTTCTTTTCATTTTACCTAAAAGTCCTTTTGCTCAAATGTCACTGACCCATTCCTAAACCTACAACACTGGGGTTGGGTCAACTAGGACTTGCTTTTCCATCTCTGTGTGCTATTGGGGATTTTATGGGCATCTTAAGCAGCCCATCTCAGCCTTCAGCTTTCCAGACTGAAGTAAATATATTGCATCTGAAAGAAGGTCCTGAACATAATAAATATTGAATAATGATAATGGAGTTGAATCATGATAAGAGCTGCTTTTAAAAGGGAATTTAAATTCCTGCCACAAGTCCAAGATGTGAGAATTAACTAATAAATCATTGCAAGTACAGTGTTGAGGTGAAACAAATGAGTGTGCTCAGGTCCCCCTCAGTAGAGGCACATGTGTTCGTGTGTCCCCGTATTTTCTCCCATCTGTTTCTGTTTCCAAGTGAGAAATATGCCCTCCGTGTGCACGGCAGCCTGCCTTTGCGGGATGGCTGGATGCTTTTCTGAACCTTTCTATGGACAGTACACGTGTATAGGGATGATTTCTCTCCTATTAGGAGGAGGACGGGGAGGAGGAAGATAGGAGAGGGAAAGAGGGAACCTAATGTGTTCCCAGCTCCTATTTCATGCCAGGCATTGCTCTAGGTGTTTTAAGTGGATCACATCCTTTAGCCTCCACAGCAACCCTGCGAAGGAGATGGGGACCCCTTGTATACACATGAGGAAACTGAGGCTCAGCAAACCTGGGTGACTTGCCCAGGATGCTTGGATCAGAATTTTGGACTTCCAAGCCAGGTCTGTTGGAGCCCAAAGTCATGCTTTGTTAATGACACCATCCTAGGTCCCTTACCCCATGTGACCTCCCACCACCAGAGAGGCATGACTTCCTGCCCCTGTCCAGAGTGATAGGATTGTTCCCCTTACTGCCTTTGCCATTCCGCTCAGACACTTAAGCCAGGAACCCACCCAGACTCATAAAGTGCTACATGAGTTGGCCCAGCACCAACTTTCCTTTTTCTTCCTTTATCTACTTGCGGAAGCACATGGGCAAGACGGCAGCAGTGACTTACCCCTAGAAGAATAAAATCTTGAGTGGGTGCAGCCTGAGTGGTGTGGCTGGACACTCTAACAATGGAAGGATGTCCCTGAGCTTTTGAAGGGCGTTGACATTCACTGCTATAAAGCAAAGGTGGAGAGAGGATAGCAGCCACAGTGGCGGGGTGGGGTGCAGGCTGAGGGAAAGCAGGGGTGGAAGCTACAGCGTTTTCCAGGGTGAAAAGGAGGAATGAAGGGGACTGGAGACAGTTCTGTGGCTATCATTTGAGCTGTTTGTAATCTGAGGTAAATCCCATGTTTTTATTCACACCTGTTTTTATTTAGCCTTCAAACCTGGCCTTTGCGTATGATGAATTTTCTCCACATCCTAGGCCAGACATGCAAAGGCCCCCAAGATCCTAAATGGTGAAAACTATGAAATGTATGAGGAAGCCCGCCCAAGAGCAGACTTTATAAGTCATCTTCCTTCTGTCCCAGGTGTGTTCTTGCTTCTGTTAAGTAAGAGATGAGATTTGTCACTCTCTGCTTCCTCTTCTTCCTTCCTAAGTTTCTCCCCATTCCAGGGCCTGGCCATTGGCCATGAGGGCAGACAGGGACAAGTGGGTAATGCCTAGGTGCTGCAGACTCATCAAGACAGACTGCTATTCTGACAGCTCTGCAGCTTGTGTTCCTGTACCACATTTTAGGAGCTACAATCCCACCTCTCCGGGTGGTGTGGCAGAAACACAGCCAGGTTCTAAGATGGGGCAAGGACTATTCATAATAGCAAAGACATGGAACCAACCAAAATGCCCATCAATGACAGACTAGATAAAGAAAATGTGGTACATATACACCATGGAATACTATGCAGCCACAAAAAAGAATGAGATCATGTCCTTTGCAGGGACATGGATGAAGCTGGAAGCCAGCATCCTCAGCAAAGTAACACAGGAACAGAAAACCAAACACCACATGTTCTCACTCATAAGTGGGAGCTTAACAATGAGAACACATGGACACAGGGAGTGGAACAACACACAGTGAGGCCTGTTGAGTGAGGGACATCAGGACAAATAGCTAATGCATGTGGGGCTTAAAACCTAGGTGATGGGCTCATAGGTGCAGCAAACCACCATGGCACATGTATACCTATGTAACAAACCCTCATGTTCTGCACATGTATCCCAGAACTAAAAATTTAAAAAAAAAAAAAAGATGGGGCAAGGGAGCCTGGGGGTGGGCAGGCCAGAGGCTGAGGCCTGGGACTTTGACTGGGAGGGCAGCAAACACCTCAAAAAGCACCACCTTCCCTGAGTGTCTTGCTGTTTGACCACTATTATCAACTGAATTGGGTTACCCCCAATCCATATGTTGAAGTCTTAACTCCTCCAGTGTACTTGGAAATGGGGCTTAGGAGGAGGTAATTAAGGTTAAATGAGGTTATGAGGATGGAGCCCTGATCCAATAGGATTAGTGTCCTCATAAGAAGAGAAACCTAGAGCTTGCTTCCTCTCTTTCTGCCATGAGAGGACACAGAGAGAAGGTGGCCCTCTGCAAGCCAGGAAGAGAGCCCTCACCAGGAACCAAATTGGCCTGCACCTTGATCTTGGACTTTGCAGGCTGTAGAACTGTGAGAAATACATTTCTGTTGTCTAAGCCACACAGTCCATGGTATTTCATATTGGCAGCCTGAACAGATTCATACAAATGGATGAATTTGTATAGGAGTCAATTGCAAACTGATCAAACTCTTCGGTTTCCTTATGCTTCTCAATGAATTTTCACCTAGGCTAAGCAACCATCATGCCACAATTTCATCTTATAAAAATGGTTATAAATGTGACATTCATGAAGAATCTGTGCAGGGAAGGGATTCCTCTTTCTTGCCACTCCCTGGCCATGCCTGTGGGGAAGCCTGGAAGCCCAGCTCAGTTCAGTTCTATAGCAATTTTACAGAATCCAGTTCCAAGCCTCACTGCTTTGAGGGGAAAGGAAGTGCTTTGGGAAACCGACATTCCAACCATGGCAGCAACATTCCTGGGAACTGGCACTGGCCCCACCCTACCCCAGCCAGTCATTCAGGCCAGTATTAGTGTCAAGATTAGGGTCCTGACAGTGCCCTCCAGACAGCCCGACACTCATGCCACATTTTGTGTCTTTTTCCACAAAAATCTTACAAGGAATTCAGTTTTGACATTAAGTCTTAAGGAAAATGCAGTTTTAGTCAGGCTTCAAGGAACAATAATCAATAGCTTACCAACCAAAAAGAGTCCAGGACCAGATGGATTCACAGCCGAATTCTACCAGAGGTACAAGGAGGAACTGGTACCATTCCGTCCGAAACTATTCGAATCAATAGAAAAAGAGGGAATCCTCCCTAACTCATTTTATGAGGCCAGCATCATCCTGATACCAAAGCCGGGCAGAGACACAACTAAAAAAGAGAATTTTAGACCAATATCCTTGATGAACATTGAAGCAAAAATCCTCAATAAAATACTGGCACACTGAATCCAGCAGCACATCAAAAAGCTTATCCACCATGATCAAGTGGGCTTCATCCCTGGGATGCAAGGCTGGTTCAATATACGCAAATCAATAAATGTAATCCAGCATATAAACAGAACCAAAGACAAAAACCACATGATTATCTCAATAGATGCAGAAAAGGCCTTTGACAAAATTCAACAACACTTCATGATAAAAACTCTCAATAAATTAGGTATTGATGGGGCGTATCTCAAAATAATAAGAGCTATCTATGACAAACCCACAGGCAATATCATACTGAATGGGCAAAAACTGGAAGCATTCCCTTTGAAAACTGGCACAAGACAGGGATGCCCTCTCTCACCACTCCTATTCAACATAGTATTGGAAGTTCTGGCCAGGGCAATTAGGCAGGAGAAGGAAATAAAGGGTATTCAATTAGGAAAAGAGGAAGTCAAATTATCCCTGTTTGCAGACGACATGATTGTATATCTAGAAAACCCCATTGTCTCAGCCCAAAATCTCCTTAAGCTGATAAGCAACTTCAGCAAAGTCTCAGGATACAAAATCAAAGTACAAAAATCACAAGCATTCTTATACACCAATAACAGACAAACAGAGAGCCAAATCATGAGTGAACTCCCATTCACAATTGCTTCAAAGAGAATAAAATACTTAGGAATCCAACTTACAAGGGACGTGAAGGACCTCTTCAAGGAGAACTACAAACCACTGCTCAAGGAAATAAAAGAGGATACAAACAAATGGAAGAACATTCCATGCTCATGGGTAGGAAGAATCAATATTGTGAAAATGGCCATACTGCCCAAGGTAATTTATAGATTCAATGCCATCCCCATCAAGCTACCAATGACTTTCTTCACAGAATTGGAAAAAACTACTTTAAAGTTCATATGGAACCAAAAAAGAGCCTACATCGCCAAGTCAATCCTAAGCCAAAAGAACAAAGCTGGAGTCATCACGCTACCTGACTTCAAACTATACTACAAGGCTACAGTAACCAAAACAGCATGGTACTGGTACCAAAACAGAGATACAGATCAATGGAACAGAATAAAGCCCTCAGAAATAACGCCGCATATCTACAACTATCTGATCTTTGACAAACCTGAGAAAAACAAGACATGGGGAAAGGATTCCCTATTTAATAAATGGTGCTGGGAAAACTGGCTAGCCATAGGTACAAAGCTGAAACTGGATCCCTTCCTTACACCTTATACAAAAATTAATTCAAGATGGATTAAAGACTTAAACGTTAGACCTAAAACCATAAAAACCCTAGAAGAAAACCTAGGCATTACCATTCAGGACATAGGCATGGGCAAGGACTTCATGTCTAAAACACCAAAAGCAATGGCAACAAAAGCCAAAATTGACAAATGGGATCTAATTAAACTAAAGAGCTTCTGCACAGCAAAGGAAACTACCATCAGAGTGAAGAGGCAACCTACAAAATGGGAGAAAATTTTCGCAACCTACTCATCTGACAAAGGGCTAATATCCAGAATCTGCAATGAACTCAAACAAATTTACAAGAAAAAAACAAACAACCCCATCAAAAAGTGGGCAAAGGATATGAACAGACACTTCTCAAAAGAAGACATTTATGCAGCCAACAGACACGTGAAAAAATGCTCATCATCACTGGCCATCAGAGAAATGCAAATCAAAACCACAATGAGATACCACCAGTTAGAATGGCAATCGTTAAAAAGTCAGGAAACAACAGGTGCTGGAGAGGATGTGGAGAAATAGGAACACTTTTACACTGTTGGTAGGACTGTAAAATAGTTCAACCATTGTGGAAGTCAGTGTGGCGATTCCTCAGGGATCTAGAACTAGAAATACCATTTGACCCAGCCATCCCGTTACTGGGTATATACCCAAAGGACTATAAATCATGCTGCTATAAAGACACATGCACACGTATGTTTATTGCGGCACTATTCACAATAGCAAAGACTTGGAACCAATCCAAATGTTCAACAGTGATAGACTGGATTAAGAAAATGTGGCACATATACACCATGGAATACTATGCAGCCATAAAAAATGATGAGTTCATGTCCTTTGTAGGGACATGGATGAAATTGGAAATCATCATTCTCAGTAAACTATCGCAAGAACAAAAAACCAAACACCACATGTCCTCACTCATAGATGGGAATTGAACAATGAGAACACATGGACACAGGAGGGGGAACATTACACTCTGGGGACTGTTGTGGGGTAGGGGGAGGGGGGAGGGATAGCATTAGGAGATATACCTAATGCTAAATGACGAGTTAATGGGTGCAGCACACCAGCATGGCACATGTATACATATGTAACTAACCGGCACATTGTGCCCATGTACCCTAAAACTTAAAGTATAATAATAATTAAAATATATATATATATTGTTTCAGGGTTGGGCACAGTGGCTCATGCCTGTAATCCCAGCACACTGGGAGGCCAAGGCGGGAGGATCGTTTAAGCCCAGGAGTTGGAGACCAGCTTGGGCAACATAGCCAAGGCCTTGTCTTCTGAAAGAAAAAAAAAAAAAAGAATATTATTTCAGACCAGAATGAAGAATTAGCAAAATTCAAAAAAATTTTAAAAAGAATATTGTTGTTTCAAATACTTTCCCAGCTTGTGATTTAGTTTTATTAATGACATTATTTTGAAGTATAGTAATTAAAAAATTGAGTGGAAACAAAAAAAAAAAAAAAGAAAAATCTGGCTTTACAAACTGAGTGTGATTCTTTAACTAGACCTTTCTTGTTTCCTACCAAAAATATGAGGTCTTAAAAAATTATGTTTACTTGAATTCTTCATATTTTTATTCTGTGAAATAAAGGTGCATATGGATATGAAACAAATATTGGAATTGACTTCATGAGAATAAGCGTGCCTTAGGCTTCAGGAATGGCTAGATAGGGCCCTTCACAGCTACCCAGAGAGAATGGGGTGGGGGGAGGGGGTGGGAATGGGGTATGTGCAAGGAAGCTTAATGTATGCTATTTTGTGGTTCTAGCAAGGTAACCCCTTGACATCATTTAAACCTATTATGTTTCTAATTTTCAGCAGCAAACATGAGCATTTCTGACCCAGTCTTTTATGTACAAGGAGGCTCCATTCCATCTGTCCAGGCCTTGCCTCTGCCTCTGCTCTAGGCCACCGATTTATTAAAATGTGATCCTGATGCTGCACTCACATAGTTCCCATAGCCCAGAATGCACCAGAGGACCCACAAAGATGTATTTTATTCACCTTCTCATCACATAAATGCAGTTGTAGAGCTGCTTCTCTCTGCCTCCATGAGAGTGCGGTGTGAACCAGCATTCAAACTCCTCATTTTTTTTCTTGGATCCCAGACACAAATAAGAATAAAGCATGCTTACATGCCCAGGACGTTTCTAAGCTCCAGTGCCACAAAATTTCCTAGTACTGAGAATGCAAGTCTGTCATTATGGTATTTGCAGAACTAAAGACTGTGTTTAAGGCTTCAAAATGATGCTTATTTTACCCCTTTCCTGGACTGTCATGCCCAAAGCACTACATGCATAGTCTTTCTCAAGGAAATTTGCCAGGGAAGGCAGAACGGATCTCATCACATAGGAATTGTTTTGGGTTGGTTTCAAGCTGCAGAGTCTGGGGTAGAAGGAAGTTCTCCTGAGGACTGCCCTAGGGAAGGAGAATCTACACAGGGTTGTATACTACACAGCCAACGGGCTGCCAGTCTCAGAAACTGTGATGGGAAGGATACCTCCTTGGAGCTGAACACTGTGGCAGCCCTATGTCACCTATGGGAAGTGGGCGACTATGGAAGACATTGAATCCTGAAGTAGAGAGTGTGATAGGGGAAACTGGTGCCTCGGTGGATGAATGAGGATTCTGAGCTCTTCGGGGTAGAATAATGAGGGAAACAAGCAGATACCCAAACCCACCACATAGAACTCTAAAAGGAATCATGTTGGGAATGGAAGGCACAGAGGCATTTTCACTCTGGCAAAGTTCCGATTTTCTAAAAACACTTTCAAATCCATTTCCATTACTCAATGGTCCTGTCACTTTTAATTTCTTCTTTTTTTCCAAACCCATAATGCAATTAGAGAGATGGCATCCCACATCATTAATATCTCTATGATGCATTACCACATTTTTTAAAAAGGCTTTGTATTTTCTCTTGATTATAAGAGCAAAACCTGTTATTTGCCTGTGGCAAAGAAAGGAAGTCATATGCACAAAGGCATGTTCCAGGAAGATTAATCTGGAAGTGATATAGAAATGGATTGGGGTGGCCGGGTGCAGTGGCTCACACCTGTAATCCCAGCACTTTGGGAGGCTGAGGCAGGCAGATTGCCTGAGGTCGGGAGTTCAAGATCAGCCTGGCCAATATGGCAAAACGCTGTCTCTACTAAAAATACAAAAAATTAGCTGGGCATGGTGGCGGCACCTGTAATCCCAACTACTTGGGAGACTGAAGCAGGAGAATTGCTTGAACCCTGGAGGCAGAGGTTGCGCCACTGCACTCCAGCCTGGGCGTGACACAGCGAGACTCCATCTCAAAAAAAAAAAAAAAAACAAAACAAAACAACAACAAAAAAGATTGGGGGAAAAATAGCAACACTTGGGGAAAGGAGACTGCTCCTTTCCCTTCATTCATTCAGCAGACATTTACTGGGCACTTGCTATGTGTCAGTCTGGGTGGTAAGTGCCAGGTATCTAGAGATGATACCTGGTATTACATCAAGAAGCAGATGCCAAAACAGGATGTGATGTGCAATAAGTACATTGGAGGGAATGCTTATGAAAGATAAAGGAGGGAAGCAGGAGCAGGTGGGAGAGTCTTCAGACTGTGATGCAAGACTGGCAGCTGTGGAAGGAGGGAGGGAAGGAAGAGCATGGGCCCAGTGCACTGTGGAGAACATCTCAGCTGGGTCAACAGAGAGCCTCCAGAACAAAGGCTGTCTGCTAGAGGAGCCCCATATGGGACAAAAATGGGCCAGACTTCGTACTCCTTAGGGTGCATTGGCTGAGGGTAGACTGGGAGAAATGTGAATACCATGGTGTATCCAAAAGGTGGCAGCTGCAGGCTGTCAGCCAACTACATTTCCTGCAGCAGCTTCTTTTGAAGGACATCTGAGTGGAGCGCTTCCATGGCCAACACAGCCTTCCAGGAGCTCTCGATGTAGATATATAACATGACGTCACAGCTGCATTCCAAGCCTGAGGACTAGCCCTTTGAGGTTAGATATTCATTCCCTGTTCAATCAGCTCCAGCCTAGGTTGGCGAGCAGTGTCCGTGCCTGGCTGTGATAAGGGGGTAGGTGCTACTCATATGCCCAGGACAGAAGGGAGATGGGTAATATAACACAATTATGTATAAGATACAGTGGAGGAGAATTAACCAACCGCTTAGAAAAGAGTAGTCAGGGAAGAGTTCAAGGTTAAAGGGATGTGACAGTTGAGTTTTAAAACATGATTGGAACGTGTCATATACACAGGAGGATATACAGTATAATTCATTTCATTGGAATCCTGGATTCATATCCCAGCTCTGTCACTTATCAGCTGTGTGACCTTGGGTACGCCTCTTAACCTCTTTTAAGTCCCAGTTTCTTCATCTGTAAAATGGAGATCATGATAGCACCTATTTTATAGAATAGTTATGAAGATGCACGCAAATTCATTAGCAAGTGCCTGACCTATGGTATGTGATCAAAAAATAGTATCACTATTCTTGTCATTACTATTTTTAGCATCCCCAACCATGAAAATATCTGTACAAAGGTGTGCTAGGACGGAGGGCAGCCAGTCCAGGGAGCTGCTGGTGGTTCTCTATGGCTGGATCTCACAGATTAAGGGAAGGCGTCATAGAATACAAGGCTGGGGAAACAGTCCCAGTCTGAGGAAAACCTTGTGTGCTACATAAGATAGTTCAGACTTCCCTCTAGGCTCTGAGAGGCTGTTAAAGGATGTTACTTAGGGAAGGAGATGATCAGATATGCATTTTTAAAAATCTGCCTCCTAAAGATTCTTGAATCCACAAAGATACTAAAAAGGACACAGGAAGAGTAAACAATTGTCAGGATCTGAAAGAGTGAAAAGAAAGTCACTTTGGACTGAAAAAGTAAAAAGGAATCCAGTTAATCAGGCTGGAGAGACAGATATAGATAAAAATCAGCCCCAAAGTTAACAGGGGACCTTGTATTACCTGAGGTCATGCAGTGGCTGTAAAATGAGTGACTACTACTTTTCTTTCCACAACACCCCCAGGCTCCCTTTGTTAAATCCTTCTATTACTGAGATTACTCAATTGCTAAACTGCCCTGGCCTCGAGATAGCACTGAATTATCCCCACTTTCCCTCTCCCAGCTTTGGAAAGGAAACAGTATAGAGCTGATCCCCGCTCAGCAGCCTCTGCAGGTCCTCTGGAGTATCCTCCTTTGCTGTATGTGTGTCAGGCTACAGGTTTATCCCTGGTGGTCTTTGGGTGATATGGGTAGTTTT